>NC_000017.11:22813679-23113679 GCF_000001405.40 Homo sapiens
AGCAGTCTCAGAAACTTTTCTGTGATGACTGCATTCAACTCAGAGAGTTGAACACTCCTTTTGAGAGCGCAGTTTTGAAACTCTCGTTCTCTGTTTCAAAACTTGCAGAGTTTTGAAGGGGACATGCAGGGGACATGCAGACCTCTTTGAAGGTTTCGTTGGAAAGGGAATCATCTTCACATAAAAATTACACAGAAGCATTCTCAGGAACTCCTTGGTGATGTTTGTATTCAACTTCCAGAGTTGAACTTTCCTTCGGAATGAGCAGCTATGAAACACCCTTTTTCTAGAATCTGCAAGTGGACATTGGGAGGGCTGTGAGGTTTGTGGTGGAAAAGGAAATATCTCCACATAAATACTAGATAGAAGCCTTCTCAGAAACTACTTTGTGATGATTGCATTCACCTCACGGAGTGGAGCATTCCTATTGACAGAGCAGGTTGGAAACACTCTTGTTGTAGAATCTGCTAGTGGAGATTTGGAGCGCTTTGAGGCCTATGGTAGTAAAGGGAAGAGCTTCACATAAAATCTAGACAGAAGCATTCTCAGAAAATACTTTGTGATGATTGAGTTTAACACACAGAGCTGAACATTCCTTTGGATGGAGAAGGTTTGAAACACACTTTCTATAGAATCTGCGAGTGGATATTTGGACCTCTCTGAGGATTTCGTTGGAAACGGGATAACTGCACCTAACTAAACGGAAGCATTCTCACAAAAATCTTTGTGATGTTTGCATTCAAATCCCAGAGTTGAACCTTCCTTTGATAGTTCAGCTTTGAAACACTCTTTTTGTAGGATCTGCAGGTGGATATTTGGACCACTCTTTGGCCTTCGTTCGAAAAGGGTACATCTTCAAATAAAATCTAGACAGAAGCCTTCTCAGTAACTTCTCTGTGACGATTGCATTCAACTCAAAGCGTTGAACCCTCCTATGGATAGAGCAGTTTTGAATCTCTCTTTTTGTGGAATCTTCAAGTGGATGTGTGGTCCTCTTTGAAGATGTCTTTGGAAACGGGAATATCTTCACATAAAAACTAAACAGAAGCATTCTCAGAAACTTCTCTGTGATGTTTGTGTTCAACTCACAGAGTTTCACGTTGCTTTTCATAGAGCAGATGAGAAACATGCTTTTCGTAGGGTCTGCAAGTGGACATTTGGAGAGATTTCAGCCCTGTGGTGGAAAACGAATTATCGTCACGTAAAAACTAGAGAGAAGCATTGTCGGAAACTTGTTTGTGATGATTGCATTCAACTCACAGAGTTGAAGGTTCCTTTTCAAACATCAGTTTCCAAACACTCTTTCTGTGGAATCTGGAAGAGGATATTTGGACCTCTTTGAAGATTTCGTTGGAAACGGGATAATCTTCACAGAAAAGCTAAACAGAAGCATTCTCAGAACCTTCTTCGTGATGTTTGCATTCAACTCACAGTGTTGAACCTTTCTTTGATAGTTCAGGTTTGAAACACTCTTTTTGTAGAAACTGCAGGTGGATAATTGTACTTCTTTGAGGCCTATCATAGTAAAGGAAATAACTTCATATAAAAACAAGACAGATGCATTCTCAGAAACTACTTTGTGACGATGGCATTCAAGTCACAGAGGTGAACATTCCCTTTCAGAGAGCACTTTGGAAACTCTCGTTGTGTAGAATCTGCAAGTGGAGATATGGACCGCTTTGAGGCCTATGGTAGTAAAGGAAACAGCTTCATATAAAAACTAGACAGCAGCATTCTCAGAAAACTCTTTGTGACGACTGAGTTTAACTCACAGGGCTGAACATTCCTTTGGACGGAGCTGTTTGGAAACACACTATCTGTAGGATCTGCAAGCAGATACTTGGGCCTCCCTGAGGATTTCGTTGGAAACGGGATAAACCGCACAGAACTAAACAGAAGCATTCTCAGAACCTTCTTCGTGATGTTTGCATTCAACCCACAGTGTTGAACCTTTCTTTGATAGTTCAGGTTTGAAACACTCTTTTTGTAGAAACTGCAAGTGGATAACTGCACTTCTTTGAGGCCTATCGTAGTAAAGGAAATAAATTCCTATAAAAACAAGACAGAAGCTTTCTCAGAAAATTCTCTGGGATGACTGAGTTGAACTCACAGAGCTGTACTTTCCTTGGGAAGGAGTAGTTTCTCAACACACTTTCTGTAGAATCTGCAAGTGGATATTTGGACCTCTCTGCTGAATTCGTTGGAAACCAGATAATTTCAGCTAACTAAACAGAAGCAGTCTCAGAATCTTCTTGTGATGTTTGCATTCAAATCCCAGAATGGAACCTTCCTTTGAAAGTTCAGGTTGGAAACACTCTTTTTGCAGGATCTACAAGTGGATATTCGGACCACTCTGTGGACTTCGTTCGAAACGGGTATATCTTCACATAACATCTAGACAGAAGCATTCTCAGAAACTTTTCTGTGATGACTGCATTCAACTCACAGAGTTGAACACTCCTTTTGAGAGCGCAGTTTTGAAACTCTCTTTCTCTGGAATCTGCAAGGGGACATGCAGACCTCTTTGAAGGTTTCGTTGGAAACGGAATCATCTTCACATAAAAATTACACGGAAGCATCCTCAGGAACTCCTTGGTGATGTTTGTATTCAACTTCCAGAGCTGAACTTTCCTTCGGAGAGAGCAGCTATGAAACACTCTTTTTCTAGAATCTGCAAGTGGACATTGGGAAGGCTGTGAGGTTTGTGGTGGAAAAGGAAATATCTCCACATAAATACTAGATAGAAGCCTTCTCAGAAACTACTTTGTGATGACTGCATTCACCTCACGGAGTGGAGCATTCCTATTGACAGAGCAGTTTGGAAACACTCTTCTTGTAGAATCGGCTAGTGGAGAGTTGGAGCGCTTTGAGGCCTATGGTAGTAAAGGGAAGAGCTTCACATAAAATCTAGACAGAAGCATTCTCAGAAAATACTTTGTGATGATTGAGTTTAACACACAGAGCTGAACATTCCTTTGGATGGAGAAGGTTTGAAACACACTTTCTGTAGAATCTGCGAGTGGATATTTGGACCTCTCTGAGGATTTCGTTGGAAACGGGATAACTGCAGCTAACTAAACGGAAGCATTCTCACAAAATTCTTTGTGATGTTTGCATTCAAATCCCAGAGTTGAACCTTCCTTTGAGAGTTCAGCTTTGAAACACTCTTTTTGTAGGCTCTGCAGGTGGATATTTGGACCACTCTTTGGCCTTCGTTCAAAACGGGTACATCTTCAAATAAAATCTAGACAGAAGCCTTCTCAGAAACTTCTCTGTGATGATTGCATTCAACTCAAAGCGTTGAACCCTCCTATGGATAGAGCAGTTTTGAATCTCTCTTTTTGTGGAATCTGCAAGTGGATATGTGGTCCTCTTTGAAGATGTCTTTGGAAACGGGAATATCTTCATATTAAATCTAAACAGAAGCATTCTCAGAAACTTCTCTGTGATGTTTGTGTCCAAATCACAGAGTTTCACGTTGCTTTTCATAGAGCAGATGAGAAACATGCTTTTCGTAGGGTCTGCAAGTGGACATTTGGAGAGATTTCAGGCCTGTGGTGGAAAACGAATTATCGTCACGTAAAAACTAGAGGGAAGCATTGTCAGAAACTTGTTTGTGATGACTGCATTCAACTCACAGAGTTGAAGGTTTCTTTTCAAACAGCAGTTTCCAAACACTCTTTCTGTGGCATCTGCAAGTGGATGTTTGGGCCTCTTTGAAGATTTCGTTGGAAACAGGATAATCTTCACAGAAAAGCTAAACAGAAGCATTCTCAGAAACTTCTTTGTGATGTTTGCTTTCAACTCACAGAGTTGAACTTTCCTTTTGAGAGAGAAGCTTTGAAACACACTTTTTCTAGAATCTGCAAGTGGATATTTGGAGGGCTTTGAGGCCTGTGGTGGAAAAGGAATTATCTTCCCGTAAGAACTACATAGATGCATTCTCAGAAACTACTTTGTGACGATTGCATTCAAGTCACAGAGGTGAACATTCCCTTTCACAGAGCACTTTGGAAACTCTCGTTGTGTAGAATCTGCAAGTGGAGATATGGACCGCTTTGAGGCCTATGGTAGTAAAGGAAACAGCTTCATATAAAAACTAGACAGCAGCATTGTCAGAAAACCCTTTGTGAAGACTGAGTTTAACTCACAGGGCTGAACATTCCTTTGGATGGAGCAGTTTGGAAACACACTATCTGTAGGATCTGCAAGCGGATACTTGGGCCTCTCTGAGGATTTCGTTGGAAACGGGATAAACCACACAGAACTAAACAGAAGCATTCTCAGAAGCTTCTTCGTGATGTTTGCATTCAACCCACAGTGTTGAACCTTTCTTTGCTAGTTCAGGTTTGAAACACTCTTTTTGTAGAAACTGCAAGTGGATAACTGCACTTCTTTGAGGCCTATCGTAGTAAAGGAAATAACTTCCTATAAAAACAAGACAGAAGCTTTCTCAGAAAATTCTCTGGGATGATTGTGTTGAACTCACAGAGCAGTACTTTCCTTGGGATGGAGTAGTTTCGAAGCACACTTTCTGTAGAATCTGCAAGTGGATATTTGGACCTGTCTGAGGAATACTTTGCAAACGGGATAATTTCAGCTAAGTAAACAGAAAGCAGTCTCAGAATCTTCTTGTGATGTTTGCATTCAAATCCCAGAATTGAACCTTCCTTTGAAAGTTCAGGTTGGAAACACTCTTTTTGCAGGATCTACAAGTGGATATTCGGACCACACTGTGGACTTCGTTCGAAACGGGTATATCTTCACATAACATCTAGACAGAGCATTCTCAGAAACTTTTCTGTGATGACTGCATTCAACTCACAGAGTTGAACTCTCCTTTTGAGAGCGCAGTTTTGAAACTCTCTTTCTCTGGAATCTGCAAGGGGACATGCAGACCTCTTTGAAGGTTTCGTTGGAAACGGAATCATCTTCACATAAAAATTACACAGAAGCATTCTCAGGAACTCCTTGGTGATGTTTGTATTCAACTTCCAGAGTTGAACTTTCCTTCGGAAAGAGCAGCTATGAAACACTCTTTTTCTAGAATCTGCAAGTGGACATTGGGAGGGCTGTGAGGTTTGTGGTGGAAAAGGAAATATCTCCACATAAATACTAGATAGAAGCCTTCTCAGAAACTACTTTGTGATGATTGCATTCACCTCACGGAGTGGAGCATTCCTATTGACAGAGCAGTTTGGAAACACTCTTATTGTAGAATCTGCTAGTGGAGATTTGGAGCGCTTTGAGGCCTATGGTAGTAAAGGGAAGAGCTTCACATAAAATCTAGACAGAAGCATTCTCAGAAAATACTTTGTGATGATTGAGTTTAACACACAGAGTTGCACATTCCTTTGGATGGAGAAGGTTTGAAACACACTTTCTGTAGAATCTGCGAGTGGATATTTGGAACTCTCTGAGGATTTCGTTGGAAACGGGATAACTGCACCTAACTAAACGGAAGCATTCTCACAAAATTCTTTGTGATGTTTGCATTCAAATCCCAGAGTTGAACCTTCCTTTGATAGTTCAGCTTTGAAACACTCTTTTTGTAGGATCTGCAGGTGGATATTTGGACCACTCTTAGGCCTTCGTTCGAAAAGGGTACATCTTCAAATAAAATCTAGACAGAAGTCTTCTCAGAAACTTCTCTGTGACGATTGCATTCAACTCAAAGCGTTGAACCCTCCTATGGATAGAGCAGTTTTGAATCTCTCTTTTTGTGGAATCTGCAAGTGGATATGTGGTCCTCTTTGAAGATGTCTTTGGAAACGGGAATATCTTCACATAAAAACTAAACAGAAGCATTCTCAGAAACTTCTCTGTGATGTTTGTGTTCAACTCACAGAGTTTCACGTTGCTTTTCATAGAGCAGATGAGAAACATGCTTTTCGTAGGGTCTGCAAGTGGACATTTGGAGAGATTTCCGGCCTGTGGTGGAAAACGAATTATCGTCACGTAAAAACTAGAGAGAAGCATTGTCAGAAACTTGTTTGTGATGACTGCATTCAACTCACAGAGTTGAAGGTTCCTTTTCAAACAGCAGTTTCCAAACACTCTTTCTGTGGCATCTGCAAGTGGATGTTTGGGCCTCTTTGAAGATTTCGTTGGAAACGGGATAATCTTCACAGAAAAGCTAAACAGAAGCATTCTCAGAAACTTCTTTGTGATGTTTGCTTTCAACTCACAGAAGTTGAACTTTCCTTTTGAGAGAGAAGCTTTGAAACACTCTTTTTCTAGAATCTGCAAGTGGATATTTGGAGGGCTTTGAGGCCTGAGGTGGAAAAGGAATTATCTTCCCGTCAGAACTAGATAGATGCATTCTCAGAAACTACTTTGTGACGATTGCATTCAAGTCACAGAGGTGAACATTCCCTTTCAGAGAGCACTTTGGAAACTCTCGTTGTGTAGAATCTGCAAGTGGAGACATGGACCGCTTTGAGGCCTATGGTAGTAAAGGAAACAGCTTCGTATAAAAATTAGACAGCAGCATTCTCAGAAAACTCTTTGTGATGACTGAGTTTAACTCACAGGGCTGAACATTCCTTTGGATGGAGCAGTTTGGAAACACACTATCTGTAGGATCTGCAAGCGGATACTTGGGCCTCTCTGAGGATTTCGTTGGAAACGGGATAAACCGCACAGAACTAAACAGAAGCATTCTCAGAACCTTCTTCGTGATGTTTGCATTCAACCCACAGTGTTGAACCTTTCTTTGATAGTTCAGCTTTGAAACACTCTTTTTGTAGGATCTGCAGGTGGATATTTGGACCACTCTTTGGCCTTCGTTCGAAACGGGTACATCTTCAAATAAAATCTAGACAGAAGCCTTCTCAGAAACTTCTCTGTGACGATTGCATTCAACTCAAAGAGTTGAACCCTCCTATGGATAGAGCAGTTTTGAATCTCTCTTTTTGTGGAATCTGCAAGTGGATATGTGGTCCTCTTTGAAGATGTCTTTGGAAACGGGAATATCTTCACATAAAAACTAAACAGAAGCATTCTCAGAAACTTCTCTGTGATGTTTGTGTTCAACTCACAGAGTTTCACGTTGCTTTTCATAGAGCAGATGAGAAACATGCTTTTCGTAGGGTCTGCAAGTGGACATTTGGAGAGATTTCCGGCCTGTGGTGGAAAACGAATTATCGTCACGTAAAAACTAGAGAGAAGCATTGTCAGAAACTTGTTTGTGATGACTGCATTCAACTCACAGAGTTGAAGGTTCCTTTTCAAACAGCAGTTTCCAAACACTCTTTCTGTGGCATCTGCAAGTGGATGTTTGGGCCTCTTTGAAGATTTCGTTGGAAACGGGATAATCTTCACAGAAAAGCTAAACAGAAGCATTCTCAGAAACTTCTTTGTGATGTTTGCTTTCAACTCACAGAGTTGAACTTTCCTTTTGAGAGAGAAGCTTTGAAACACTCTTTTTCTAGAATCTGCAAGTGGATATTTGGAGGGCTTTGAGGCCTGAGGTGGAAAAGGAATTATCTTCCCGTAAGAACTAGATAGATGCATTCTCAGAAACTACTTTGTGACGATTGCATTCAAGTCACAGAGGTGAACATTCCCTTTCAGAGAGCACTTTGGAAACTCTCGTTGTGTAGAATCTGCAAGTGGAGATATGGACCGCTTTGAGGCCTATGGTAGTAAAGGAAACAGCTTCATATAAAAACTAGACAGCAGCATTCTCAGAAAACTCTTTGTGACGACTGAGTTTAACTCACAGGGCTGAACATTCCTTTGGATGGAGCAGTATGGAAACACACTATCTGTAGGATCTGCAAGCGGATACTTGGGCCTCCCTGAGGATTTCGTTGGAAACGGGATAAACCGCACAGAACTAAACAGAAGCATTCTCAGAACCTTCTTCGTGATGTTTGCATTCAACCCACAGTGTTGAACCTTTCTTTGATAGTTCAGGTTTGAAACACTCTTTCTGTAGAAACTGCAAGTGGATAACTGCACTTCTTTGAGGCCTATCGTAGTAAAGGAAATAACTTCCTATAAAAACAAGACAGAAGCTTTCTCAGAAAATTCTCTGCGATGATTGAGTTGAACTCACAGAGCAGTACTTTCCTTGGGATGGAGTAGTTTCGAAACACACTTTCTGTAGAATCTGCAAGTGGATATTTGGACCTGTCTGAGGAATTCGTTGCAAACGGGATAATTTCAGCTAAGTAAACAGAAGCAGTCTCAGAATCTTCTTGTGATGTTTGCATTCAAATCCCAGAATTGAACCTTCCTTTGAAAGTTCAGGTTTGAAACACTCTTTTTGCAGGATCTACAAGTGGATATTTGGACCACTCTGTGGACTTCGATCGAAACGGGTATATCTTCACATAACATCTACACAGAAGCATTCTCAGAAACTTTTCTGTGATGACTGCATTCAACTCACAGAGTTGAACACTCCTTTCGAGAGCGCAGTTTTGAAACTCTCTTTCTCTGGAATCTGCAAGGGGACATGCACACCT
The DNA here is from genome assembly GCF_000001405.40 of Homo sapiens. Taxonomy (NCBI): domain Eukaryota; kingdom Metazoa; phylum Chordata; class Mammalia; order Primates; family Hominidae; genus Homo; species Homo sapiens. The sequence goes on from NC_000017.11 coordinate 22,822,154, forward strand.
CTTTGAAGGTTTCATTGGAAACGGAATCATCTTCACATAAAAATTACACAGAAGCATTCTCAGGAATTCCTTGGTGATGTTTGCATTCAACTTCCAGAGTTGAACTTCCCTTCGGAAAGAGCAGCTATGAAACACTCTTTTTCTAGAATCTGCAAGTGGACATTGGGAGGGCTGTGAGGTTTGTGGTGGAAAAGGAAATATCTCCACATAAATACTAGATAGAAGACTTCTCAGAAACTACGTTGTGATGATTGCATTCACCTCACGGAGTGGAGCATTCCTATTGACAGAGCAGTTTGGAAACACCCTTGTTGTAGAATCTGCTAGTGGAGATTTGGAGCGCTTTGAGGCCTATGGTAGTAAAGGGAAGAGCTTCACATAAAATCTAGACAGAAGCATTCTCAGAAAATACTTTGTGATGATTGAGTTTAACACACAGAGCTGAACATTCCTTTGGATGGAGGAGGTTTGAAACACACTTTCTGTAGAATCTGCGAGTGGATATTTGGACCTCTCTGAGGATTTCGTTGGAAACGGGATAACTGCACCTAACTAAACGGAAGCATTCTCACAAAATTCTTTGTGATGTTTGCATTCAAATCCCAGAGTTGAAACTTCCTTTGATAGTTCAGCTTTGAAACACTCGTTTTGTAGGATCTGCAAGTGCATATTTAGACCACTCTTTGGCCTTCGTTCGAAACGGGTACATCTTCAAATAAAATCTAGACAGAAGCCTTCTCAGAAACTTCTCTGTGACGATTGCATTCAACTCACAGCGTTGAACCCTCCTATGGATAGAGCAGGTTTGAATCTCTCTTTTTGTGGAATCTGCAAGTGGATGTGTGGTCCTCTTTGAAGATGTCTTTGGAAACGGGAATATCTTCACATAAAAACTAAACAGAAGCATTCTCAGAAACTTCTCTGTGATGTTTGTGTTCAACTCACAGAGCTTCACGTTGCTTTTCATAGAGCAGATGAGAAACATGCTTTTCATAGGGTCTGCAAGTGGACATTTGGAGAGCTTTCAGGCCTGTGGTGGAAAACGAATTATCGTCACGTAAAAACTAGAGAGAAGCATTGTCAGAAACTTGTTTGTGATGACTGCCTTCAACTCACAGAGTTGAAGGTTCCTTTTCAAACAGCAGTTTCCAAACACTCTTTCTGTGGCATCTGCAAGTGGAGGTTTGGGCCTCTTTGAAGATTTCGTTGGAAACGGGATAATCTTCACAGAAAAGCTAAACAGAAGCATTCTCAGAAACTTCTTTGTGATGTTTGCTTTCAACTCACAGAGTTGAACTTTCCTTTTGAGAGAGAAGCTTTGAAACACTCTTTTTCTAGAATCTGCAAGAGGATATTTGGAGGGCTTTGAGGCCTGAGGTGGAAAAGGAATTATCTTCCCGTAAGAACTAGATAGATGCATTCTCAGAAACTACTTTGTGACGATTGCATTCAAGTCACAGAGGTGAACATTCCCTTTCAGAGAGCACTTTGGAAACTCTCGTTGTGTAGAATCTGCAAGTGGAGATATGGACCGCTTTGAGGCCTATGGTAGTAAAGGAAACAGCTTCATATAAAAACTAGACAGCAGCATTCTCAGAAAACTCTTTGTGACGACTGAGTTTAACTCACAGGGCTGAACATTCCTTTGGATGGAGCAGTTTGGAAACATACTATCTGTAAGATCTGCAAGTGGATACTTGGGCCTCCCTGAGGATTTCGTTGGAAACGGGATAAACCACACAGAACTAAACAGAAGCATTCTCAGAACCTTCTTCGTGACGTTTGCATTCAACCCTCAGTGTTGAACCATTCTTTGATAGTTCAGGTTTGAAACACTCTTTTTGTAGAAACTGCAAGTGGATAACTGCACTTCTTTGAGGCCTATCGTAGTAAAGGAAATAACTTCCTATAAAAACAAGACAGAAGCTTTCTCAGAAAATTCTCTGGGATGATTGAGTTGAACTCACAGAGCAGTACTTTCCTTGGGATGGAGTAGTTTCGAAACACACTTTCTGTAGAATCTGCAAGTGGATATTTGGACTTGTCTGAGGAATTCGTTGCAAACGGGATAATTTCAGCTAAGTAAACAGAAGCAGTCTCAGAATCTTCTTGTGATGTTTGCATTCAAATCCCAGAATTGAACCTTCCTTTGAAAGTTCAGGTTTGAAACACTCTTTTTGCAGGGTCTACAAGTGGATATTCGGACCACTCTGTGGACTTCGTTCGAAACGGGTATATCTTCACATAACATCTAGACAGAAGCATTCTCAGAAACTTTTCTGTGATGACTGCATTCAACTCACAGAGTTGAACACTCCTTTTGAGAGCGCAGTTTGGAAACTCTCTTTCTCTGGAATCTGCAAGGGGACATGCAGACCTCTTTGAAGGTTTCGTTGGAAACGGAATCATCTTCACATAAAAATTACACAGAAGCATCCTCAGGAACTCCTTGGTGATGTTTGTATTCAACTTCCAGAGTTGAACTTTCCTTCGGAAAGAGCAGCTATGAAACACTCTTTTTCTAGAATCTGCAAGTGGACATTGGGAGGGCTGTGAGGTTTGTGGTGGAAAAGGAAATATCTCCACATAAATACTAGATAGAAGCCTTCTCAGAAACTACTTTGTGATGATTGCATTCACCTCACGGAGTGGAGCATTCCTATTGACAGAGCAGTTTGGAAACACTCTTCTTGTAGAATCGGCTAGTGGAGATTTGGAGCGCTTTGAGTCCTATGGTAGTAAAGGGAAGAGCTTCACATAAAATCTAGACAGAAGCATTCTCAGAAAATACTTTGTGATGATTGAGTTTAACACACAGAGCTGAACATTCCTTTGGATGGAGAAGGTTTGAACCACACTTTCTGTAGAATCTGCGAGTGGATATTTGGACCTCTCTGAGGATTTCGTTGGAAACCGGATAACTGCACCTAACTAAACGGAAGCATTCTCACAAAATTCTTTGTGATGTTTGCATTCAAATCCCAGTAGTTGAACCTTCCTTTGATAGTTCAGCTTTGAAACACTCTTTTTGTAGGATCTGCAAGTGGATATTTGGACCACTCTTTGGCCTTCGTTCGAAACGGGTACATATTCAAATAAAATCTAGACAGAAGCCTTCTCAGAAACTTCTCTGTGACGGTTGCATTCAACTCAAAGCGTTGAAACCTCCTATGGATAGAGCAGTTTTGAATCTCTCTTTTTGTGGAATCTGCAAGTGGATATGTGGTCCTCTTTGAAGATGTCTTTGGAAACGGGAATATCTTCACATTAAAACTAAACAGAAGCATTCTCAGAAACTTCTCTGTGATGTTTGTGTTCAACTCACAGAGTTTCACGTTGCTTTTCATAGAGCAGATGAGAAACATGCTTTTCGTAGGGTCTGCAAGTGGACATTTGGAGAGCTTTCAGGCCTGTGGTGGAAAACGAATTATCGTCACGTAAAAACTAGAGAGAAGCATTGTCAGAAACTTGTTTGTGATGACTGCATTCAACTCACAGAGTTGAAGGTTCCTTTTCAAACAGCAGTTTCCAAACACTCTTTCTGTGGCATCTGCAAGTGGATGTTTGGGCCTCTTTGAAGATTTCGTTGGAAACGGGATAATCTTCACAGAAAAGCTAAACAGAAGCATGCTCAGAAACTTCTTTGTGATGTTTGCTTTCAACTCACAGAGTTGAACTTTCCTTTTGAGAGAGAAGCTTTGAAACACTCTTTTTCTAGAATCTGCAAGTGGATATTTGGAGGGCTTTGAGGCCTGAGGTGGAACAGGAATTATCTTCCCGTAAGAACTAGATAGATGCATTCTCAGAAACTACTTTGTGACGATTGCATTCAAGTCACAGAGGTGAACATTCCCTTTCAGAGAGCACTTTGGAAACTCTCGTTGTGTAGAATCTGCAAGTGGAGATATGGACCGCTTTGAGGCCTATGGTAGTAAAGGAAACAGCTTCATATAAAAACTAGACAGCAGCATTCTCAGAAAACTCTTTGTGACGACTGAGTTAAACTCACAGGGCTGAACATTCCTTTGGATGGAGCAGTTTGGAAACACACTATCTGTAGGATCTGCAAGCGGATACTTGGGCCTCCCTGAGGATTTCGTGGGAAACGGGATAAACCGCACAGAACTAAACAGAAGCATTCTCAGAACCTTCTTCATGATGTTTGCATTCAACCCACAGTGTTGAACCTTTCTTTGATAGTTCAGGTTTGAAACACTCTTTTTGTAGAAACTGCAAGTGGATAACTGCACTTCTTTGAGGCCTATCGTAGTAAAGGAAATAACTTCCTATAAAAACAAGACAGAAGCTTTCTCAGAAAATTCTCTGGGATGATTGAGTTGAACTCACAGAGCAGTACTTTCCTTGGGATGGAGTAGTTTCGAAACACACTTTCTGTAGAATCTGCAAGTGGATATTTGGACCTGTCTGAGGAATTCGTTGCAAACGGGATAATTTCAGCTAAGTAAACAGAAGCAGTCTCAGAATCTTCTTGTGATGGTTGCATTCAAATCCCAGAATTGAACCTTCCTTTGAAAGTTCAGGTTGGAAACACTCTTTTTGCAGGATCTACAAGTGGATATTCGGAACACTCTGTGGACTTCGTTCGAAACGGGTATATCTTCACATAACATCTAGACAGAAGCATTCTCAGAAACTTTTCTGTGATGACTGCACTCAACTCACAGAGTTGAACACTCCTTTTGAGAGCGCAGTTTTGAAACTCTCTTTCTCTGGAATCTGCAAGGGGACATGCAGAACTCTTTGAAGGTTTCGTTGGAAACGGAATCATCTTCACATAAAAATTACACAGAAGCATCCTCAGGAACTCCTTGGTGATGTTTGTATTCAACTTCCAGAGTTGAACTTTCCTTCGGAAAGAGCAGCTATGAAACACTCTTTTTCTAGAATCTGCAAGTGGACATTGGGAGGGCTGTGAGGTTTGTGGTGGAAAAGGAAATATCTCCACATAAATACTAGATAGAAGCCTTCTCAGAAACTACTTTGTGATGATTGCATTCACCTCACGGAGTGGAGCATTCCTATTGACAGAGCAGTTTGGAAACACTCTTCTTGTAGAATCGGCTAGTGGAGATTTGGAGCGCTTTGAGGCCTATGGTAGTAAAGGGAAGAGCTTCACATAAAATCTAGACAGAAGCATTCTCAGAAAATACTTTGTGATGATTGAGTTTAACACACAGAGCTGAACATTCCTTTGGATGGAGAAGGTTGGAACCACACTTTCTGTAGAATCTGCGAGTGGATATTTGGACCTCTCTGAGGATTTCGTTGGAAACGGGATAACTGCACCTAAATAAACGGAAGCATTCTCACAAAATTCTTCGTGATGTTTGCATTCAAATCCCAGAGTTGAACCTTCCTTTGATAGTTCAGCTTTGAAACACTCTTTTTGTAGGATCTGCAAGTGTTTATTTGGACCACTCTTTGGCCTTCCTTCGAAACGGGTACATCTTCATATAAAATCTAGACAGAAGCCTTCTCAGAAACTTCTCTGTGACGATTGCATTCAACTCAAAGCGTTGGACCCTCCTATGGATAGAGCAGTTTTGAATCTCTGTTTTTGTGGAATCTGCAAGTGGATGTGTGGTCCTCTTTGAAGATGTCTTTGGAAACGGGAATATCTTCACATAAAAACTAAACAGAAGCATTCTCAGAAACTTCTCTGTGATGTTTGTGTTCAACTCACAGAGTTTCACGTTGCTATTCATAGAGCAGATGAGAAACATGCTTTTCGTAGGGTCTGCAAGTGGACATTTCGAGAGATTTCCGGCTTGCGGTGGAAAACGAATTATCGTCACGTAAAAACTAGAGAGAAGCATTGTCAGAAACTTGTTTGTGATGACTGCATTCAACTCACAGAGTTGAAGGTTCCTTTTCAAACAGCAGTTTCCAAACACTCTTTCTGTGGCATCTGCAAGTGGATGTTTGGGCCTCTTTGAAGATTTCGTTGGAAACGGGATAATCTTCACAGAAAAGCTAAACAGAAGCATTCTCAGAAACTTCTTTGTGATGTTTGCTTTCAACTCACAGAGTTGAAATTTCCTTTTGAGAGAGAAGCTTTGAAACACTCTTTTTCTAGAATCTGCAAGTGGATATTTGGAGGGCTTTGAGGCCTGAGGTGGAAAAGGAATTATCTTCCCGTAAGAACTAGATAGATGCATTCTCAGAAACTACTTTGTGACGATTGCATTCAAGTCACAGAGGTGAACATTCCCTTTCAGAGAGCACTTTGGAAACTCTCGTTGTGTAGAATCTGCAAGTGGAGATATGGACCGCTTTGAGGCCTATGGTAGTAAAGGAAACAGCTTCATATAAAAACTAGACAGCAGCATTCTCAGAAAACTCTTTGTGACGACTGAGTTTAACTCACAGGGCTGAACATTCCTTTGGATGGAGCAGTTTGGAAACACACTATCTGTAGGATCTGCAAGCGGATACTTGGGCCTCTCTGAGGATTGCGTTGGAAACGGGATAAACCGCACAGAACGAAACAGAAGCATTCTCAGAACCTTCTTCGTGATGTTTGCATTCAACCCAGAGTGTTGAACCTTTCTTTGATAGTTCAGGTTTGAAACACTCTTTTTGTAGAAACTGCAAGTGGATAACTGCACTTCTTTGAGGCCTATCGTAGTAAAGGAAATAACTTCCTATAAAAACAAGACAGAAGCTTTCTCAGAAAATTCTCTGGGATGATTGAGTTGAACTCACAGAGCAGTACTTTCCTTGGGATGGAGTAGTTTCGAAACACACTTTCTGTAGAATCTGCAAGTGGATATTTCGACCTGTCTGAGGAATTCGTTGCAAACGGGATAATTTCAGCTAAGTAAACAGAAGCAGTCTCAGAATCTTCTTGTGATGTTTGCATTCAAATCCCAGAATTGAACCTTCCTTTGAAAGTTCAGGTTTGAAACACTCTTTTTGCAGGATCTACAAGTGGATATTCGGACCACTCTGTGGACTTCGATCGAAACGGGTATATCTTCACATAACATCTAGACAGAAGCATTCTCAGAAACTTTTCTGTGATGACTCCATTCAACTCACAGAGTTGAACACTCCTTTTGAGAGCGCAGTTTTGAAACTCTCTTTCTCTGGAATCTGCAAGGGGACATGCAGACCTCTTTGAAGGTTTCGTTGGAAACGGAATCATCTTCACATAAAAATTACACAGAAGCATCCTCAGGAACTCCTTGGTGATGTTTGTATTCAACTTCCAGAGGTGAACTTTCCTTCGGAAAGAGCAGCTATGAAACACTCTTTTTCTAGAATCTGCAAGTGGACATTGGGAGGGCTGTGAGGTTTGTGGTGGAAAAGGAAATATCTCCACATAAATACTAGATAGAAGCCTTCTCAGAAACTACGTTGTGATGATTGCATTCACCTCACGGAGTGGAGCATTCCTATTGACAGAGCAGTTTGGAAACACTCTTGTTGTAGAATCTGCTAGTGGAGATTTGGAGCACTTTGAGGCCTATGGTAGTAAAGGGAAGAGCTTCACATAAAATCTAGACAGAAGCATTCTCAGAAAATACTTTGTGATGATTGAGTTTAACACACAGAGCTGAACATTCCTTTGGATGGATCAGGTTTGAAACACACTTTCTGTAGAATCTGCGAGTGGATATTTGGACCTCTCTGAGGATTTCGTTGGAAACGGGATAACTGCACCTAACTAAACGGAAGCATTCTCACAAAATTCTTCGTGAGGTTTGCATTCAAACCCCAGAGTTGAACCTTCCTTTGATAGTTCAGCTTTGAAACACTCTTTTTGTAGGATCTGCAAGTGGATATTTGGACCACACTTTGGCCTTCCTTCGAAACGGGTACATCTTCAAATAAAATCTAGACAGAAGCCTTCTCAGAAACTTCTCTGTGACGATTGCATTCAACACAAAGCGTTGAACCCTCCTATGGATAGAGCAGTTTTGAATCTCTCTTTTTGTGGAATCTGCAAGTGGATATGTGGTACTCTTTGAAGATGTCTTTGGAAACGGGAATATCTTCACATAAAAACTAAACAGAAGCATTCTCAGAAACTTCTCTGTGATGTTTGTGTCCAAATCACAGAGTTTCACGTTGCTTTTCATAGAGCAGATGAGAAACATGCTTTTCGTAGGGTCTGCAAGTGGACGTTTGGAGAGATTTCAGGCCTGTGGTGGAAAACGAATTATCGTCACGTAAAAACTAGAGGGAAGCATTGTCAGAAACTTGTTTGTGATGACTGCATTCAACTCACAGAGTTGAAGGTTCCTTTTCAAACAGCAGTTTCCAAACACTCTTTCTGTGGCATCTGCAAGTGGATGTTTGGGCCTCTTTGAAGATTTCGTTGGAAACGGGATAATCTTCACAGAAAAGCTAAACAGAAGCATTCTCAGAAACTTCTTTGTGATGTTTGCTTTCAACTCACAGAGTTGAACTTTCCTTTTGAGAGAGAAGCTTTGAAACACTCTTTTTCTAGAATCTGCAAGTGGATATTTGGAGGGCTTTGAGGCCTGAGGTGGAAAAGGAATTATCTTCCCGTAAGAACTAGATAGATGCATTCTCAGAAACTACTTTGTGACGATTGCATTCAAGTCACAGAGGTGAACATTCCCTTTCAGAGAGCACTTTGGAAACTCTCGTTGTGTAGAATCTGCAAGTGGAGATATGGACCGCTTTTGGCCTATGGTAGTAAAGGAAACAGCTTCATATAAAAACTAGACAGCAGCATTCTCAGAAAACTCTTTGTGACGACTGAGTTTAACTCACAGGGCTGAACATTCCTTTGGATGGAGCAGTTTGGAAACACACTATCTGTAGGATCTGCAAGCGGATACTTGGGCCTCTCTGAGGATGTCGTTGGAAACGGAATAAACCGCACAGAACTAAACAGAAGCATTCTCAGAACCTTCTTCGTGACGTTTGCATTCAACCCACAGTGTTGAAACTTTCTTTGATAGTTCAGGTTTGAAACACTCTTTTCGTAGAAAATGCAAGTGGATAACTGCACTTCTTTGAGGCCTATCGTAGTAAAGGAAATAACTTCCTATAAAAACAAGACAGAAGCTTTCTCAGAAAATTCTCTGGGATGATTGAGTTGAACTCACAGAGCAGTACTTTCCTTGGGATGGAGTAGTTTCGAAACACACTTTCTGTAGAATCTGCAAGTGGATATTTGGACCTGTCTGAGGAATTCGTTGCAAACGGGATAATTTCAGCTAAGTAAACAGAAGCAGTCTCAGAATCTTCTTGTGATGTTTGCATTCAAATCCCAGAATTGAACCTTCCTTTGAAAGTTCAGGTTGGAAACACTCTTTTTGCAGGATCTACAAGTGGATATTCGGACCACTCTGTGGACTTCGTTCGAAACGGGTATATCTTCACATAACATCTAGACAGAAGCATTCTCAGAAACTTTTCTGTGATGACTGCATTCAACTCACAGAGTTGAACACTACTTTTGAGAGCGCAGTTTTGAAACTCTCTTTCTCTGGAATCTGCAAGGGGACATCCAGACCTCTTTGAAGGTTTCGTTGGAAACGGAATCATCTTCACATAAAAATTACACAGAAGCATCCTCAGGAACTCCTTGGTGATGTTTGTATTCAACTTCCAGAGTTGAACTTTCCTTCGGAAAGAGCAGCTATGAAACACTCTTTTTCTAGAATCTGCAAGTGGACATTGGGAGGGCTGTGAGGTTTGTGGTGGAAAAGGAAATATCTCCACATAAATACTAGATAGAAGCCTTCTCAGAAACTACTTTGTGATGATTGCATTCACCTCACGGAGTGGAGCATTCCTATTGACAGAGCAGTTTGGAAACACTCTTCTTGTAGAATCGGCTAGTGGAGATTTGGAGCGCTTTGAGGCCTATGGTAGTAAAGGGAAGAGCTTCACATAAAATCTAGACAGAAGCATTCTCAGAAAATACTTTGTGATGATTGAGTTTAACACACAGAGCTGAACATTCCTTTGGATGGAGAAGGTTTGAAACACACTTTCTGTAGAATCTGCGAGTGGATATTGGGACCTCTCTGAGGATTTCTTTGGAAACCGGATAACTGCACCTAACTAAACGGAAGCATTCTCACAAAATTCTTTGTGATGTTTGCATTCAAATCCCAGAGTTGAACCTTCCTTTGATAGTTCAGCTTTGGAACACTCTTTTTGTAGGATCTGCAGGTGGATATTTGGACCACTCTTTGGCCTTCGTTCAAAACGGGTACATCTTCAAATAAAATCTAGACAGAAGCCTTCTCAGAAACTTCTCTGTGATGATTGCATTCAAATCAAAGCGTTGAACCCTCCTATGGATAGAGCAGTTTTGAATCTCTCTTTTTGTGGAATCTGCAAGTGGTTGTGTGGTCCTCTTTGAAGATGTCTTTGGAAACGGGAATATCTTCACATAAAAACTAAACAGAAGCATTCTCAGAAACTTCTCTGTGATGTTTGTGTTCAACTCACAGAGTTTCACGTTGCTTTTCATAGAGCAGATGAGAAACATGCTTTTCGTAGGGTCTGCAAGTGGACATTTGGAGAGATATCCGGCCTGTGGTGGAAAACGAAATATCGTCACGTAAAAACTAGAGAGAAGCATTGTCAGAAACTTGTTTGTGATGACTGCATTCAACTCACAGAGTTGAAGGTTCCTTTTCAAACAGCAGTTTCCAAACACTCTTTCTGTGGCATCTGCAAGTGGATGTTTGGGCCTCTTTGAAGATTTCGTTGGAAACGGGATAATCTTCACAGAAAAGCTAAACAGAAGCATTCTCAGAAACTTCTTTGTGATGTTTGCTTTCAACTCACAGAGTTGAACTTTCCTTTTGAGAGAGAAGCTTTGAAACACTCTTTTTCTAGAATCTGCAAGTGGATATTTGGAGGGCTTTGAGGCCTGAGGTGGAAAAGGAATTATCTTCCCGTAAGAACTAGATAGAATGCATTCTCAGAAAGTACTTTGTGACGATTGCATTCAAGTCACAGAGGTGAACATTCCCTTTCACAGAGCACTTTGGAAACTCTCGTTGTGTAGAATCTGCAAGTGGAGATATGGACTGCTTTGAGGCCTATGGTAGTAAAGGAAACAGCTTCATATAAAAACTAGACAGCAGCATTCTCAGAAAACTCTTTGTGACGACTGAGTTTAACTCACAGGGCTGAACATTCCTTTGGATGGAGCAGTTTGGAAACACACTATCTGTAGGATCTGCAAGCGGATACTTGGGCCTCCCTGAGGATTTCGTTGGAAACGGGATAAACCGCACAGAACTAAACAGAAGCATTCTCAGAACCTTCTTCCTGATGTTTGCATTCAACCCACAGTGTTGAACCTTTCTTTGATAGTTCAGGTTTGAAACACTCTTTTTGTAGAAACTGCAAGTGGATAACTGCACTTCTTTGAGGCCTATCGTAGTAAAGGAAATAACTTCCTATAAAAACAAGACAGAAGCTTTCTCAGAAAATTCTCTGAGATGATTGAGTTGAACTCACAGAGAAGTACTTTCCTTGGGATGGAGTAGTTTCGAAACACACTTTCTGTAGAATCTGCAAGTGGATATTTGGACCTGTCTGAGGAATTCGTTGCAAACGGGATAATTTCAGCTAAGTAAACAGAAGCAGTCTCAGAATCTTCTTGTGATGTTTGCATTCAAATCCCAGAATTGAACCTTCCTTTGAAAGTTCAGGTTGGAAACACTCTTTTTGCAGGATCTACAAGTGGATATTCGGACCACTCTGTGGACTTCGTTCGAAACGGGTATATCTTCACATAACATCTAGACAGAAGCATTCTCAGAAACTTTTCTGTGATGACTGCATTCAACTCACAGAGTTGAACACTCCTTTTGAGAGTGCAGTTTTGAAACTCTCTTTCTCTGGAATCTGCAAGGGGACATGCAGACCTCTTTGAAGGTTTCGTTGGAAACGGAATCATCTTCACATAAAAATTACACAGAAGCATCTTCAGGAACTCCTTGGTGATGTTTGTATTCAACTTCCAGAGTTGAACTTTCCTTCGGAAAGAGCAGCTATGAAACACTCTTTTTCTAGAATCTGCAAGTGGACATTGGGAGGGCTGTGAGGTTTGTGGTGGAAAAGGAAATATCTCCACATAAATACTAGATAGAAGCCTTCTCAGAAACTACTTTCAGATGATTGCATTCACCTCACGGAGTGGAGCATTCCTATTGACAGAGCAGTTTGGAAACACTCTTGTTGTAGAATCTGCTAGTGGAGATTTGGAGCGCTTTGAGGCCTATGGTAGTAAAGGGAAGAGCTTCACATAAAATCTAGACAGAAGCATTCTCAGAAAATACTTTGTGATGATTGAGTTTAACACACAGAGCTGAACATTCCTTTGGATGGAGCAGGTTTGAAACACACTTTCTGTAGAATCTGCGAGTGGATATTTGGACCTCTCTGAGGATTTCGTTGGAAACGGGATAACTGCACCTAACTAAACGGAAGCATTCTCACAAAATTCTTCGTGAGGTTTGCATTCAAATCCCAGAGTTGAACCTTCCTTTGATAGTTCAGGTTTGAAACACTCTTTTTGTAGGATCTGCAAGTGGATATTTGGACCACACTTTGGCCTTCGTGCGAAACGGGTACATCTTCAAATAAAATCTAGACAGAAGCCTTCTCAGAAACTTCTCTGTGATGATTGCATTCAACTCAAAGCGTTGAACCCTCCTATGGATAGAGCAGTTTCGAATCTCTCTTTTTGTGGAATCTGCAAGTGGATATGTGGTCCTCTTTGAAGATGTCTTTGGAAACGGGAATATCTTCACATAAAAACTAAACAGAAGCATTCTCAGAAACTTCTCTGTGATGTTTGTGTCCAAATCACAGAGTTTCACGTTGCTTTTCATAGAGCAGATGAGAAACATGCTTTTCGTAGGGTCTGCAAGTGGACATTTGGAGAGATTTCAGGCCTGTGGTGGAAAACGAATTATCGTCACGTAAAAACTAGAGGGAAGCATTGTCAGAAACTTGTTTGTGATGACTGCATTCAACTCACAGAGTTGAAGGTTCCTTTTCAAACAGCAGTTTCCAAACACTCTTTCTGTGGCATCTGCAAGTGGATGTTTGGGCCTCTTTGAAGATTTCGTTGGAAACGGGATAATCTTCACAGAAAAGCTAAACAGAAGCATGCTCAGAAACTTCTTTGTGATGTTTGCTTTCAACTCACAGAGTTGAACTTTCCTTTTGAGAGAGAAGCTTTGAAACACTCTTTTTCTAGAATCTGCAAGTGGATATTTGGAGGGCTTTGAGGCCTGAGGTGGAACAGGAATTATCTTCCCGTAAGAACTAGATAGATGCATTTTCAGAAACTACTTTGTGACGATTGCATTCAAGTCACAGAGGTGAACATTCCCTTTCAGAGAGCACTTTGGAAACTCTCGTTGTGTAGAATCTGCAAGTGGAGATATGGACCGCTTTGAGGCCTATGGTAGTAAAGGAAACAGCTTCATATAAAAACTAGACAGCAGCATTCTCAGAAAACTCTTTGTGACGACTGAGTTAAACTCACAGGGCTGAACATTCCTTTGGATGGAGCAGTTTGGAAACACACTATCTGTAGGATCTGCAAGCGGATACTTGGGCCTCCCTGAGGATTTCGTGGGAAACGGGATAAACCGCACAGAACTAAACAGAAGCATTCTCAGAACCTTCTTCGTGATGTTTGCATTCAACCCACAGTGTTGAACCTTTCTTTGATAGTTCAGGTTTGAAACACTCTTTTTGTAGAAACTGCAAGTGGATAACTGCACTTCTTTGAGGCCTATCGTAGTAAAGGAAATAACTTCCTATAAAAACAAGACAGAAGCTTTCTCAGAAAATTCTCTGGGATGATTGAGTTGAACTCACAGAGCAGTACTTTCCTTGGGATGGAGTAGTTTCGAAACACACTTTCTGTAGAATCTGCAAGTGGATATTTGGACCTGTCTGAGGAATTCGTTGCAAACGGGATAATTTCAGCTAAGTAAACAGAAGCAGTCTCAGAATCTTCTTGTGATGTTTGCATTCAAATCCCAGAATTGAACCTTCCTTTGAACGTTCAGGTTGGAAACACTCTTTTTGCAGGGTCTACAAGTGGATATTCGGACCACTCTGTGGACTTCGTTCGAAACGGGTATATCTTCACATAACATCTAGACAGAAGCATTCTCAGAAACTTTTCTGTGATGACTGCATTCAACTCACAGAGTTGAACACTCCTTTTGAGAGCGCAGTTTTGAAACTCTCTTTCTCTGGAACCTGCAAGGGGACATGCAGACCTCTTTGAAGGTTTCGTTGGAAACGGAATCATCTTCACATAAAAATTACACAGAAGCATCCTCAGGAACTCCTTGGTGATGTTTGTATTCAACTTCCAGAGTTGAACTTTCCTTCGGAAAGAGCAGCTATGAAACACTCTTTTTCTAGAATCTGCAAGTGGACATTGGGAGGGCTGTGAGGTTTGTGGTGGAAAAGGAAATATCTCCACATAAATACTAGATAGAAGCCTTCTCAGAAACTACTTTGTGATGATTGCATTCACCTCACGGAGTGGAGCATTCCTATTGACAGAGCAGTTTGGAAACACTCTTCTTTTAGAATCGGCTAGTGGAGATTTGGAGCGCTTTGAGGCCTATGGTAGTAAAGGGAAGAGCTTCACATAAAATCTAGACAGAAGCATTCTCAGAAAATACTTTGTGATGATTGAGTTTAACACACAGAGCTGAACATTCCTTTGGATGGAGAAGGTTTGAAACACACTTTCTGTAGAATCTGCGAGTGGATATTTGGACCTCTCTGAGGATTTCGTTGGAAACGGGATAACTGCACCTAACTAAACGGAAGCATTCTCACAAAATTCTTTGTGATGTTTGCATTCAAATCCCAGAGTTGAACCTTCCTTTGATAGTTCAGCTTTGAAACACTCTTTTTGTAGGATCTGCAAGTGGATATTTGGACCACACTTTGGCCTTCCTTCGAAACGGGTACATCTTCAAATAAAATCTAGACAGAAGCCTTCTCAGAAACTTCTCTTTGATGATTGCATTCAACTCAAAGCGTTGAAACCTCCTATGGATAGAGCAGTTTTGAATCTCTTTTTTTGTGGAATCTGCAAGTGGATATGTGGTCCTCTTTGAAGATGTCTTTGGAAACGGGAATATCTTCACATAAAAACTAAACAGAAGCATTCTCAGAAACTTCTCTGTGATGTTTGTGTTCAACTCACAGAGTTTCACGTTGCTTTTCATAGAGCAGATGAGAAACATGCTTTTCGTAGGGTCTGCAAGTGGACATTTGGAGAGCTTTCAGGCCTGTGGTGGAAAACGAATTATCGTCACGTAAAAACTAGAGAGAAGCATTGTCAGAAACTTGTTTGTGATGACTGCATTCAACTCACAGAGTTGAAGGTTCCTTTTCAAACAGCAGTTTCCAAACACTCTTTCTGTGGCATCTGCAAGTGGATGTTTGGGCCTCTTTGAAGATTTCGTTGGAAACGGGATAATCTTCACAGAAAAGCTAAACAGAAGCATTCTAAGAAACTTCTTTGTGATGTATGCTTTCAACTCACAGAGTTGAACTTTCCTTTTGAGAGAGAAGCTTTGAAACACTCTTTTTCTAGAATCTGCAAGTGGATATTTGGAGGGCTTTGAGGCCTTAGGTGGAAAAGGAATTATCTTCCCGTAAGGACTAGATAGATGCATTCTCAGAAACTACTTTGTGAGGATTGCATTCAAGTCACAGAGGTGAACATTCCCTTTCAGAGAGCACTTTGGAAACTCTCGTTGTGTAGAATCTGCAAGTGGAGATATGGACCGCTTTGAGGCCTATGGTAGTAAAGGAAACAGCTTCATATAAAAACTAGACAGCAGCATTCTCAGAAAACTCTTTGTGACGACTGAGTTTAACTCACAGGGCTGAACATTCCTTTGGATGGAGCAGTTTGGAAACACACTATATGTAGGATCTGCAAGCGGATACTTGGGCCTCTCTGAGGATTGCGTTGGAAACGGGATAAACCGCACAGAACTAAACAGAAGCATTCTCAGAACCTTCTTCGTGATGTTTGCATTCAACCCACAGTGTTGAACCTTTCTTTGATAGTTCGGGTTTGAAACACTCTTTTTGTAGAAACTGCAAGTGGATAACTGCACTTCTTTGAGGCCTATCATAGTAAAGGAAATAACTTCCTGTAAAAACAAGACAGAAGCTTTCTCAGAAAATTCTCTGGGATGATTGACTTGAACTCACAGAGCAGTACTTTCCTTGGGATGGAGTAGTTTCGAAACACACTTTCTGTAGAATCTGCAAGTGGATATTTGGACCTGTCTGAGGAATTCGTTGCAAACGGGATAATTTCAGCTAAGTAAACAGAAGCAGTCTCAGAATCTTCTTGTGATGTTTGCATTGAAATCCCA
The DNA here is from genome assembly GCF_000001405.40 of Homo sapiens. Taxonomy (NCBI): domain Eukaryota; kingdom Metazoa; phylum Chordata; class Mammalia; order Primates; family Hominidae; genus Homo; species Homo sapiens. The sequence goes on from NC_000017.11 coordinate 22,838,563, forward strand.
GAATTGAACCTTCCTTTGAAAGTTCAGGTTGGAAACACTCTTTTTGCAGGATCTACAAGTGGATATTCGGACCACTCTGTGGACTTCGTTCGAAACGGGTATATCTTCACATAACATCTAGACAGAAGCATTCTCAGAAACTTTTCTGTGATGACTGCATTCAACTCACAGAGTTGAACACTCCTTTTGAGAGCGCAGTTTTGAAACTCTCTTTCTCTGGAATCTGCAAGGGGACATGCAGACCTCTTTGAAGGTTTCGTTGGAAACGGAATCATCTTCACATAAAAATTACACAGAAGCATCCTCAGGAACTCCTTGGTGATGTTTGTATTCAACTTCCAGAGTTGAACTTTCCTTCGGAAAGAGCAGCTATGAAACACTCTTTTTCTAGAATCTGCAAGTGGACATTGGGAGGGCTGTGAGGTTTGTGGTGGAAAAGGAAATATCTCCACATAAATACTAGTTAGAAGCCTTCTCAGAAACTACTTTGTGATGATCGCATTCACCTCACGGAGTGGAGCATTCCTATTGACAGAGCAGTTTGGAAACACTCTTCTTGTAGAATCGGCTAGTGGAGATTTGGAGCGCTTTGAGGCCTATGGTAGTAAAGGGAAGAGCTTCACATAAAATCTAGACAGAAGCATTCTCAGAAAATACTTTGTGATGATTGAGTTTAACACACAGAGCTGAACATTCCTTTGGATGGAGAAGGTTTGAAACACACTTTCTGTAGAATCTGCGAGTGGATATTTGGACCTCTCTGAGGATTTCGTTGGAAACGGGATAACTGCACCTAACTAAACGGAAGCATTCTCACAAAATTCTTTGTGATGTTTGCATTCAAATCCCAGAGTTGAACCTTCCTTTGATAGTTCAGCTTTGAAACACTCTTTTTGTAGGATCTGCAGGTGGATATTTGGACCACTCTTTGGCCTTCGTTCGAAATGGGTACATCTTCAAATAAAATCTAGACAGAAGCCTTCTCAGAAACTTCTCTGTGACGATTGCATTCAACTCAAAGCGTTGAACCCTCCTATGGATAGAGCAGTTTTGAATCTCTCTTTTTGTGGAATCTGCAAGTGGATATGTGGTCCTCTTTGAAGATGTCTTTGGAAACGGGAATATCTTCACATAAAAACTAAACAGAAGCATTCTCAGAAACTTCTCTGTGATGTTTGTGTTCAACTCACAGAGTTTCACGTTGCTTTTCATAGAGCAGATGAGAAACATGCTTTTCGTAGGGTCTGCAAGTGGACATTTGGAGAGATTTCAGGCCTGTGGTGGAAAACGAATTATCGTCACGTAAAAACTAGAGGGAAGCATTGTCAGAAACTTGTTTGTGATGACTGCATTCAACCCACAGAGTTGAAGGTTCCTTTTCAAACAGCAGTTTCCAAACACTCTTTCTGTGGCATCTGCAAGTGGATGTTTGGGCCTCTTTGAAGATTTCGTTGGAAACGGGATAATCTTCACAGAAAAGCTAAACAGAAGCATTCTCAGAAACTTCTTTGTGATGTTTGCTTTCAACTCACAGAGTTGAACTTTCCTTTTGAGAGAGAAGCTTTGAAACACTCTTTTTCTAGAATCTGCAAGTGGATATTTGGAGGGCTTTGAGGCCTGAGGTGGAAAAGGAATTATCTTCCCGTAAGAACCAGATAGATGCATTCTGAGAAACTACTTTGTGACGATTGCATTCAAGTCACAGAGGTGAACATTCCCTTTCACAGAGCACTTTGGAAACTCTCGTTGTGTAGAATCTGCAAGTGGAGATATGGACCGCTTTGAGGCCTATGGTAGTAAAGGAAACAGCTTCATATAAAAACTAGACAGCAGCATTCTCAGAAAACTCTTTGTGACGACTGAGTTTAACTCACAGGGCTGAACATTCCTTTGGATGGAGCAGTTTGGAAACACACTATCTGTAGGATCTGCAAGCGGATACTTGGGCCTCCCTGAGGATTTCGTTGGAAACGGGATAAACCGCACAGAACTAAACAGAAGCATTCTCAGAACTTTCTTCGTGATGTTTGCATTCAACCCACAGTGTTGAACCTTTCTTTGATAGTTCAGGTTTGAAACACTCTTTTTGTAGAAACTGCAAGTGGATAACTGCACTTCTTTGAGGCCTATCGTAGTAAAGGAAATAACTTCCTATAAAAACAAGACAGAAGCTTTCTCAGAAAATTCTCTGGGATGATTGAGTTGAACTCACAGAGCAGTACTTTCCTTGGGATGGAGTAGTTTCGAAACACAGTTTCTGTAGAATCTGCAAGTGGATATTTGGACCTGTCTGAGGAATTCGTTGCAAACGGGATAATTTCAGCTAAGTAAACAGAAGCAGTCTCAGAATCTTCTTGTGATGTTTGCATTCAAATCCCAGAATTGAACCTTCCTTTGAAAGTTCAGGTTGGAAACACTCTTTTTGCAGGATCTACAAGTGGATATTCGGACCACTCTGTGGACTTCATTCGAAACGGGTATATCTTCACATAACATCTAGACAGAAGCATTCTCAGAAACTTTTCTGTGATGACTGCATTCAACTCACAGAGTTGAACACTCCTTTTGAGAGCGCAGTTTTGAAACTCTCTTTCTCTGGAATCTGCAAGGGGACATGCAGACCTCTTTGAAGGTTTCGTTGGAAACGGAATCATCTTCACATAAAAATTACACAGAAGCATTCTCAGGAACTCCTTGGTGATGTTTGTATTCAACTTCCAGAGTTGAACTTTCCTTCGGAAAGAGCAGCTATGAAACACTCTTTTTCTAGAATCTGCAAGTGGACATTGGGAGAGCTGTGAGGTTTGTGGTGTAAAAGGAAATATCTCCACATAAATACTAGATAGAAGCCTTCTCAGAAACTACTTTGTGATGATTGCATTCACCTCACGGAGTGGAGCATTCCTATTGACAGAGCAGTTTGGAAACACTCTTGTTGTAGAATCTGCTAGTGGAGATTTGGAGCGCTTTGAGGCCTATGGTAGTAAAGGGAAGAGCTTCACATAAAATCTAGACACAAGCATTCTCAGAAAATACTTTGTGATGATTGAGTTTAACACACAGAGCTGCACATTCCTTTGGATGGAGAAGGTTTGAAACACACTTTCTGTAGAATCTGCGAGTGGATATTTGGACCTCTCTGAGGATTTCGTTGGAAACGGGATAACTGCACCTAACTAAACGGAAGCATTCTCACAAAATTCTTTGTGATGTTTGCATTCAAATCCCAGAGTTGACCCTTCCTTTGATAGTTCAGCTTTGAAACACTCTTTTTGTAGGATCTGCAAGTGGATATTTGGACCACTCTTTGGCCTTCGTTCGAAACGGGTACATCTTCAAATAAAATCTAGACAGAAGCCTTCTCAGAAACTTCTCTGTGACGATTGCATTCAACTCACAGCGTTGAACCCTCCTATGGATAGAGCAGTTTTGAATCTCTCTTTTTGTGGAATCTGCAAGTGGATATGTGGTCCTCTTTGAAGATGTCTTTGGAAACGGGAATATCTTCAAATAAAAACTAAACAGAAGCATTCTCAGAAACTTCTCTGTGATGTTTATGTTCAACTCACAGAGTTTCACGTTGCTTTTCATACAGCAGATGAGAAACATGGTTTTCGTAGGGTCTGCAAGTGGACATTTGGAGAGATTTCAGGCCTGTGGTGGAAAACGAATTATCGTCACGTAAAAACTAGAGAGAAGCATTGTCAGAAACTTGTTTGTGATGACTGCATTCAACTCACAGAGTTGAAGGTTCCTTTTCAAACAGCAGTTTCCAAACACTCTTTCTGTGGCATCTGCAAGTGGATGTTTGGGCCTCTTTGAAGATTTCGTTGGAAACGGGATACTCTTCACAGAAAAGCTAAACAGAAGCATTCTCAGAAACTTCTTTGTGATGTTTGCTTTCAACTCACAGAGTTGAACTTTCCTTTTGAGAGAGAAGCTTTGAAACACTCTTTTTCTAGAATCTGCAAGTGGATATTTGGAGGGCTTTGAGGCCTGTGGTGGAAAAGGAATTATCTTCCCGTAAGAACTAGATAGATGCATTCTCACAAACTACTTTGTGACGATTGCATTCAAGTCACAGAGGTGAACATTCCCTTTCAGAGAGCACTTTGGAAACTCTAGTTGTGTAGAATCTGCAAGTGGAGATATGGACCTCTTTGAGGCCTATGGTAGTAAAGGAAACGGCTTCATATAAAAACTAGACAGCAGCATTCTCAGAAAACTCTTTGTGACGACTGAGTTTAACTCACAGGGCTGAACATTCCTTTGGATGGAGCAGTTTGGAAACACACTATCTGTAGGATCTGCAAGCAGATACTTGGGCCTCTCTGAGGATTTCGTTGGAAACGGGATAAACCGCACAGAACTAAACAGAAGCATTCTCAGAACCTTCTTCGTGATGTTTGCATTCAACCCACAGTGTTGAACCTTTCTTTGATAGTTCAGGTTTGAAACACTCTTTTTGTAGAAACTGCAAGTGGATAACTGCACTTCTTTGAGGCCTATCGTAGTAAAGGAAATAACTTCCTATAAAAACAAGACAGAAGCTTTCTCAGAAAATTCTCTGGGATGATTGAGTTGAACTCACAGAGCAGTACTTTTCCTTGGGATGGAGTAGTTTCGAAACACACTTTCTGTAGAATCTGCAAGTGGATATTTGGACCTGTCTGAGGAATTCGTTGCAAACGGGATAATTTCAGCTAAGTAAACAGAAGCAGTCTCAGAATCTTCTTGTGATGTTTGCATTCAAATCCCAGAATTGAACCTTCCTTTGAAAGTTCAGGTTGGAAACACTCTTTTTGCAGGATCTACAAGTGGATATTCGGACCACTCTGTGGACTTCGTTCAAAACGGGTATATCTTCACATAACATCTAGACAGAAGCATTCTCAGAAACTTTTCTGTGATGACTGCATTCAACTCACAGAGTTGAACACTCCTTTTGAGAGCGCAGTTTTGAAACTCTCTTTCTCTGGAATCTGCAAGGGGACATGCAGACCTCTTTGAAGGTTTCGTTGGAAACGGAATCATCTTCACATAAAAATTACACAGAAGCATTCTCAGGAACTCCTTGGGGATGTTTGTATTCAACTTCCAGAGTTGAACTTTCCTTCGGAAAGAGCAGCTATGAAACACTCTTTTTCTAGAATCTGCAAGTGGACATTGGGAGGGCTGTGAGGTTTGTGGTGGAAAAGGAAATATCTCCACATAAATACTAGATAGAAGCCTTCTCAGAAACTACTTTGTGATGATTGCATTCACCTCACGGAGTGGAGCATTCCTATTGACAGAGCAGTTTGGAAACACTCTTCTTGTAGAATCGGCTAGTGGAGGTTTGGAGCGCTTTGAGGCCTATGGCAGTAAAGGGAAGAGCTTCACATGAAATCTAGACAGAAGCATTCTCAGAAAATACTTTGTGATGATTGAGTTTAACACACAGAGCTGAACATTCCTTTGGATGGAGAAGGTTTGAAACACACTTTCTGTAGAATCTGCGAGTGGATATTTGGACCTCTCTGAGGATTTCGTTGGAAACGGGATAACTGCACCTAACTAAACGGAAGCATTCTCACAAAATTCTTTGTGATGTTTGCATTCAAATCCCAGAGTTGAACCTTCCTTTGATAGTTCAGCTTTGAAACAGTCTTTTTGTAGGATCTGCAGGTGGATATTTGGACCACTCTTTGGCCTTCGTTCGAAACGGGTACATCTTCAAATAAAATCTAGACAGAAGCCTTCTCAGAAACTTCTCTGTGACGATTGCATTCAACTCAAAGAGTTGAACCCTCCTATGGATAGAGCAGTTTTGAATCTCTCTTTTTGTGGAATCTGCAAGTGGATATGTGGTCCTCTTTGAAGATGTCTTTGGAAACGGGAATATCTTCACATAAAAACTAAACAGAAGCATTCTCAGAAACTTCTCTGTGATGTTTGTGTTCACCTCACAGAGTTTCACGTTGCTTTTCATAGAGCAGATGAGAAACATGCTTTTCGTAGGGTCTGCAAGTGGACATTTGGAGAGATTTCAGGCCTGTGGTGGAAAACGAATTATCGTCACGTAAAAACTAGCGAGAAGCATTGTCAGAAACTTGTTTGTGATGACTGCTTTCAACTCACAGAGTTGAAGGTTCCTTTTCAAACAGAAGTTTCCAAACACTCTTTCTGTGGCATCTGCAAGTGGATGTTTGGGCCTCTTTGAAGATTTCGTTGGAAACGGGATAATCTTCACAGAAAAGCTAAACAGAAGCATTCTCAGAAACTTCTTTGTGATGTTTGCTTTCAACTCACAGAGTTGAACTTTCCTTTTGAGAGAGAAGCTTTGAAACACTCTTTTTCTAGAATCTGCAAGTGGATATTTGGAGGGCTTTGAGGCCTGTGGTGGAAAAGGAATTATCTTCCCGTAAGAACTAGATAGATGCATTCTCAGAAACTACTTTGTGACGATTGCATTCAAGTCACAGAGGTGAACATTCCCTTTCACAGAGCACTTTGGAAACTCTCGTTGTGTAGAATCTGCAAGTGGAGATATGGACCGCTTTGAGGCCTATGGTAGTAAAGGAAACAGCTTCATATAAAAACTAGACAGCAGCATTCTCAGAAAACTCTTTGTGACGACTGAGTTTAACTCACAGGGCTGAACATTCCTTTGGATGGAGCAGTTTGGAAACACACTATCTGTAGGATCTGCAAGCGGATACTTGGGCCTCCCTGAGGATTTCGTTGGAAACGGGATAAACCGCACAGAACTAAACAGAAGCATTCTCAGAACTTCTTCGTGACGTTTGCATTCAACCCACAGTGTTGAACCTTTCTTTGATAGTTCAGGTTTGAAACACTCTTTTTGTAGAAACTGCAAGTGGATAACTGCACTTCTTTGAGGCCTATCGTAGTAAAGGAAATAACTTCCTATAAAAACAAGACAGAAGCTTTCTCAGAAAATTCTCTGGGATGATTGAGTTGAACTCACAGAGCAGTACTTTCCTTGGGATGGAGTAGTTTCGAAACACACTTTCTGTAGAATCTGCAAGTGGATATTTGGACCTGTCTGAGGAATTCGTTGCAAACGGGATAATTTCAGCTAAGTAAACAGAAGCAGTCTCAGAATCTTCTTGTGATGTTTGCATTCAAATCCCAGAATGGAACCTTCCTTTGAAAGTTCAGGTTGGAAACACTCTTTTTGCAGGATCTACAAGTGGATATTCGGACCACTCTGTGGACTTCGTTCGAAACGGGTATATCTTCACATAACATCTAGACAGAAGCATTCTCAGAAACTTTTCTGTGATGACTGCATTCAACTCACAGAGTTGAACACTCCTTTTGAGAGCGCAGTTTTGAAACTCTCTTTCTCTGGAATCTGCAAGGGGACATGCAGACCTCTTTGAAGGTTTCGTTGGAAACGGAATCATCTTCACATAAAAATTACACGGAAGCCTCCTCAGGAACTCCTTGGTGATGTTTGTATTCAACTTCCAGAGTTGAACTTTCCTTCGGAAAGAGCAGCTATGAAACACTCTTTTTCTAGAATCTGCAAGTGGACATTGGGAGGGCTGTGAGGTTTGTGGTGGAAAAGGAAATATCTCCACATAAATACTAGATAGAAGCCTTCTCAGAAACTACTTTGTGATGACTGCATTCACCTCACGGAGTGGAGCATTCCTATTGACAGAGCAGTTTGGAAACACTCTTCTTGTAGAATCGGCTAGTGGAGAGTTGGAGCGCTTTGAGGCCTATGGTAGTAAAGGGAAGAGCTTCACATAAAATCTAGACAGAAGCATTCTCAGAAAATACTTTGTGATGATTGAGTTTAACACACAGAGCTGAACATTCCTTTGGATGGAGAAGGTTTGAAACACACTTTCTGTAGAATCTGCGAGTGGATATTTGGACCTCTCTGAGGATTTCGTTGGAAACGGGATAACTGCACCTAACTAAACGGAAGCATTCTCACAAAATTCTTTGTGATGTTTGCATTCAAATCCCAGAGTTGAACCTTCCTTTGATAGTTCAGCTTTGAAACACTCTTTTTGTAGGTTCTGCAGGTGGATATTTGGACCACTCTTTGGCCTTCGTTCGAAACGGGTACATCTTCAAATAAAATCTAGACAGAAGCCTTCTCAGAAACTTCTCTGTGACGATTGCATTCAACGCAAAGCGTTGAACCCTCCTATGGATAGAGCAGTTTTGAATCTCTCTTTTTGTGGAATCTGCAAGTGGATATGTGGTCCTCTTTGAAGATGTCTTTGGAAACGGGAATATCTTCACATTAAAACTAAACAGAAGCATTCTCAGAAACTTCTCTGTGATGTTTGTGTTCAACTCACAGAGTTTCACGTTGCTTTTCATAGAGCAGATGAGAAACATGCTTTTCGTAGGGTCTGCAAGTGGACATTCGGAGAGATTTCAGGCCTGTGGTGGAAAACGAATTATCGTCACGTAAAAACTAGAGAGAAGCATTGTCAGAAACTTGTTTGTGATGACTGCATTCAACTCACAGAGTTGAAGGTTCCTTTTCAAACAGCAGTTTCCAAACACTCTTTCTGTGGCATCTGCAAGTGGATGTTTGGGCCTCTTTGAAGATTTCGTTGGAAACGGGATAATCTTCACAGAAAAGCTAAACAGAAGCATTCTCAGAAACTTCTTTGTGATGTTTGCTTTCAACTCACAGAGTTGAACTTTCCTTTTGAGAGAGAAGCTTTGAAACACTCTTTTTCTAGAATCTGCAAGTGGATATTTGGAGGGCTTTGAGGCCTGAGGTGGAAAAGGAATTATCTTCCCGTAAGAACTAGATAGATGCATTCTCAGAAACTACTTTGTGACGATTGCATTCAAGTCACAGAGGTGAACATTCCCTTTCAGAGAGCACTTTGGAAACCCTCGTTGTGTAGAATCTGCAAGTGGAGATATGGACTGCTTTGGGGCCTATGGTAGTAAAGGAAACAGCTTCATATAAAAACTAGACAGCAGCATTCTCAGAAAACTCTTTGTGACGACTGAGTTTAACTCACAGGGCTGAACATTCCTTTGGATGGAGCAGTTTGGAAACACACTATCTGTAGGATCTGCAAGCGGATACTTGGGCCTCCCTGAGGATTTCGTTGGAAACGGGATAAACCGCACAGAACTAAACAGAAGCATTCTCAGAACCTTCTTCGTGACGTTTGCATTCAACCCACAGTGTTGAACCTTTCTTTGATAGTTCAGGTTTGAAACACTCTTTTTGTAGAAACTGCAAGTGGATAACTGCACTTCTTTGAGGCCTATCGTAGTAAAGGAAATAACTTCCTATAAAAACAAGACAGAAGCTTTCTCAGAAAATTCTCTGGGATGATTGAGTTGAACTCACAGAGCAGTACTTTCCTTGGGATGGAGTAGTTTCGAAACACACTTTCTGTAGAATCTGCAAGTGGATATTTGGACCTGTCTGAGGAATTCGTTGCAAACGGGATAATTTCAGCTAAGTAAACAGAAGCAGTCTCAGAATCTTCTTGTGATGTTTGCATTCAAATCCCAGAATTGAACCTTCCTTTGAAAGTTCAGGTTGGAAACACTCTTTTTGCAGGATCTACAAGTGGATATTCGGACCACTCTGTGGACTTCGTTCGAAACGGGTATATCTTCACATAACATCTAGACAGAAGCATTCTCAGAAACTTTTCTGTGATGACTGCATTCAACTCACAGAGTTGAACACTCCTTTTGAGAGCGCAGTTTTGAAACTCTCTTTCTCTGGAATCTGCAAGGGGACATGCAGACCTCTTTGAAGGTTTCGTTGGAAACGGAATCATCTTCACATAAAAATTACACAGAAGCATCCTCAGGAACTCCTTGGTGATGTTTGTATTCAACTTCCAGAGCTGAACTTTCCTTCGGAAAGAGCAGCTATGAAACACTCTTTTTCTAGAATCTGCAAGTGGACATTGGGAGGGCTGTGAGGTTTGTGGTGGAAAAGGAAATATCTCCACATAAATACTAGATAGAAGCCTTCTCAGAAACTACGTTGTGATGATTGCATTCAACTCACGGAGTGGAGCATTCCTATTGACAGAGCAGTTTGGAAACACTCTTGTTGTAGAAACTGCTAGTGGATATTTGGAGCGCTTTGAGGCCTATGGTAGTAAAGGGAAGAGCTTCACATAAAATCAAGACAGAAGCATTCTCAGAAAATACTTTGTGATGATTGAGTTTAACACACAGAGCTGAACATTCCTTTGGATGGAGAAGGTTTGAAACACACTTTCTGTAGAATCTGCGAGTGGATATTTGGACCTCTCTGAGGATTTCGTTGGAAACGGGATAACTGCACCTAACTAAACGGAAGCATTCTCACAAAATTCTTTGTGATGTTTGCATTCAAATCCCAGAGTTGAACCTTCCTTTGATAGTCCAGCTTTGAAACACTCTTTTTGTAGGATCTGCAGGTGGATATTTGGACCACTCTTTGGCCTTCGTTCGAAACGGGTACATCTTCAAATAAAATCTAGACAGAAGCCTTCTCAGAAACTTCTCTGTGACGATTGCATTCAACTCAAAGAGTTGAACCCTCCTATGGATAGAGCAGTTTTGAATCTCTCTTTTCGTGGAATCTGCAAGTGGATATGTGGTCCTCTTTGAAGATGTCTTTGGAAACGGGAATATCTTCACATAAAAACTAAACAGAAGCATTCTCAGAAACTTCTCTGTGATGTTTGTGTTCAACACACAGAGTTTCACATTGCTTTTCATAGAGCCGATGAGAAACATGCTTTTCGTAGGGTCTGCAAGTGGACATTTGGGGAGATTTCAGGCCTGTGGTGGAAAACGAATTATCGTCACGTAAAAACTAGAGAGAAGCATTGTCAGAAACTTGTTTGTGATGACTGCATTCAACTCACAGAGTTGAAGGTTCCTTTTCAAACAGCAGTTTCCAAACACTCTTTCTGTGGCATCTGCAAGTGGATGTTTGGGCCTCTTTGAAGATTTCGTTGGAAACGGGATAATCTTCACAGAAAAGCTAAACAGAAGCATTCTCAGAAACTTCTTTGTGATGTTTGCTTTCAACTCACAGAGTTGAACTTTCCTTTTGAGAGAGAAGCTTTGAAACACTCTTTTTCTAGAATCTGCAAGTGGATATTTGGAGGGCTTTGAGGCCTGTGGTGGAAAAGGAATTATCTTCCCGTAAGAACTAGATAGATGCATTTTCAGAAACTACTTTGTGACGATTGCATTCAAGTCACAGAGGTGAACATTCCCTTTCAGAGAGCACTTTGGAAACTCTCGTTGTGTAGAATCTGCAAGTGGAGATATGGAACCCTTTGAGGCCTATAGTAGTAAAGGAAACAGCTTCATATAAAAACTAGAGAGCAGCATTCTCAGAAAACTCTTTGTGACGACTGAGTTTAACTCACAGGGCTGAACATTCCTTTGGATGGAGCAGTTTGGAAACACACTATCTGTAGGATCTGCAAGCGGATACTTGGGCCTCTCTGAGGATTTCGTTGGAAACGGGATAAACCGCACAGAACTAAACAGAAGCATTCTCAGAACCTTCTTCGTGATGTTTGCATTCAACCCACAGTGTTGAACCTTTCTTTGATAGTTCAGGTTTGGAACACTCTTTTTGTAGAAACTGCAAGTGGATAACTGCACTTCTTTGAGGCCTATCGTAGTAAAGGAAATAACTTCCTATAAAAACAAGACAGAAGCTTTCTCAGAAAATTCTCTGGGATGATTGAGTTGAACTCACAGAGCAGTACTTTCCTTGGGATGGAGTAGTTTCGAAACACACTTTCTGTAGAATCTGCAAGTGGATATTTGGACCTGTCTGAGGAATTCGTTGCAAACGGGATAATTTCAGCTAAGTAAACAGAAGCAGTCTCAGAATCTTCTTGTGATGTTTGCATTCAAATCCCAGAATTGAACCTTCCTTTGAAAGTTCAGGTTGGAAACACTCTTTTTGCAGGATCTACAAGTGGATATTCGGACCACTCTGTGGACTTCGTTCGAAACGGGTATATCTTCACATTACATCTAGACAGAAGCATTCTCAGAAACTTTTCTGTGATGACTGCATTCAACTCACAGAGTTGAACACTCCTTTTGAGAGCGCAGTTTTGAAACTCTCTTTCTCTGGAATCTGCAAGGGGACATGCAGACCTCTTTGAAGGTTTCGTTGGAAACGGAATCATCTTCACATAAAAATTACACAGAGGCATCCTCAGGAACTCCTTGGTGATGTTTGTATTCAACTTCCAGAGTTGAACTTTCCTTCGGAAAGAGCAGCTATGAAACACTCTCTTTCTAGAATCTGCAAGTGGACATTGGGAGGGCTGTGAGGTTTGTGGTGGAAAAGGAAATATCTCCACATAAATACTAGATAGAAGCCTTCTCAGAAACTACTTTGTGATGATTGCATTCACCTCACGGAGTTGAGCATCCCTATTGACAGAGCAGTTTGGAAACACTCTTGTTGTACAATAGGCTAGTGGAGATTTGGAGCGCTTTGAGGCCTATGGTAGTAAAGGGAAGAGCTTCACATAAAATCTAGACAGAAGCATTCTCAGAAAATACTTTGTGATGATTGAGTTTAACACACAGAGCTGAACATTCCTTTGGATGGAGAAGGTTTGAAACACACTTTCTGTAGAATCTGCGAGTGGATATTTGGACCTCTCTGAGGATTTCGTTGGAAACGGGATAACTGCACCTAACTAAACGGAAGCATTCTCACAAAATTCTTTGTGATGTTTGCATTCATATCCCAGAGTTGAACCTTCCTTTGATAGTTCAGCTTTGAAACACTCTTTTTGTAGGATCTGCAGGTGGATATTTGGACCACTCTTTGGCCTTCGTTCGAAACGGGTACATCTTCAAATAAAATCTAGACAGAAGCCTTCTCAGAAACTTCTCTGTGACGATTGCATTCAACTCAAAGCGTTGAACCCTCCTATGGATAGAGCAGTTTTGAATCTCTCTTTTTGTGGAATCTGCAAGTGGATATGTGGTCCTCTTTGAAGATGTCTTTGGAAACGGGAATATCTTCACATAAAAACTAAACAGAAGCATTCTCAGAAACTTCTCTGTGATGTTTGTGTTCAACTCACAGAGTTTCACGTTGCTTTTCATAGAGCAGATGAGAAACATGCTTTTCGTAGGGTCTGCAAGTGGACATTTGGAGAGCTTTCAGGCCTGTGGTGGAAAACGAATTATCGTCACGTAAAAACTAGAGAGAAGCATTGTCAGAAACTTGTTTGTGATGACTGCATTCAACTCACAGAGTTGAAGGTTCCTTTTCAAACAGCAGTTTCCAAACACTCTTTCTGTGGCATCTGCAAGTGGATGTTTGGGCCTCTTTGAAGATTTCGTTGGAAACGGGATAATCTTCACAGAAAAGTTAAACAGAAGCATGCTCAGAAACTTCTTTGTGATGTTTGCTTTCAACTCACAGAGTTGAACTTTCCTTTTGAGAGAGAAGCTTTGAAACACTCTTTTTCTAGAATCTGCAAGTGGATATTTGGAGGGCTTTGAGGCCTGAGGTGGAACAGGAATTATCTTCCCGTAAGAACTAGATAGATGCATTCTCAGAAACTACTTTGTGACGATTGCATTCAAGTCACAGAGGTGAACATTCCCTTTCAGAGAGCACTTTGGAAACTCTCGTTGTGTAGAATCTGCAAGTGGAGATATGGACCGCTTTGAGGCCTATGGTAGTAAAGGAAACAGCTTCATATAAAAACTAGACAGCAGCATTCTCAGAAAACTCTTTGTGACGACTGAGTTTAACTCACAGGGCTGAACATTCCTTTGGATGGAGCAGTTTGGAAACACACTATCTGTAGGATCTGCAAGCGGATACTTGGGCCTCCCTGAGGATTTCGTTGGAAACGGGATACACCGCACAGAACTAAACAGAAGCATTCTCAGAACCTTCTTCGTGATGTTTGCATTCAACCCACAGTGTTGAACCTTTCTTTGATAGTTCAGGTTTGAAACACTCTTTTTGTAGAAACTGCAAGTGGATAACTGCACTTCTTTGAGGCCTATCGTAGTAAAGGAAATAACTTCCTATAAAAACAAGACAGAAGCTTTCTCAGAAAATTCTCTGGGATGATTGAGTTGAACTCACAGGGCAGTACTTTCCTTGGGATGGAGTAATTTCGAAACACATTTTCTGTAGAATCTGCAAGTGGATATTTGGACCTGTCTGAGGAATTCGTTGCAAACGGGATAATTTCAGCTACGTAAACAGAAGCAGTCTCAGAATCTTCTTGTGATGTTTGCATTCAAATCCCAGAATTGAACCTTCCTTTGAAAGTTCAGGTTGGAAACACTCTTTTTGCAGGATCTACAAGTGGATATTCGGACCACTCTGTGGACTTCGTTCGAAACGGGTATATCTTCACATAACATCTAGACAGAAGCATTCTCAGAAACTTTTCTGTGATGACTGCATTCAACTCACAGAGTTGAACACTCCTTTTGAGAGCGCAGTTTTGAAACTCTCTTTCTCTGGAATCTGCAAGGGGACATGCAGACCTCTTTGAAGGTTTCGTTGGAAACGGAATCATCTTCACATAAAAATTACACAGAAGCATCCTCAGGAACTCCTTGGTGATGTTTGTATTCAACTTCCAGAGTTGAACTTTCCTTCGGAAAGAGCAGCTATGAAACACTCTTTTTCTAGAATCTGCAAGTGGACATTGGGAGGGCTGTGAGGTTTGTGGTGGAAAAGGAAATATCTCCACATAAATACTAGATAGAAGCCTTCTCAGAAACTACTTTGTGATGATTGCATTCACCTCACGGATTGGAGCATTCCTATTGACAGAGCAGTTTGGAAACACTCTTCTCGTAGAATCGGCTAGTGGAGATTTGGAGCGCTTTGAGGCCTATGGTAGTAAAGGGAAGAGCTTCACATAAAATCTAGACAGAAGCATTCTCAGAAAATACTTTGTGATGATTGAGTTTAACACACAGAGCTGAACATTCCTTTGGATGGAGAAGGTTTGAAACACACTTTCTGTAGAATCTGCGAGTGGATATTTGGACCTCTCTGAGGATTTCGTTGGAAACGGGATAACTGCACCTAACTAAACGGAAGCATTCTCACAAAATTCTTTGTGATGTTTGCATTCAAATCCCATAGTTGAACCTTCCTTTGATAGTTCAGGTTTGAAACACTCTTTTTGTAGGATCTGCAGGTGGATATTTGGACAACTCTTTGGCCTTCGTTCGAAACGGGTACATCTTCAAATAAAATCTAGACAGAAGCCTTCTCAGAAACTTCTCTGTGACGATTGCATTCAACTCAAAGAGTTGAACCCTCCTATGGATAGAGCAGTTTTGAATCTCTCTTTTTGTGGAATCTGCAAGTGGATATGTGGTCCTCTTTGAAGATGTCTTTGGAAACGGGAATATCTTCACATAAAAACTAAACAGAAGCATTCTCAGAAACTTCTCTGTGATGTTTGTGTTCAACTCACAGAGTTTCACGTTGCTTTTCATAGAGCAGATGAGAAACATGCTTTTCGTAGGGTCTGCAAGTGGACATTTGGAGAGATTTCAGGCCTGTGGTGGAAAACGAATTATCGTCACGTAAAAACTAGAGAGAAGCATTGTCAGAAACTTGTTTGTGATGACTGCATTCAACTCACAGAGTTGAAGGTTCCTTTTCAAACAGCAGTTTCCAAACACTCTTTCTGTGGCATCTGCAAGTGGATGTTTGGGCCTCTTTGAAGATTTCGTTGGAAACGGGATAATCTTCACAGAAAAGCTAAACAGAAGCATTCTCAGAAACTTCTTTGTCATGTTTGCTTTCAACTCACAGAGTTGAACTTTCCTTTTGAGAGAGAAGCTTTGAAACACTCTTTTTCTAGAATCCGCAAGTGGATATTTGGAGGGCTTTGAGGCCTGAGGTGGAAAAGGAATTATCTTCCCGTAAGAACTAGATAGATGCATTCTCAGAAACTACTTTGTGACGATTGCATTCAAGTCACAGAGGTGAACATTCCCTTTCAGAGAGCACTTTGGAAACTCTCGTTGTGTAGAATCTGCAAGTGGAGATATGGACCGCTTTGAGGCCTATGGTAGTAAAGGAAACAGCTTCATATAAAAACTAGACAACAGCATTCTCAGAAAACTCTTTGTGACGACTGAGTTTAACTCACAGGGCTGAACATTCCTTTGGATGGAGCAGTTTGGAAACACACTATCTGTAGGATCTGCAAGCGGATACTTGGGCCTCGCTGAGGATTTCGTTGGAAACAGGATAAACCGCACAGAACTAAACAGAAGCATTCTCAGAACCTTCTTCGTGATGTTTGCATTCAACCCACAGTGTTGAACCTTTCTTTGATAGTTCAGGTTTGAAACACTCTTTTTGTAGAAACTGCAAGTGGATAACTGCACTTCTTTGAGGCCTATCGTAGTAAAGGAAATAACTTCCTATAAAAACAAGACAGAAGCTTTCTCAGAAAATTCTCTGGGATGATTGAGTTGAACTCACAGAGCACTACTTTCCTTGGGATGGAGTAGTTTCGAAACACACTTTCTGTAGAATCTGCAAGTGGATATTTGGACCTGTCTGAGGAATTCGTTGCAAACGGGATAATTTCAGCTAAGTAAACAGAAGCAGTCTCAGAATCTTCCTGTGATGTTTGCATTCAAATCCCAGAATTGAACCTTCCTTTGAAAGCTCAGGTTGGAAACACTCTTTTTGCAGGATCTACAAGTGGATATTCGGACCACTCTGTGGACTTCGTTCGAAACGGGTATATCTTCACATAACATCTAGACAGAAGCATTCTCAGAAACTTTTCTGTGATGACTGCATTCAACTCACAGAGTTGAACACTCCTTTTGAGAGCGCAGTTTTGAAACTCTCTTTCTCTGGAATCTGCAAGGGGACATGCAGACCTCTTTGAAGGTTTCGTTGGAAACGGAATCATCTTCACATAAAAATTACACAGAAGCATTCTCAGGAACTCCTTGGTGATGTTTGTATTCAACTTCCAGAGTTGAACTTTCCTTCGGAAAGAGCAGCTATGAAACACTCTTTTTCTAGAATCTGCAAGTGGACATTGGGAGGGCTGTGAGGTTTGTGGTGGAAAAGGAAATATCTCCACATAAATACTAGATAGAAGCCTTCTCAGAAACTACTTTGTGATGATTGCATTCACCTCACGGAGTGGAGCATTCCTATTGACAGAGCAGTTTGGATACACTCTTCTTGTAGAATCGGCTAGCGGAGATTTGGAGCGCTTTGAGGCCTATGGTAGTAAAGGGAAGAGCTTCACATAAAATCTAGACAGAAGCATTCTCAGAAAATACTTTGTGATGATTGAGTTTAACACACAGAGCTGAACATTCCTTTGGATGGAGAAGGTTTGAAACACACTTTCTGTAGAATCTGCGAGTGGATATTTGGACCTCTCTGAGGATTTCGTTGGAAACGGGATAACTGCACCTAACTAAACGGAAGCATTCTCACAAAATTCTTCGTGAGGTTTGCATTCAAATCCCAGAGTTGAACCTTCCTTTGAGAGTTCAGCTTTGAAACACTCTTTTTGTAGGATCTGCAGGTGGATATTTGGACCACTCTTTGGCCTTCGTTCGAAACGGGTACATCTTCAAATAAAATCTAGACAGAAGCCTTCTCAGAAACTTCTCTGTGACGATTGCATTCAACTCAAAGCGTTGAACCCTCCTATGGATAGAGCAGTTTTGAATCTCTCTTTTTGTGGAATCTGCAACTGGATATGTGGTCCTCTTTGAAGATGTCTTTGGAAACGGGAATATCTTCACATAAAAACTAAACAGAAGCATTCTCAGAAACTTCTCTGTGATGTTTGTGTTCAACTCACAGAGTTTCACGTTGCTTTTCATAGAGCAGATGAGAAACATGCTTTTCGTAGGGTCTGCAAGTGGACATTTGGAGAGCTTTCAGGCCTGTGGTGGAAAACGAATTATCGTCACGTAAAAACTAGAGAGAAGCATTGTCAGAAACTTGTTTGTGATGACTGCATTCAACTCACAGAGTTGAAGGTTCCTTTTCAAACAGCAGTTTCCAAACACTCTTTCTGTGGCATCTGCAAGTGGATGTTTGGGCCTCTTTGAAGATTTCGTTGGAAACGGGATAATCTTCACAGAAAAGCTAAACAGAAACATTCTCAGAAACTTCTTTTGATGTTTGCTTTCAACTCACAGAGTTGAACTTTCCTTTTGAGAGAGAAGCTTTGAAACACTCTTTTTCTAGAATCTGCAAGTGGATATTTGGAGGGCTTTGAGGCCTGTGGTGGAAAAGGAATTATCTTCCCGTAAGAACTAGATAGATGCATTCTCAGAAACTACTTTGTGACGATTGCATTCAAGTCACAGAGGTGAACATTCCCTTTCAGAGAGCACTTTGGAAACCCCCGTTCTGTAGAATCTGCAAGTGGAGATATGGACCGCTTTGAGGCCTATGGTAGTAAAGGAAACAGCTTCATATAAAAACTAGACAGCAGCATTCTCAGAAAACTCTTTGTGACGACTGAGTTTAACTCACAGGGCTGAACATTCCTTTGGATGGAGCAGTTTGGAAACACACTATCTGTAGGATCTGCAAGCGGATACTTGGGCCTCCCTGAGGATTTCGTTGGAAACGGGATAAACCGCACAGAACTAAACAGAAGCATTCTCAGAACCTTCTTCGTGATGTTTGCATTCAACCCACAGTGTTGAAACTTTCTTTGATAGTTCAGGTTTGAAACACTCTTTTTGTAGAAACTTCAAGTGGATAACTGCACTTCTTTGAGGCCTATCATAGTAAAGGAAATAACTTCCTATAAAAACAAGACAGAAGCTTTCTCAGAAAATTCTCTGGGATGATTGAGTTGAACTCACAGAGCAGTACTTTCTTTGGGATGGAGTAGTTTCGAAACACACTTTCTGTACAATCTGCAAGTGGATATTTGGACCTGTCTGAGGAATTCGTTGCAAACGGGATAATTTCAGCTAAGTAAACAGAAGCAGTCTCAGAATCTTCTTGTGATGTTTGCATTCAAATCCCAGAATTGAACCTTCCTTTGAAAGTTCAGGTTGGAAACACTCTTTTTGCAGGATCTACAAGTGGATATTCGGACCACTCTGTGGACTTCATTCGAAACGGCTATATCTTCACATAACATCTAGACAGAAGCATTCTCAGAAACTTTTCTGTGATGACTGCATTCAACTCACAGAGTTGAACACTCCTTTTGAGAGCGCAGTTTTGAAACTCTCTTTCTCTGGAATCTGCAAGGGGACATGCAGACCTCTTTGAAGGTTTCGTTGGAAACGGAATCATCTTCACATAAAAATTACACAGAAGCATCCTCAGGAACTCCTTGGTGATGTTTGTATTCAACTTCCAGAGTTGAACTTTCCTTCGGAAAGAGCAGCTATGAAACACTCTTTTTCTAGAATCTGCCAGTGGACATTGGGAGGGCTGTGAGGTTTGTGGTGGAAAAGGAAATATCTCCACATAAATACTAGATAGAAGCCTTCTCAGAAACTACTTTGTGATGATTGCATTCACCTCACGGAGTGGAGCATTCCTATTGACAGAGCAGTTTGGAAACACTCTTGTTGTAGAATCTCCTAGTGGAGATTTGGAGCGCTTTGAGGCCTACGGTAGTAAAGGGAAGAGCTTCACATAAAATCTAGACAGAAGCATTCTCAGAAAATACTTTGTGATGATTGAGTTTAACACACAGAGCTGAACATTCCTTTGGATGGAGCAGGTTTGAAACACACTTTCTGTAGAATCTGCGAGTGGATATTTGGACCTCTCTGAGGATTTCGTTGGAAACGGGATAACTGCACCTAACTAAACGGAAGCATTCTCACAAAATTCTTTGTGATGTTTGCATTCAAATCCCAGAGTTGAACCTTCCTTTGATAGTTCAGCTTTGAAACACTCTTTTTGTAGGATCTGCTGGTGGATATTTGGACCACTCTTTGGCCTTCGTTCGAAACGGGTACATCTTCAAATAAAATCTAGACAGAAGCCTTCTCAGAAACTTCTCTGTGACGATTGCATTCAACTCAAAGAGTTGAACCCTCCTATGGATAGAGCAGTTTTGAATCTCTCTTTTTGTGGAATCTGCAAGTGGATATGTGGTCCTCTTTGAAGATGTCTTTGGAAACAGGAATATCTTCACATAAAAACTAAACAGAAGCATTCTCAGAAACTTCTCTGTGATGTTTGTGTTCAACTCACAGAGTTTCACGTTGCTTTTCATAGAGCAGATGAGAAACATGCTTTTCGTAGGGTCTGCAAGTGGACATTTGGAGAGATTTCAGGCCTGTGGTGGAAAACGAATTATCGTCACGTAAAAACTAGAGAGAAGCATTGTCAGAAACTTGTTTGTGATGACTGCATTCAACTCACAGAGTTGAAGGTTCCTTTTCAAACAGCAGTTTCCAAACACTCTTTCTGTGGCATCTGCAAGTGGATGTTTGGGCCTCTTTGAAGATTTCGTTGGAAACGGGATACTCTTCACAGAAAAGCTAAACAGAAGCATTCTCAGAAACTTCTTTGAGATGTTTGCTTTCAACTCACAGAGTTGAACTTTCCTTTTGAGAGAGAAGCTTTGAAACACTCTTTTTCTAGAATCTGCAAGTGGATATTTGGAGGGCTTTGAGGCCTGTGGTGGAAAAGGAATTAACTTCCCGTAAGAACTAGATAGATGCATTCTCAGAAACTACTTTGTGACGATTGCATTCAAGTCCCAGAGGTGAACATTCCCTTTCAGAGAGCACTTTGGAAACTCTCGTTGTGTAGAATCTGCAAGTGGAGATATGGACCGCTTTGAGGCCTATGGTAGTAAAGGAAACAGCTTCATATAAAAACTAGACAGCAGCATTCTCAGAAAACTCTTTGTGACGACTGAGTTTAACTCACAGGGCTGAACATTCCTTTGGATGGAGCAGTTTGGAAACACACTATCTGTAGGATCTGCAAGCGGATACTTGGGCCTCTCTGAGGATTTCGTTGGAAACGGGATAAACCGCACAGAACTAAACAGAAGCATTCTCAGAACTTTCTTCGTGATGTTTGCATTCAACCCACAGTGTTGAACCTTTCTTTGATAGTTCAGGTTTGAAACACTCTTTTTGTAGAAACTGCAAGTGGATAACTGGACTTCTTTGAGGCCTATCGTAGTAAAGGAAATAACTTCCTATAAAAACAAGACAGAAGCTTTCTCAAAAAATTCTCTGGGATGATTGAGTTGAACTCACAGAGCAGTACTTTCCTTGGGATGGAGTAGTTTCGAAACACACTTTCTGTAGAATCTGCAAGTGGATATTTGGACCTGTCTGAGGAATTCGTTGCAAACGGGATAATTTCAGCTAAGTAAACAGAAGCAGTCTCAGAATCTTCTTGTGATGTTTGCATTCAAATCCCAGAATTGAACCTTCCTTTGAAAGTTCAGGTTGGAAACACTCTTTTTGCAGGATCTACAAGTGGATATTCGGACCACTCTGTGGACTTCGTTCGAAACGGGTATATCTTCACATAACATCTAGACAGAAGCATTCTCAGAAACTTTTCTGTGATGACTGCATTCAACTCACAGAGTTGAACACTCCTTTTGAGAGCGCAGTTTTGAAACTCTCTTTCTCTGGAATCTGCAAGGGGACATGCAGACCTCTT
This sequence comes from Homo sapiens, assembly GCF_000001405.40. Lineage (NCBI taxonomy): Eukaryota > Metazoa > Chordata > Mammalia > Primates > Hominidae > Homo > Homo sapiens. Next base: position 22,860,221 of record NC_000017.11, read on the forward strand.
TGAAGGTTTCGTTGGAAACGGAATCATCTTCACATAAAAATTACACAGAAGCATCCTCAGGAACTCCTTGGTGATGTTTGTATTCAACTTCCAGAGGTGAACTTTCCTTCGGAAAGAGCAGCTATGAAACACTCTTTTTCTAGAATCTGCAAGTGGACATTGGGAGGGCTGTGAGGTTTGTGGTGGAAAAGGAAATATCTCCACATAAGTACTAGATAGAAGCCTTCTCAGAAACTACTTTGTGATGATTGCATTCACCTCACGGAGTGGAGCATTCCTATTGACAGAGCAGTTTGGAAACACTCTTCTTGTAGAATCGGCTAGTGGAGATTTGGAGCGCTTTGAGGCCTATGGTAGTAAAGGGAAGAGCTTCACATAAAATCTAGACAGAAGCATTCTCAGAAAATACTTTGTGATGATTGAGTTTAACACACAGAGCTGAACATTCCTTTGGATGGAGAAGGTTGGAACCACACTTTCTGTAGAATCTGCGAGTGGATATTTGGACCTCTCTGAGGATTTCGTTGGAAACGGGATAACTGCACCTAACTAAACGGAAGCATTCTCACAAAATTCTTTGTGATATTTGCATTCAAATCCCAGAGTTGAACCTTCCTTTGATAGTTCAGCTTTGGAACACTCTTTTTGTAGGATCTGCAGGTGGATATTTGGACCACTCTTTGGCCTTCGTTCAAAACGGGTACATCTTCAAATAAAATCTAGACAGAAGCCTTCTCAGAAACTTCTCTGTGACGATTGCATTCAACTCAAAGCGTTGAACCCTCCTATGGATAGAGCAGTTTTGAATCTCTCTTTTTGTGGAATCTGCAAGTGGATATGTGGTCCTCTTTGAAGATGTCTTTGGAAACGGGAATATCTTCACATAAAAACTAAACAGAAGCATTCTCAGAAACTTCTCTGTGATGTTTGTGTTCAACTCACAGAGTTTCATGTTGCTTTTCATAGAGCAGATGAGAAACATGCTTTTCGTAGGGTCTGCAAGTGGACATTTGGAGAGATTTCAGGCCTGTGGTGGAAAACGAATTATCGTCACGTAAAAACTAGAGAGAAGCATTGTCAGAAACTTGTTTGTGATGACTGCATTCAACTCACAGAGTTGAAGGTTCCTTTTCAAACAGCAGTTTCCAAACACTCTTTCTGTGGCATCTGCAAGTGGATGTTTGGGCCTCTTTGAAGATTTCGTTGGAAACGGGATAATCTTCACAGAAAAGCTAAACAGAAGCATTCTCAGAAACTTCTTTGTGATGTTTGCTTTCAACTCACAGAGTTGAACTTTCCTTTTGAGAGAGAAGCTTTGAACCACTCTTTTTCTAGAATCTGCAAGTGGATATTTGGAGGGCTTTGAGGCCTGAGGTGGAAAAGGAATTATCTTCCCGTAAGAACTAGATAGATGCATTCTCAGAAACTACTTTGTGACGAATGCATTCAAGTCACAGAGGTGAACATTCCCTTTCAGAGAGCACTTTGGAAACTCTCGTTGTGTAGAATCTGCAAGTGGAGATATGGACCGCTTTGAGGCCTATGGTAGTAAAGGAAACAGCTTCATATAAAAACTAGACAGCAGCATTCTCAGAAAACTCTTTGTGACGACTGAGTTTAACTCACAGGGCTGAACATTCCTTTGGATGGAGCAGTTTGGAAACACACTATCTGTAGGATCTGCAAGCGGATACTTGGGCCTCCCTGAGGATTTCGTTGGAAACGGGATAAACCGCACAGAACTAAACAGAAGCATTCTCAGAACCTTCTTCGTGATGTTTGCATTCAACCCACAGTGTTGAAACTTTCTTTGATAGTTCAGGTTTGAAACACTCTTTTTGTAGAAACTTCAAGTGGATAACTGCACTTCTTTGAGGCCTATCGTAGTAAAGGAAATAACTTCCTATAAAAACAAGACAGAAGCTTTCTCAGAAAATTCTCTGGGATGATTGAGTTGAACTCACAGAGCAGTACTTTCTTTGGGATGGAGTAGTTTCGAAACACACTTTCTGTACAATCTGCAAGTGGATATTTGGACCTGTCTGAGGAATTCGTTGCAAACGGGATAATTTCAGCTAAGTAAACAGAAGCAGTCTCAGAATCTTCTTGTGATGTTTGCATTCAAATCCCAGAATTGAACCTTCCTTTGAACGTTCAGGTTGGAAACACTCTTTTTGCAGGATCTACAAGTGGATATTCGGACCACTCTGTGGACTTCGATCGAAACGGGTATATCTTCACATAACATCTAGACAGAAGCATTCTCAGAAACTTTTCTGTGATGACTGCATTCAACTCACAGAGTTGAACACTCCTTTTGAGAGCGCAGTTTTGAAACTCTCTTTCTCTGGAATCTGCAAGGGGACATGCAGACCTCTTTGAAGGTTTCGTTGGAAACGGAATCATCTTCACATAAAAATTACACAGAGGCATCCTCAGGAACTCTTTGGTGATGTTTGTATTCAACTTCCAGAGTTGAACTTTCCTTCGGAAAGAGCAGCTATGAAACACTCTCTTTCTAGAATCTGCAAGTGGACATTGGGAGGGCTGTGAGGTTTGTGGTGGAAAAGGAAATATCTCCACATAAATACTAGATAGAAGCCTTCTCAGAAACTACTTTGTGATGATTGCATTCACCTCACGGAGTTGAGCATCCCTATTGACAGAGCAGTTTGGAAACACTCTTGTTGTAGAATAGGCTAGTGGAGATTTGGAGCGCTTTGAGGCCTATGGTAGTAAAGGGAAGAGCTTCACATAAAATCTAGACAGAAGCATTCTCAGAAAATACTTTGTGATGATTGAGTTTAACACACAGAGCTGAACATTCCTTTGGATGGAGAAGGTTTGAAACACACTTTCTGTAGAATCTGCGAGTGGATATTTGGACCTCTCTGAGGATTTCGTTGGAAACGGGATAACTGCACCTAACTAAACGGAAGCATTCTCACAAAATTCTTTGTGATGTTTGCATTCAAATCCCAGAGTTGAACCTTCCTTTGATAGTTCAGTTTTGAAACACTCTTTTTGTAGGATCTACAGGTGGATATTTGGACCACTCTTTGGCCTTCGTTCGAAAAGGGTACATCTTCAAATAAAATCTAGACAGAAGCCTTCTCAGAAACTTCTCTGTGACGATTGCATTCAACTCAAAGCGTTGAACCCTCCTATGGATAGAGCAGTTTTGAATCTCTCTTTTTGTGGAATCTGCAAGTGGATATGTGGTCCTCTTTGAAGATGTCTTTGGAAACGGGAATATCTTCACATAAAAACTAAACAGAAGCATTCTCAGAAACTTCTCTGTGATGTTTGTGTTCAACTCACAGAGTTTCACGTTGCTTTTCATAGAGCAGATGAGAAACATGCTTTTCGTAGGGTCTGCAAGTGGACATTTGGAGAGATTTCAGGCCTGTGGTGGAAAACGAATTATCGTCACGTAAAAACTAGAGAGAAGCATTGTCAGAAACTTGTTTGTGATGACTGCATTCAACTCACAGAGTTGAAGGTTCCTTTTCAAACAGCAGTTTCCAAACACTCTTTCTGTGGCATCTGCAAGTGGATGTTTGGGCCTCTTTGAAGATTTCGTTGGAAACGGGATAATCTTCACAGAAAAGCTAAACAGAAGCATTCTCAGAAACTTCTTTGTGATGTTTGCTTTCAACTCACAGAGTTGAACTTTCCTTTTGAGAGAGAAGCTTTGAAACACTCTTTTTCTAGAATCTGCAAGTGGATATTTGGAGGGCTTTGAGGCCTGAGGTGGAAAAGGAATTATCTTCCCGTAAGAACTAGATAGATGCATTCTCAGAAACTACTTTGTGACGATTGCATTCAAGTCACAGAGGTGAACATTCCCTTTCACAGAGCACTTTGGAAACTCTCGTTGTGTAGAATCTGCAAGTGGAGATATGGACCGCTTTGAGGCCTATGGTAGTAAAGGAAACAGCTTCATATAAAAACTAGACAGCAGCATTCTCAGAAAACTCTTTGTGACGACTGAGTTTAACTCACAGGGCTGAACATTCCTTTGGATGGAGCAGTTTGGAAACACACTATCTGTAGGATCTGCAAGCGGATACTTGGGCCTCTCTGAGGATTTCGTTGGAAACGGGATAAACCGCACAGAACTAAACAGAAGCATTCTCAGAACCTTCTTCGTGGCGTTTGCATTCAACACACAGTGTTGAACCTTTCTTTGATAGTTCAGGTTTGAAACACTCTTTTTGTAGAAACTGCAAGTGGATAACTGCACTTCTTTGAGGCCTATCGTAGTAAAGGAAATAACTTCCTATAAAAACAAGACAGAAGCTTTCTCAGAAAATTCTCTGGGATGATTGAGTTGAACTCACAGAGCAGTACTTTCCTTGGGATGGAGGAGTTTCGAAACACACTTTCTGTACAATCTGCAAGTGGATATTTGGACCTGTCTGAGGAATTCGTTGCAAACGGGATAATTTCAGCTAAGTAAACAGAAGCAGTCTCAGAATCTTCTTGTGATGTTTGCATTCAAATCCCAGAATTGAACCTTCCTTTGAGAGTTCAGGTTGGAAACACTCTTTTTGCAGGATCTACAAGTGGATATTCGGACCACTCTGTGGACTTCGTTCGAAACGGGTATATCTTCACATAACATCTAGACAGAAGCATTCTCAGAAACTTTTCTGTGATGACTGCATTCAACTCACAGAGTTGAACACTCCTTTTGAGAGCGCAGTTTTGAAACTCTCTTTCTCTGGAATCTGCAAGGGGACATGCAGACCTCTTTGAAGGTTTCATTGGAAACAGAATCATCTTCACATAAAAATTACACAGAAGCATTCTCAGGAACTCCTTGGTGATGTTTGTATTCAACTTCCAGAGTTGAACTTTCCTTCGGAAAGAGCAGCTATGAAACACTCCTTTTCTAGAATCTGCAAGTGGACATTGGGAGGGCTGTGAGGTTTGTGGTGGAAAAGGAAATATCTCCACGTAAATACTAGATATAAGCCTTCTCAGAAACTACTTTGTGATGATTGCATTCACCTCACGGAGTGGAGCATTCCTATTGACAGAGCAGTTTGGAAACACTCTTGTTGTAGAATCGGCTAGTGGAGATTTGGAGCGCTTTGAGGCCTATGGTAGTAAAGGGAAGAGCTTCACATAAAATCTAGACAGAAGCATTCTCAGAAAATACTTTGTGATGATTGAGTTTAACACACAGAGCTGAACATTCCTTTGGATGGAGAAGGTTTGAAACACACTTTCTGTAGAATCTGCGAGTGGATATTTGGACCTCTCTGAGGATTTCGTTGGAAACGGGATAACTGCACCTAACTAAACGGAAGCATTCTCACAAAATTCTTTGTGATGTTTGCTTTCAAATCCCAGAGTTGAACCTTCCTTTGATAGTTCAGCTTTGAAACACTCTTTTTGTAGGATCTGCTGGTGGATATTTGGACCACTCTTTGGCCTTCATTCGAAACGGGTACATCTTCAAATAAAATCTAGACAGAAGCCTTCTCAGAAACTTCTCTGTGACGATTGCATTCAACTCAAAGCGTTGAACCCTCCTATGGATAGAGCAGTTTTGAATCTCTCTTTTTGTGGAATCTGCAAGTGGATATGTGGTCCTCTTTGAAGATGTCTTTGGAAACGGGAATATCTTCACATAAAAACTAAACAGAAGCATTCTCAGAAACTTCTCTGTGATGTTTGTGTTCAACTCACAGAGTTTCACGTTGCTTTTCATAGAGCAGATGAGAAACATGCTTTTCGTAGGGTCTGCAAGTGGACATTTGGAGAGATTTCCGGCCTGTGGTGGAAAACGAATTATCGTCACGTAAAAACTAGAGAGAAGCATTGTCAGAAACTTGTTTGTGATGACTGCATTCAACTCACAGAGTTGAAGGTTCCTTTTCAAACAGCAGTTTCCAAACACTCTTTCTGTGGCATCTGCAAGTGGATGTTTGGGCCTCTTTGAAGATTTCGTTGGAAACGGGATAATCTTCACAGAAAAGCTAAACAGAAGCATTCTCAGAAACTTCTTTGTGATGTTTGCTTTCAACTCACAGAGTTGAACTTTCCTTTTGAGAGAGAAGCTTTGAAACACTCTTTTTCTAGAATCTGCAAGTGGATATTTGGAGGGCTTTGAGGCCTGTGGTGGAAAAGGAATTATCTTCCCGTAAGAACTAGATAGATGCATTCTCAGAAACTACTTTGTGACGATTGCATTCAAGTCACAGAGGTGAACATTCCCTTTCAGAGAGCACTTTGGAAACTCTCGTTGTGTAGAATCTGCAAGTGGAGATATGGACCGCTTTGAGGCCTATGGTAGTAAAGGAAACAGCTTCATATAAAAACTAGACAGCAGCATTCTCAGAAAACTCTTTGTGACGACTGAGTTAAACTCACAGGGCTGAACATTCCTTTGGATGGAGCAGTTTGGAAACACACTATCTGTAGGATCTGCAAGCGGATACTTGGGCCTCCCTGAGGATTTCGTGGGAAACGGGATAAACCGCACAGAACTAAACAGAAGCATTCTCAGAACCTTCTTCGTGATGTTTGCATTCAACCCACAGTGTTGAACCTTTCTTTGATAGTTCAGGTTTGAAACACTCTTTTTGTAGAAACTGCAAGTGGATAACTGCACTTCTTTGAGGCCTATCGTAATAAAGGAAATAACTTCCTATAAAAACAAGACAGAAGCTTTCTCAGAAAATTCTCTGGGATGATTGAGTTGAACTCACAGAGCAGTACTTTCCTTGGGATGGAGTAGTTTCGAAACACACTTTCTGTAGAATCTGCAAGTGGATATTTGGACCTGTCTGAGGAATTCGTTGCAAACGGGATAATTTCAGCTAAGTAAACAGAAGCAGTCTCAGAATCTTCTTGTGATGTTTGCATTCAAATCCCAGAATTGAACCTTCCTTTGAAAGTTCAGGTTTGAAACACTCTTTTTGCAGGATCTACAAGTGGATATTCGGACCACTCTGTGGACTTCGTTCGAAACGGGTATATCTTCACATAACATCTACACAGAAGCATTCTCAGAAACTTTTCTGTGATGACTGCATTCAACTCACAGAGTTGAACACTCCTTTTGAGAGCGCAGTTTTGAAACTCTCTTTCTCTGGAATCTGCAAGGGGACATGCAGACCTCTTTGAAGGTTTCGTTGGAAACGGAATCATCTTCACATAAAAATTACACAGAAGCATCCTCAGGAACTCCTTGGTGATGTTTGTATTCAACTTCCAGAGTTGAACTTTCCTTCGGAAAGAGCAGCTATGAAACACTCTTTTTCTAGAATCTGCAAGTGGACATTGGGAGGGCTGTGAGGTTTGTGGTGGAAAAGGAAATATCTCCACATAAATACTAGATAGAAGCCTTCTCAGAAACTACTTTGTGATGATTGCATTCACCTCACGGAGTGGAGCATTCCTATTGACAGAGCAGTTTGGAAACACTCTTGTTGTAGAATCGGCTAGTGGAGATTTGGAGCGCTTTGAGGCCTATGGTAGTAAAGGGAAGAGCTTCACATAAAATCTAGACAGAAGCATTCTCAGAAAATACTTTGTGATGATTGAGTTTAACACACAGAGCTGAACATTCCTTTGGATGGAGAAGGTTTGAAACACACTTTCTGTAGAATCTGCGAGTGGATATTTGGACCTCTCTGAGGATTTCGTTGGAAACGGGATAACTGCACCTAACTAAACGGAAGCATTCTCACAAAATTCTGTGTGATGTTTGCATTCAAATCCCAGAGTTGAACTTTCCTTTGATAGTTCAGCTTTGAAACACTCTTTTTGTAGGTTCTGCAGGTGGATATTTGGACCACTCTTTGGCCTTCGTTCGAAACGGGTACATCTTCAAATAAAATCTAGACAGAAGCCTTCTCAGAAACTTCTCTGTGACGATTGCATTCAACTCAAAGCGTTGAAACCTCCTATGGATAGAGCAGTTTTGAATCTCTCTTTTTGTGGAATCTGCAAGTGGATATGTGGTCCTCTTTGAAGATGTCTTTGGAAACGGGAATATCTTCACATTAAAACTAAACAGAAGCATTCTCAGAAACTTCTCTGTGATGTTTGTGTTCAACTCACAGAGTTTCACGTTGCTTTTCATAGAGCAGATGAGAAACATGCTTTTCGTAGTGTCTGCAAGTGGACATTTGGAGAGCTTTCAGGCCTGTGGTGGAAAACGAATTATCGTCACGTAAAAACTAGAGAGAAGCATTGTCAGAAACTTGTTTGTGATGACTGCATTCAACTCACAGAGTTGAAGGTTCCTTTTCAAACAGCAGTTTCCAAACACTCTTTCTGAGGCATCTGCAAGTGGATGTTTGGGCCTCTTTGAAGATTTCGTTGGAAACTGGATAATCTTCACAGAAAAGCTAAACAGAAGCATTCTCAGAAACTTCTTTGTGATGTTTGCTTTCAACTCACAGAGTTGAACTTTCCTTTTGAGAGAGAAGCTTTGAAACACTCTTTTTCTAGAATCTGCAAGTGGATATTTGGAGGGCTTTGAGGCCTGAGGTGGAAAAGGAATTATCTTCCCGTAAGAACTAGATAGATGCATTCTCAGAAACTACTTTGTGACGATTGCATTCAAGTCACAGAGGTGAACATTCCCTTTCACAGAGCACTTTGGAAACTCTCGTTGTGTAGAATCTGCAAGTGGAGATATGGACCGCTTTGAGGCCTATGGTAGTAAAGGAAACAGCTTCATATAAAAACTAGACAGCAGCATTCTCAGAAAACACTTTGGGACGACTGAGTTTAACTCACAGGGCTGAACATTCCTTTGGATGGAGCAGTTTGGAAACACACTATCTGTAGGATCTGCAAGCGGATACTTGGGCCTCCCTGAGGATTTCGTTGGAAACGGGATAAACCGCACAAAACTAAACAGAAGCATTCTCAGAACCTTCTTCGTGATGTTTGCATTCAACCCACAGTGTTGAACCTTTCTTTGATAGTTCAGGTTTGAAACACTCTTTTTGTAGAAACTGCAAGTGGATAACTGCACTTCTTTGAGGCCTATCGTAGTAAAGGAAATAACTTCCTATAAAAACAAGACAGAAGCTTTCTCAGAAAATTCTCTGGGATGATTGAGTTGATCTCACAGAGCAGTACTTTCCTTGGGATGGAGTAGTTTCGAAACACACTTTCTGTAGAATCTGCAAGTGGATATTTGGACCTGTCTGAGGAATTCGTTGCAAACGGGATAATTTCAGCTAAGTAAACAGAAGCAGTCTCAGAATCTTCTTGTGATGTTTGCATTCAAATCCCAGAATTGAACCTTCCTTTGAAAGTTCAGGTTGGAAACACTCTTTTTGCAGGATCTACAAGTGGATATTCGGACCACTCTGTGGACTTCGTTCGAAACGGGTATATCTTCACATAACATCTAGACAGAAGCATTCTCAGAAACTTTTCTGTGATGACTGCATTCAACTCACAGAGTTGAACACTCCTTTTGAGAGCGCAGTTTTGAAACTCTCTTTCTCTGGAATCTGCAAGGGGACATGCAGACCTCTTTGAAGGTTTCGTTGGAAACGGAATCATCTTCACATAAAAATTACACAGAAGCATCCTCAGGAACTCCTTGGTGATGTTTGTATTCAACTTCCAGAGTTGAACTTTCCTTCGGAAAGAACAGCTATGAAACACTCTTTTTCTAGAATTTGCAAGTGGACATTGGGAGGGCTGTGAGGTTTGTGGTGGAAAAGGAAATATCTCCACATAAATACTAGATAGAAGCCTTCTCAGAAACTACTTTGTGATGATTTCATTCACCTCACGGAGTGGAGCATTCGTATTGACAGAGCAGTTTGGAAACACTCTTGTTGTAGAATCTCCTAGTGGAGATTTGGAGCGCTTTGAGGCCTATGGTAGTAAAGGGAAGAGCTTCACATAAAATCTAGACAGAAGCATTCTCAGAAAATACTTTGTGATGATTGAGTTTAACACACAGAGCTGAACATTCCTTTGGATGGAGAAGGTTTGAAACACACTTTCTGTAGAATCTGCGAGTGGATATTTGGACCTCTCTGAGGATTTCGTTGGAAACGGGATAACTGCACCTAACTAAACGGAAGCATTCTCACAAAATTCTTTGTGATGTTTGCATTCAAATCCCAGAGTTGAACCTTCCTTTGATAGTTCAGGTTTGAAACACTCTTTTTGTAGGATCTGCAGGTGGATATTTCGACCACTCTTTGGCCTTCGTTCGAAACGGGTACATCTTCAAATAAAATCTAGACAGAAGCCTTCTCAGAAACTTCTCTGTGACGATTGCATTCAACTCAAAGAGTTGAACCCTCCTATGGATAGAGCAGTTTTGAATCTCTCTTTTTGTGGAATCTGCAAGTGGATATGTGGTCCTCTTTGAAGATGTCTTTGGAAACGGGAATATCTTCACATAAAAACTAAACAGAAGCATTCTCAGAAACTTCTCTGTGATGTTTGTGTTCAACTCACAGAGTTTCACGTTGCTTTTCATAGAGCAGATGAGAAACATGCTTTTCGTAGGGTCTGCAAGTGGACATTTGGAGAGATTTCAGGCCTGTGGTGGAAAACGAATTATCGTCACGTAAAAACTAGAGAGAGGCATTGTCAGAAACTTGTTTGTGATGACTGCATTCAACTCACAGAGTTGAAGGTTCCTTTTCAAACAGCAGTTTCCAAACACTCTTTCTGTGGCATCTGCAAGTGGATGTTTGGGCCTCTTTGAAGATTTCGTTGGAAACGGGATACTCTTCACAGAAAAGCTAAACAGAAGCATTCTCAGAAACTTCTTTGTGATGTTTGCTTTCAACTCACAGAGTTGAACTTTCCTTTTGAGAGAGAAGCTTTGAAACACTCTTTTTCTAGAATCTGCAAGTGGATATTTGGAGGGCTTTGAGGCCTGAGGTGGAAAAGGAATTATCTTCCCGTAAGAACTAGATAGATGCATTCTCAGAAACTACTTTGTGACGATTGCATTCAAGTCACAGAGGTGAACATTCCCTTTCACAGAGCACTTTGGAAACTCTCGTTGTGTAGAATCTGCAAGTGGAGATATGGACCGCTTTGAGGCCTATGGTAGTAAAGGAAAGAGCTTCATATAAAAACTAGACAGCAGCATTCTCAGAAAACTCTTTGTGACGACTGAGTTTAACTCACAGGGCTGAACATTCCTTTGGATGGAGCAGTTTGGAAACACACTATCTGTAGGATCTGCAAGCGGATACTTGGGCCTCTCTGAGGATTTCGTTGGAAACGGGATAAACCGCACAGAACTAAACAGAAGCATTCTCAGAACCTTCTTCGTGATGTTTGCATTCAACCCACAGTGTTGAACCTTTCTTTGATAGTTCAGGTTTGAAACACTCTTTTTGTAGAAACTGCAAGTGGATAACTGCACTTCTTTGAGGCCTATCGTAGTAAAGGAAATAACTTCCTATAAAAACAAGACAGAAGCTTTCTCAGAAAATTCTCTGGGATGATTGAGTTGAACTCACAGAGCAGTACTTTCCTTGGGATGGAGTAGTTTCAAAACACACTTTCTGTAGAATCTGCAAGTGGATATTTGGACCTGTATGAGGAATTCGTTGCAAACAGGATAATTTCAGCTAAGTAAACAGAAGCAGTCTCAGAATCTTCTTGTGATGTTTGCATTCAAATCCCAGAATTGAACCTTCCTTTGAAAGTTCAGGTTGGAAACACTCTTTTTGCAGGATCTACAAGTGGATATTCGGACCACTCTGTGGACTTCGTTCGAAACGGGTATATCTTCACATAACATCTAGACAGAAGCATTCTCACAAACTTTTCTGTGATGACTGCATTCAACTCACAGAGTTGAACACTCCTTTTGAGAGCGCAGTTTGGAAACTCTCTTTCTCTGGAATCTGCAAGGAGACATGCAGTCCTCTTTGAAGGTTTCGTTGGAAACGGAATCATCTTCACATAAAAATTACACAGAAGCATCCTCAGGAACTCCTTGGTGATGTTTGTATTCAACTTCCAGAGTTGAACTTTCCTTCGGAAAGAGCAGCTATGAAACACTCTTTTTCTAGAATCTGCAAGTGGACATTGGGAGGGCTGTGAGGTTTGTGGTGGAAAAGGAAATATCTCCACATAAATACTAGATAGAAGCCTTCTCAGAAACTACTTTGTGATGATTGCATTCACCTCACGGAGTGGAGCATTCCTATTGACAGAGCAGTTTGGAAACACTCTTGTTGTAGAATCTGCTAGTGGAGATTTGGAGCGCTTTGAGGCCTATGGTAGTAAAGGGAAGAGCTTCACATAAAATCTAGACACAAGCATTCTCAGAAAATACTTTGTGATGATTGAGTTTAACACACAGAGCTGCACATTCCTTTGGATGGAGAAGGTTTGAAACACACTTTCTGTAGAATCTGCGAGTGGATATTTGGAACTCTCTGAGGATTTCGTTGGAAACGGGATAACTGCACCTAACTAAACGGAAGCATTCTCACAAAATTCTTTGTGATGTTTGCATTCAAATCCCAGAGTTGACCCTTCCTTTGATAGTTCAGCTTTGAAACACTCTTTTTGTAGGATCTGCAAGTGGATATTTGGACCACTCTTTGGCCTTCGTTCGAAACGGGTACATATTCAAATAAAATCTAGACAGAAGCCTTCTCAGAAACTTCTCTGTGACGATTGCATTCAACTCACAGCGTTGAACCCTCCTATGGATAGAGCAGTTTTGAATCTCTCTTTTTGTGGAATCTGCAAGTGGATATGTGGTCCTCTTTGAAGATGTCTTTGGAAACGGGAATATCTTCACATAAAAACTAAACAGAAGCATTCTCAGAAACTTCTCTGTGATGTTTGTGTTCAACTCACAGAGTTTCACGTTGCTTTTCATAGAGCAGATGAGAAACATGCTTTTCGTAGGGTCTGCAAGTGGACATTTGGAGAGATTTCAGGCCTGTGGTGGAAAACGAATTATCGTCACGTAAAAACTAGAGAGAAGCATTGTCAGAAACTTGTTTGTGATGACTGCATTCAACTCACAGAGTTGAAGGTTCCTTTTCAAACAGCAGTTTCCAAACACTCTTTCTGTGGCATCTGCAAGTGGATGTTTGGGCCTCTTTGAAGATTTCGTTGGAAACGGGATAATCTTCACAGAAAAGCTAAACAGAAGCATTCTCAGAAACTTCTTTGTGATGTTTGCTTTCAACTCACAGAGTTGAACTTTCCTTTTGAGAGAGAAGCTTTGAAACACTCTTTTTCTAGAATCTGCAAGTGGATATTTGGAGGGCTTTGAGGCCTGTGGTGGAAAAGGAATTATCTTCCCATAAGAACTAGATAGATGCATTCTCAGAAACTACTTTGTGACGATTGCATTCAAGTCACAGAGGTGAACATTCCCTTTCAGAGAGCACTTTGGAAACTCTCGTTGTGTAGAATCTGCAAGTGGAGATATGGACCGCTTTGAGGCCTATGGTAGTAAAGGAAACAGCTTCATATAAAAACTAGACAGCAGCATTCTCAGAAAACTCTTTGTGACGACTGAGTTTAACTCACAGGGCTGAACATTCCTTTGGATGGAGCAGTATGGAAACACACTATCTGTAGGATCTGCAAGCGGATACTTGGGCCTCCCTGAGGATTTCGTTGGAAACGGGATAAACCGCACAGAACTAAACAGAAGCATTCTCAGAACTTTCTTCGTGATGTTTGCATTCAACCCACAGTGTTGAACCTTTCTTTGATAGTTCAGGTTTGAAACACTCTTTTTGTAGAAACTGCAAGTGTATAACTGCACTTCTTTGAGGCCTATCGTAGTAAAGGAAATAACTTCCTATAAAAACAAGACAGAAGCTTTCTCAGAAAATTCTCTGGGATGATTGAGTTGAACTCACAGAGCAGTACTTTCCTTGGGATGGAGTAGTTTCGAAACACACTTTCTGTAGAATCTGCAAGTGGATATTTGGACCTGTCTGAGGAATTCGTTGCAAACGGGATAATTTCAGCTAAGTAAACAGAAGCAGTCTCAGAATCTTCTTGTGATGGTTGCATTCAAATCCCAGAATTGAACCTTCCTTTGAAAGTTCAGGTTGGAAACACTCTTTTTGCAGGATCTACAAGTGGATATTCGGACCACTCTGTGGACTTCGTTCGAAACGGGTATATCTTCACATAACATCTAGACAGAAGCATTCTCAGAAACTTTTCTGTGATGACTGCATTCAACTCACAGAGTTGAACACTCCTTTTGAGAGCGCAGTTTTGAAACTCTCTTTCTCTGGAATCTGCAAGGGGACATGCAGACCTCTTTGAAGGTTTCGTTGGAAACGGAATCATCTTCACATAAAAATTACACAGAAGCATCCTCAGGAACTCCTTGGTGATGTTTGTATTCAACTTCCAGAGTTGAACTTTCCTTCGGAAAGAGCAGCTATGAAACACGCTTTTTCTAGAATCTGCAAGTGGACATTGGGAGGGCTGTGAGGTTTGTGGTGGAAAAGGAAATATCTCCACATAAATACTAGATAGAAGCCTTCTCAGAAACTACTTTGTGATGACTGCATTCACCTCACGGAGTGGAGCATTCCTATTGACAGAGCAGTTTGGAAACACTCTTCTTGTAGGATCGGCTAGTGGAGAGTTGGAGCGCTTTGAGGCCTATGTTAGTAAAGGGAAGAGCTTCACATAAAATCTAGACAGAAGCATTCTCAGAAAATACTTTGTGATGATTGAGTTTAACACACAGAGCTGACCATTCCTTTGGATGGAGAAGGTTTGAAGCACACTTTCTGTAGAATCTGCGAGTGGATATTTGGACCTCTCTGAGGATTTCGTTGGAAACGGGATAACTGCACCTAACTAAACGGAAGCATTCTCACAAAATTCTTTGTGATGTTTGCATTCAAATCCCAGAGTTGAACCTTCCTTTGATAGTTCAGCTTTGAAACACTCTTTTTGTAGGATCTGCATGTGGATATTTGGACCACTCTTTGGCCTTCGTTCGAAACGGGTACATCTTCAAATAAAATCTAGACAGAAGCCTTCTCAGAAACTTCTCTGTGACGATTGCATTCAACTCAAAGCGTTGAACCCTCCTATGGATAGAGCAGTTTTGAATCTCTCTTTTTGTGGAATCTGCAAGTGGATATGTGGTCCTCTTTGAAGATGTCTTTGGAAACGGGAATATCTTCACATAAAAACTAAACAGAAGCATTCTCAGAAACTTCTCTGTGATGTTTGTGTTCAACTCACAGAGTTTCACGTTGCTTTTCATAGAGCAGATGAGAAACATGCTTTTCGTAGGGTCTGCAAGTGGACATTTGGAGAGATTTCAGGCCTGTGGTGGAAAACGAATTATCGTCACGTAAAAACTAGAGAGAAGCATTGTCAGAAACTTGTTTGTGATGACTGCATTCCACTCACAGAGTTGAAGGTTCCTTTTCAAACAGCAGTTTCCAAACACTCTTTCTGTGGCATCTGCAAGTGGATGTTTGGGCCTCTTTGAAGATTTCGTTGGAAACGGGATAATCTTCACAGAAAAGCTAAACAGAAGCATTCTCAGAAACTTCTTTGTGACGTTTGCTTTCAACTCACAGAGTTGAACTTTCCTTTTGAGAGAGAAGCTTTGAAACACTCTTTTTCTAGAATCTGCAAGTGGATATTTGGAGGGCTTTGAGGCCTGTGGTGGAAAAGGAATTATCTTCCCGTAAGAACTAGATAGATGCATTCTCAGAAACTACTTTGTGACGATTGCATTCAAGTCACAGAGGTGAACATTCCCTTTCAGAGAGCACTTTGGAAACTCTCGTTGTGTAGAATCTGCAAGTGGAGATATGGACCGCTTTGAGGCCTATGGTAGTAAAGGAAACAGCTTCATATAAAAACTAGACAGCAGCATTCTCAGAAAACCCTTTGTGACGACTGAGTTTAACTCACAGGGCTGAACATTCCTTTGGATGGAGCAGTTTGGAAACACACTATCTGTAGGATCTGCAAGCAGATACTTGGGCCTCCCTGAGGATTTCGTTGGAAACCGGATAAACCGCACAGAACTAAACAGAAGCATTCTCAGAACCTTCTTCGTGATGTTTGCATTC
Source organism: Homo sapiens (assembly GCF_000001405.40). NCBI lineage: Eukaryota > Metazoa > Chordata > Mammalia > Primates > Hominidae > Homo > Homo sapiens. The sequence continues at coordinate 22,876,282 of NC_000017.11, forward strand.
AACACACAGTGTTGAACCTTTCTTTGATAGTTCAGGTTTGAAACACTCTTTTCGTAGAAACTGCAAGTGGATAACTGCACTTCTTTGAGGCCTATCGTAGTAAAGGAAATAACTTCCTATAAAAACAAGACAGAAGCTTTCTCAGAAAATTCTCTGGGATGATTGAGTTGAACTCACAGAGCAGTACTTTCCTTGGGATGGAGTAGTTTCAAAACACACTTTCTGTAGAATCTGCAAGTGGATATTTGGACCTGTCTGAGGAATTCGTTGCAAACGGGATAATTTCAGCTAAGTAAACAGAAGCAGTCTCAGAATCTTCTTGTGATGGTTGCATTGAAATCCCAGAATTGAACCTTCCTTTGAAAGTTCAGGTTGGAAACACTCTTTTTGCAGGATCTACAAGTGGATATTCGGACCACTCTGTGGACTTCGTTCGAAACGGGTATATCTTCACATAACATCTAGACAGAAGCATTCTCAGAAACTTTTCTGTGATGACTGCATTCAACTCACAGAGTTGAACACTCCTTTTGAGAGCGCAGTTTTGAAACTCTCTTTCTCTGGAATCTGCAAGGGGACATGCAGACCTCTTTGAAGGTTTCGTTGGAAACGGAATCATCTTCACATAAAAATTACACAGAAGCATCCTCAGGAACTCCTTGGTGATGTTTGTATTCAACTTCCAGAGTTGAACTTTCCTTCGGAAAGAGCAGCTATGAAACACTCTTTTTCTAGAATCTGCAAGTGGACATTGGGAGGGCTGTGAGGTTTGTGGTGGAAAAGGAAATATCTCCACATAAATACTAGTTAGAAGCCTTCTCAGAAACTACTTTGTGATGATCGCATTCACCTCACGGAGTGGAGCATTCCTATTGACAGAGCAGTTTGGAAACACTCTTCTTGTAGAATCGGCTAGTGGAGATTTGGAGCGCTTTGAGGCCTATGGTAGTAAAGGGAAGAGCTTCACATAAAATCTAGACAGAAGCATTCTCAGAAAATACTTTGTGATGATTGAGTTTAACACACAGAGCTGAACATTCCTTTGGATGGAGAAGGTTTGAAACACACTTTCTGTAGAATCTGCGAGTGGATATTTGGACCTCTCTGAGGATTTCGTTGGAAACGGGATAACTGCACCTAACTAAACGGAAGCATTCTCACAAAATTCTTTGTGATGTTTGCATTCAAATCCCAGAGTTGAACCTTCCTTTGATAGTTCAGCTTTGAAACACTCTTTTTGGAGGTTCTGCAGGTGGATATTTGGACCCCTCTTTGGCCTTCGTTCGAAACGGGTACATCTTCAAATAAAATCTAGACAGAAGCCTTCTCAGAAACTTCTCTGTGACGATTGCATTCAACTCAAAGCGTTGAACCCTCCTATGGATAGAGCAGTTTTGAATCTCTCTTTTTGTGGAATCTGCAAGTGGATATGTGGTCCTCTTTGAAGATGTCTTTGGAAACGGGAATATCTTCACATAAAAACTAAACAGAAGCATTCTCAGAAACTTCTCTGTGATGTTTGTGTTCAACTCACAGAGTTTCACGTTGCTTTCCATAGAGCAGATGAGAAACATGCTTTTCGTAGGGTCTGCAAGTGGACATTTGGAGAGATTTCCGGCCTGTGGTGGAAAACGAATTATCGTCACGTAAAAACTAGAGAGAAGCATTGTCAGAAACTTGTTTGTGATGACTGCATTCAACTCACAGAGTTGAAGGTTCCTTTCCAAACAGCAGTTTCCAAACACTCTTTCTGTGGCATCTGCAAGTGGATGTTTGGGCCTCTTTGAAGATTTCGTTGGAAACGGGATAATCTTCACAGAAAAGCTAAACAGAAGCATTCTCAGAAACTTCTTTGTGATGTTTGCTTTCAACTCACAGAGTTGAACTTTCCTTTTGAGAGAGAAGCTTTGAAACACTCTTTTTCTAGAATCTGCAAGTGGATATTTGGAGGGCTTTGAGGCCTGAGGTGGAAAAGGAATTATCTTCCCGTAAGAACTAGATAGATGCATTCTCAGAAACTACTTTGTGACGATTGCATTCAAGTCACAGAGGTGAACATTCCCTTTCACAGAGCACTTTGGAAACTCTCGTTGTGTAGAATCTGCAAGTGGAGATATGGACCGCTTTGAGGCCTATGGTAGTAAAGGAAACAGCTTCATATAAAAACTAGACAGCAGCATTCTCAGAAAACTCTTTCTGACGACTGAGTGTAACTCACAGGGTTGAACATTCCTTTGGATGGAGCAGTTTGGAAACACACTATCTGTAGGATCTGCAAGCGGATACTTGGGCCTCTCTGAGGATTTCGTTGGAAACGGGATAAACCGCACAGAACTAAACAGAAGCATTCTCAGAACCTTCTTCGTGACGTTTGCATTCAACCCACAGTGTTGAACCTTTCTTTGGTAGTTCAGGTTTGAAACACTCTTTTTGTAGAAACTGCAAGTGGATAACTGCACTTCTTTGAGGCCTATCGTAGTAAAGGAAATAACTTCCTATAAAAACAAGACAGAAGCTTTCTCAGAAAATTCTCTGGGATGATTGAGTTGAACTCACAGAGCAGTACTTTCCTTGGGATGGAGTAGTTTCGAAACACACTTTCTGTAGAATCTGCAAGTGGATATTTGGACCTGTCTGAGGAATTCGTTGCAAACGGGATAATTTCAGCTAAGTTAACAGAAGCAGTCTCAGAATCTTCTTGTGATGTTTGCATTCAAATCCCAGAATTGAACCTTCCTTTGAAAGTTCAGGTTGGAAACACTCTTTTTGCAGGATCTACAAGTGGATATTCGGACCACTCTGTGGACTTCGTTCGAAACGGGTATATCTTCACATAACATCTAGACAGAAGCATTCTCAGAAACTTTTCTGTGATGACTGCATTCAACTCACAGAGTTGAACACTCCTTTTGAGAGCGCAGTTTTGAAACTCTCTTTCTCTGGAATCTGCAAGGGGACATGCAGACCTCTTTGAAGGTTTCGTTGGAAACGGAATCATCTTCACATAAAAATTACACAGAGGCATCCTCAGGAACTCCTTGGTGATGTTTGTATTCAACTTCCAGAGTTGAACTTTCCTTCGGAAAGAGCAGCTATGAAACACTCTCTTTCTAGAATCTGCAAGTGGACATTGGGAGGGCTGTGAGGTTTGTGGTGGAAAAGGAAATATCTCCACATAAATACTAGATAGAAGCCTTCTCAGAAACAACTTTGTGATGATTGCATTCACCTCACGGAGTTGAGCATTCCTATTGACAGAGCAGTTTGGAAACACTCTTGTTGTAGAATCTGCTAGTGGAGATTTGGAGCGCTTTGAGGCCTATGGTAGTAAAGGGAAGAGCTTCACATAAAATCTAGACAGAAGCATTCTCAGAAAATACTTTGTGATGATTGAGTTTAGCACACAGAGCTGAACATTCCTTTGGATGGAGAAGGTTTGAAACACACTTTCTGTAGAATCTGCGAGTGGATATTTGGACCTCTCTGAGGATTTCGTTGGAAACGGGATAACTGCACCTAACTAAACGGAAGCATTCTCACAAAATTCTTTGTGATGTTTGCATTCAAATCCCAGAGTTGAACCTTCCTTTGATAGTTCAGCTTTGAAACACTCTTTTTGTAGGATCTGCAGGTGGATATTTGGACCACTCTTTGGCCTTCGTTCGAAAAGGGTACATCTTCAAATAAAATCTAGACAGAAGCCTTCTCAGAAACTTCTCTGTGACGATTGCATTCAACTCAAAGCGTTGAACCCTCCTATGGATAGAGCAGTTTTGAATCTCTCTTTTTGTGGAATCTGCAAGTGGATATGTGGTCCTCTTTGAAGATGTCTTTGGAAACGGGAATATCTTCACATAAAAACTAAACAGAAGCATTCTCAGAAACTTCTCTGTGATGTTTGTGTTCAACTCCCAGAGTTTCACGTTGCTTTTCATAGAGCAGATGAGAAACATGCTTTTCGTAGGGTCTGCAAGTGGACATTTGGAGAGATTTCAGGCCTGTGGTGGAAAACGAATTATCGTCACGTAAAAACTAGAGAGAAGCATTGTCAGAAACTTGTTTGTGATGACTGCATTCAACTCACAGAGTTGAAGGTTCCTTTTCAAACAGCAGTTTCCAAACACTCTTTCTGTGGCATCTGCAAGTGGATGTTTGGGCCTCTTTGAAGATTTCGTTGGAAACGGGATAATCTTCACAGAAAAGCTAAACAGAAGCATTCTCAGAAACTTCTTTGTGATGTTTGCTTTCAACTCACAGAGTTGAACTTTCCTTTTGAGAGAGAAGCTTTGAAACACCCTTTTTCTAGAATCTGCAAGTGGATATTTGGAGGGCTTTGAGGCCTGAGGTGGAAAAGGAATTATCTTCCCGTAAGAACCAGATAGATGCATTCTCAGAAACTACTTTGTGACGATTGCATTCAAGTCACAGAGGTGAACATTCCCTTTCAGAGAGCACTTTGGAAACTCTCGTTGTGTAGAATCTGCAAGTGGAGATATGGACCGCTTTGAGGCCTATGGTAGTAAAGGAAAGAGCTTCATATAAAAACTAAACAGCAGCATTCTCAGAAAACTCTTTGTGACGACTGAGTTTAACTCACAGGGCTGAACATTCCTTTGGATGGAGCAGTTTGGAAACACACTATCTGTAGGATCTGCAAGCGGATACTTGGGCCTCCCTGAGGATTTCGTGGGAAACGGGATAAACCGCACAGAACTAAACAGAAGCATTCTCAGAACCTTCTTCGTGATGTTTGCATTCAACCCACAGTGTTGAACCTTTCTTTGATAGTTCAGGTTTGAAACACTCTTTTTGTAGAAACTGCAAGTGGATAACTGCACTTCTTTGAGGCCTATCGTAGTAAAGGAAATAACTTCCTATAAAAACAAGACAGAAGCTTTCTCAGAAAATTCTCTGGGATGATTGAGTTGAACTCACAGAGCAGTACTTTCCTTGGGATGGAGTAGTTTCGAAACACACTTTCTGTAGAATCTGCAAGTGGATATTTGGACCTGTCTGAGGAATTCGTTGCAAACGGGATAATTTCAGCTAAGTAAACAGAAGCAGTCTCAGAATCTTCTTGTGATGTTTGCATTCAAATCCCAGAATTGAACCTTCCTTTGAAAGTTCAGGTTGGAAACACTCTTTTTGCAGGATCTACAAGTGGATATTCGGACCACTCTGTGGACTTCGTTCGAAACGGGTATATCTTCACAAAACATCTAGACAGAAGCATTCTCAGAAACTTTTCTGTGATGACTGCATTCAACTCACAGAGTTGAACACTCCTTTTGAGAGCGCAGTTTTGAAACTCTCTTTCTCTGGAATCTGCAAGGGGACATGCAGACCTCTTTGAAGGTTTCGTTGGAAACGGAATCATCTTCACATAAAAATTACACAGAAGCATTCTCAGGAACTCCTTGGTGATGTTTGTATTCAACTTCCAGAGTTGAACTTTCCTTCGGAAAGAGCAGCTATGAAACACTCTTTTTCTAGAATCTGCAAGTGGACATTGGGAGGGCTGTGAGGTTTGTGGTGGAAAAGGAAATATCTCCACGTAAATACTAGATAGAAGCCTTCTCAGAAACTACTTTCAGATGATTGCATTCACCTCACGGAGTGGAGCATTCCTATTGACAGAGCAGTTTGGAAACACTCTTGTTGTAGAATCTGCTAGTGGAGATTTGGAGCGCTTTGAGGCCTATGGTAGTAAAGGGAAGAGCTTCACATAAAATCAAGACAGAAGCATTCTCAGAAAATACTTTGTGATGATTGAGTTTAACACACAGAGCTGAACATTACTTTAGATGGAGCAGGTTTGAAACACACTTTCTCTAGAATCTGCGAGTGGATATTTGGACCTCTCTGAGGATTTCGTTGGAAACGGGATAACTGCACCTAACTAAACGGAAGCATTCTCACAAAATTCTTCGTGATGTTTGCATTCAAATCCCAGAGTTGAACCTTCCTTTGATAGTTCAGCTTTGAAACACTCTTTTTGTAGGATCTGCAAGTGGATATTTGGACCACTCTTTGGCCTTCCTTCGAAACGGGTACATCTTCATATAAAATCTAGACAGAAGCCTTCTCAGAAACTTCTCTGTGATGATTGCATTCAACTCAAGGCGTTGAACCCTCCTATGGATAGGGCAGTTTTGAATCTCTCTTTTTGTGGAATCTGCAAGTGGATATGTGGTCCTCTTTGAAGATGTCTTTGGAAACGGGAATATCTTCACATAAAAACTAAACAGAAGCATTCTCAGAAACTTCTCTGTGATGTTTGTGTCCAAATCACAGAGTTTCACGTTGCTTTTCATAGAGCAGATGAGAAACATGCTTTTCGTAGGGTCTGCAAGTGGACATTTGGAGAGATTTCAAGCCTGTGGTGGAAAACGAATTATCGTCACGTAAAAACTAGAGGGAAGCATTGTCAGAAACTTGTTTGTGATACCTGCATTCAACTCACAGAGTTGAAGGTTCCTTTTCAAACAGCAGTTTCCAAACACTCTTTCTGTGGCATCTGCAAGTGGATGTTTGGGCCTCTTTGAAGATTTCGTTGGAAACGGGATAATCTTCACAGAAAAGCTAAACAGAAGCATTCTCAGAAACTTCTTTGTGATGTTTGCTTTCAACTCACAGAGTTGAACTTTCCTTTTGAGAGAGAAGCTTTGAAACACTCTTTTTCTAGAATCTGCAAGTGGATATTTGGAGGGCTTTGAGGCCTGTGGTGGAAAACGAATTATCTTCCCGTAAGAACTAGATAGATGCATTCTCAGAAACTACTTTGTGACGATTGCATTCAAGTCACAGAGGTGAACATTCCCTTTCACAGAGCACTTTGGAAACTCTCGTTGTGTAGAATCTGCAAGTGGAGATATGGACCGCTTTGAGGCCTATGGTAGTAAAGGAAACAGCTTCATATAAAAACTAGACAGCAGCATTCTCAGAAAACTCTTTCTGACGACTGAGTGTAACTCACAGGGTTGAACATTCCTTTGGATGGAGCAGTTTGGAAACACACTATCTGTAGGATCTGCAAGCGGATACTTGGGCCTCTCTGAGGATTTCGTTGGAAACGGGATAAACCGCACAGAACTAAACAGAAGCATTCTCAGAACCTTCTTCGTGACGTTTGCATTCAACCCACAGTGTTGAAACTTTCTTTGATAGTTCAGGTTTGAAACACTCTTTTCGTAGAAACTGCAAGTGGATAACTGCACTTCTTTGAGGCCTATCGTAGTAAAGGAAATAACTTCCTATAAAAACAAGACAGAAGCTTTCTCAGAAAATTCTCTGGGATGATTGAGTTGAACTCACAGAGCAGTACTTTCCTTGGGATGGAGTAGTTTCGAAACACACTTTCTGTAGAATCTGCAAGTGGATATTTGGACCTGTCTGAGGAATTCGTTGCAAACGGGATAATTTCAGCTAAGTAAACAGAAGCAGTCTCAGAATCTTCTTGTGATGTTTGCATTCAAATCCCAGAATTGAACCTTCCTTTGAAAGTTCAGGTTTGAAACACACTTTTTGCAGGATCCACAAGTGGATATTCGGACCACTCTGTGGACTTCGATCGAAACGGGTATATCTTCACATAACATCTACACAGAAGCATTCTCAGAAACTTTTCTGTGATGACTGCATTCAACTCACAGAGTTGAACACTCCTTTTGAGAGCGCAGTTTTGAAACTCTCTTTCTCTGGAATCTGCAAGGGGACATGCACACCTCTTTGAAGGTTTCGTTGGAAACGGAATCATCTTCACATAAAAATTACACAGAAGCATTCTTAGGAACTCCTTGGTGATGTTTGTATTCAACTTCCAGAGTTGAACTTTCCTTCGGAAAGAGCAGCTATGAAACACTCTTTTTCTAGAATCTGCAAGTGGACATTGGGAGGGCTGTGAGGTTTGTGGTGGAAAAGGAAATATCTCCACGTAAATACTAGATAGAAGCCTTCTCAGAAACTACTCTGTGATGATTGCATTCACCTCACGGAGTGGAGCATTCCTATTGACAGAGCAGTTTGGAAACACTCTTGTTGTAGAATCTGCTAGTGGAGATTTGGAGCGCTTTGAGGCCTATGGTAGTAAAGGGAAGAGCTTCACATAAAATCTTGACAGAAGCATTCTCAGAAAATACTTTGTGATGATTGAGTTTAACACACAGAGCTGAACATTCCTTTGGATGGAGAAGGTTTGAAACACACTTTCTATAGAATCTGCGAGTGGATATTTGGACCTCTCTGAGGATTTCGTTGGAAACGGGATAACTGCACCTAACTAAACGGAAGCATTCTCACAAAATTCTTTGTGATGTTTGCATTCAAATCCCAGAGTTGAACCTTCCTTTGATAGTTCAGCTTTGAAACACTCTTTTTGTAGGATCTGCAGGTGGATATTTGGACCACTCTTTGGCCTTCGTTCGAAACGGGTACATCTTCAAATAAAATCTAGACAGAAGCCTTCTCAGAAACTTCTCTGTGACGATTGCATTCAACTCAAAGCGTTGAACCCTCCTATGGATAGAGCAGTTTTGAATCTCTCTTTTTGTGGAATCTGCAAGTGGATATGTGGTCCTCTTTGAAGATGTCTTTGGAAACGGGAATATCTTCACATAAAAACTAAACAGAAGCATTCTCAGAAACTTCTCTGTGATGTTTGTGTTCAACTCACAGAGTTTCACGTTGCTTTTCATAGAGCAGATGAGAAACATGCTTTTCGTAGGGTCTGCAAGTGGACATTTGGAGAGCTTTCAGGCCTGTGGTGGAAAACGAATTATCGTCACGTAAAAACTAGAGAGAAGCATTGTCAGAAACTTGTTTGTGATGACTGCATTCAACTCACAGAGTTGAAGGTTCCTTTTCAAACAGCAGTTTCCAAACACTCTTTCTGTGGCATCTGCAAGTGGATGTTTGGGTCTCTTTGAAGATTTCGTTGGAAACGGGATAATCTTCACAGAAAAGCTAAACAGAAGCATTCTCAGAAACTTCTTTGTGATGTTTGCTTTCAACTCACAGAGTTGAACTTTCCTTTTGAGAGAGAAGCTTTGAAACACTCTTTTTCTAGAATCTGCAAGTGGATATTTGGAGGGCTTTGAGGCCTGAGGTGGAAAAGGAATTATCTTCCCGTAAGAACTAGATAGATGCATTCTCAGAAACTACTTTGTGACGAATGCATTCAAGTCACAGAGGTGAACATTCCCTTTCAGAGAGCACTTTGGAAACTCTCGTTGTGTAGAATCTGCAAGTGGAGATATGCACCGCTTTGAGGCCTACGGTAGTAAAGGAAACAGCTTCATATAAAAACTAGACAGCAGCATTCTCAGAAAACTCTTTGTGACGACTGAGTTTAACTCACAGGGCTGAACATTCCTTTGGATGGAGCAGTTTGGAAACACACTATCTGTAGGATCTGCAAGCGGATACTTGGGCCTCCCTGAGGATTTCGTTGGAAACGGGATAAACCGCACAGAACTAAACAGAAGCATTCTCAGAACCTTCTTCGTGACGTTTGCATTCAACCCACAGTGTTGAACCTTTCTTTGATAGTTCAGGTTTGAAACACTCTTTTTGTAGAAACTGCAAGTGGATAACTGCACTTCTTTGAGGCCTATCGTAGTAAAGGAAATAACTTCCTATAAAAACAAGACAGAAGCTTTCTCAGAAAATTCTCTGGGATGATTGAGTTGAACTCACAGAGCAGTACTTTCCTTGGGATGGAGTAGTTTCGAAACACACTTTCTGTAGAATCTGCAAGTGGATATTTGGACCTGTCTGAGGAATTCGTTGCAAACGGGATAATTTCAGCTAAGTAAACAGAAGCAGTCTCAGAATCTTCTTGTGATGTTTGCATTCAAATCCCAGAATTGAACCTTCCTTTGAAAGTTCAGGTTGGAAACACTCTTTTTGCAGGATCTACAAGTGGATATTCGGACCACTCTGTGGACTTCATTCGAAACGGGTATATCTTCACATAACATCTAGACAGAAGCATTCTCAGAAACTTTTCTGTGATGACTGCATTCAACTCACAGAGTTGAACACTCCTTTTGAGAGCGCAGTTTTGAAACTCTCTTTCTCTGGAATCTGCAAGGGGACATGCAGACCTCTTTGAAGGTTTCGTTGGAAACGGAATCATCTTCACATAAAAATTACACAGAAGCATTCTCAGGAACTCCTTGGTGATGTTTGTATTCAACTTCCAGAGTTGAACTTTCCTTCGGAAAGAGCAGCTATGAAACACTCTTTTTCTAGAATCTGCAAGTGGACATTGGGAGAGCTGTGAGGTTTGTGGTGTAAAAGGAAATATCTCCACATAAATACTAGATAGAAGCCTTCTCAGAAACTACTTTGTGATGATTGCATTCACCTCACGGAGTGGAGCATTCCTATTGACAGAGCAGTTTGGAAACACTCTTGTTGTAGAATCGGCTAGTGGAGATTTGGAGCGCTTTGAGGCCTATGGTAGTAAAGGGAAGAGCTTCACATAAAATCTAGACAGAAGCATTCTCAGAAAATACTTTGTGATGATTGAGTTTAACACACAGAGCTGAACATTCCTTTGGATGGAGAAGGTTTGAAACACACTTTCTGTAGAATCTGCGAGTGGATATTTGGACCTCTCTGAGGATTTCGTTGGAAACGGGATAACTGCACCTAACTAAACGGAAGCATTCTCACAAAATTCTTTGTGATGTTTGCATTCAAATCCCAGAGTTGAACCTTCCTTTGATAGTTCAGCTTTGAAACACTCTTTTTGTAGGATCTGCAGGTGGATATTTGGACCACTCTTTGGCCTTCGTTCGAAACGGGTACATCTTCAAATAAAATCTAGACAGAAGCCTTCTCAGAAACTTCTCTGTGACGATTGCATTCAACTCAAAGAGTTGAACCCTCCTATGGATAGAGCAGTTTTGAATCTCTCTTTTTGTGGAATCTGCAAGTGGATATGTGGTCCTCTTTGAAGATGTCTTTGGAAACGGGAATATCTTCACATAAAAACTAAACAGAAGCATTCTCAGAAACTTCTCTGTGATGTTTGTGTTCAACTCACAGAGTTTCACGTTGCTTTTCATAGAGCAGATGAGAAACATGCTTTTCGTAGGGTCTGCAAGTGGACATTTGGAGAGCTTTCAGGCCTGTGGTGGAAAACGAATTATCGTCACGTAAAAACTAGAGAGAAGCATTGTCAGAAACTTGTTTGTGATGACTGCATTCAACTCACAGAGTTGAAGGTTCCTTTTCAAACAGCAGTTTCCAAACACTCTTTCTGTGGCATCTGCAAGTGGATGTTTGGGCCTCTTTGAAGATTTCGTTGGAAACGGGATAATCTTCACAGAAAAGCTAAACAGAAGCATTCTCAGAAACTTCTTTGTGATGTTTGCTTTCAACTCACAGAGTTGAACTTTCCTTTTGAGAGAGAAGCTTTGAAACACTCTTTTTCTAGAATATGCAAGTGGATATTTGGAGGGCTTTGAGGCCTGAGGTGGAAAAGGAATTATCTTCCCGTAAGAACTAGATAGATGCATTCTCAGAAACTACTTTGTGACGATTGCATTCAAGTCACAGAGGTGAACATTCCCTTTCACAGAGCACTTTGGAAACTCTCGTTGTGTAGAATCTGCAAGTGGAGATATGGACCGCTTTGAGGCCTATGGTAGTAAAGGAAACAGCTTCATATAAAAACTAGACAGCAGCATTCTCAGAAAACTCTTAGTGACAACTGAGTTTAACTCACAGGGCTGAACATTCCTTTGGATGGAGCAGTTTGGAAATACACTATCTGTAGGATCTGCAAGCGGATACTTGGGCCTCTCTGAGGATTTCGTTGGAAACGGGATAAACCGCACAGAACTAAACAGAAGCATTCTCAGAACCTTCTTCGTGATGTTTGCATTCAACCCACAGTGTTGAACCTTTCTTTGATAGTTCAGGTTTGAAACACTCTTTTTGTAGAAACTGCAAGTGGATAACTGCACTTCTTTGAGGCCTATCGTAGTAAAGGAAATAACTTCCTATAAAAACAAGACAGAAGCTTTCTCAGAAAATTCTCTGGGATGATTGAGTTGAACACACAGAGCAGTACTTTCCTTGGAATGGAGTAGTTTCGAAACACACTTTCTGTAGAATCTGCAAGTGGATATTTGGACCTGTCTGAGGAATTCGTTGCAAACGGGATAATTTCAGCTAAGTAAACAGAAGCAGTCTCAGAATCTTCTTGTGATGTTTGCATTCAAATCCCAGAATTGAACCTTCCTTTGAAAGTTCAGGTTGGAAACACTCTTTTTGCAGGATCTACAAGTGGATATTCGGACCACTCTGTGGACTTCGTTCGAAACGGGTAAATCTTCACATAACATCTAGACAGAAGCATTCTCAGAAACTTTTCTGTGATGACTGCATTCAACTCACAGAGTTGAACTCTCCTTTTGAGAGCGCAGTTTTGAAATTCTCTTTCTCTGGAATCTGCAAGGGGACATGCAGACCTCTTTGAAGGTTTCGTTGGAAACGGAATCATCTTCACATAAAAATTACACAGAGGCATCCTCAGGAACTCCTTGGTGAAGTTTGTATTCAACTTCCAGAGTTGAACTTTCCTTCGGAAAGAGCAGCTATGAAACACTCTCTTTCTAGAATCTGCAAGTGGACATTGGGAGGGCTGTGAGGTTTGTGGTGGAAAAGGAAATATCTCCACATAAATACTAGATAGAAGCCTTCTCAGAAACTACGTTGTGATGATTGCATTCACCTCACGGAGTGGAGCATTCCTATTGACAGAGCAGTTTGGAAACACTCTTGTTGTAGAATCTGCTAGTGGAGATTTGGAGCGCTTTGAGGCCTATGGTAGTAAAGGGAAGAGCTTCACATAAAATCTAGACAGAAGCATTCTCAGAAAATACTTTGTGATGATTGAGTTTAACACACAGACCTGAACATTCCTTTGGATGGAGAAGGTTTGAAACACACTTTCTGTAGAATCTGCGAGTGGATATTTGGACCTCTCTGAGGATTTCGTTGGAAACGGGATAACTGCACCTAACTAAACGGAAGCATTCTCACAAAATTCTTTGTGATGTTTGCATTCAAATCCCAGAGTTGAACCTTCCTTTGATAGTTCAGCTTTGAAACACTCTTTTTGTAGGATCTGCAGGTGGATATTTGGACCACTCTTTGGCCTTCGTTCGAAACGGGTACATCTTCAAATAAAATCTAGACAGAAGCCTTCTCAGAAACTTCTCTGTGACGATTGCATTCAACTCAAAGCGTTGAACCCTCCTATGGATAGAGCAGTTTTGAATCTCTCTTTTTGTGGAATCTGCAAGTGGATATGTGGTCCTCTTTGAAGATGTCTTTGGAAACGGGAATATCTTCACATAAAAACTAAACAGAAGCATTCTCAGAAACTTCTCTGTGATGTTTGTGTTCAACTCCCAGAGTTTCATGTTGCTTTTCATAGAGCAGATGAGAAACATGCTTTTCGTAGGGTCTGCAAGTGGACATTTGGAGAGATTTCCGGCCTGTGGTGGAAAACGAATTATCGTCACGTAAAAACTAGAGAGAAGCATTGTCAGAAACTTGTTTGTGATGACTGCATTCAACTCACAGAGTTGAAGGTTCCTTTTCAAACAGCAGTTTCCAAACACTCTTTCTGTGGCATCTGCAAGTGGATGTTTGGGCCTCTTTGAAGATTTCGTTGGAAACGGGATAATCTTCACAGAAAAGCTAAACAGAAGCATTCTCAGAAACTTCTTTGTGATGTTTGCTTTCAACTCACAGAGTTGAACTTTCCTTTTGAGAGAGAAGCTTTGAAACACTCTTTTTCTAGAATCTGCAAGTGGATATTTGGAGGGCTTTGAGGCCTGAGGTGGAAAAGGAATTATCTTCCCGTAAGAACTAGATAGATGCATTCTCAGAAACTACTTTGTGACGATTGCATTCAAGTCACAGAGGTGAACATTCCCTTTCAGAGAGCACTTTGGAAACTCTCGTTGTGTAGAATCTGCAAGTGGAGATATGGACCGCTTTGAGGCCTATGGTAGTAAAGGAAACGGCTTCATATAAAAACTAGACAGCAGCATTCTCAGAAAACTCTTTGTGACGACTGAGTTTAACTCACAGGGCTGAACATTCCTTTGGATGGAGCAGTTTGGAAACACACTATCTGTAGGATCTGCAAGCGGATACTTGGGCCTCCCTGAGGATTTCGTTGGAAATGGGATAAACCGCACAGAACTAAACAGAAGCATTCTCAGAACCTTCTTCGTGACGTTTGCATTCAACGCACAGTGTTGAACCTTTCTTTGATAGTTCAGATTTGAAACACTCTTTTTGTAGAAACTGCAAGTGGATAACTGCACTTCTTTGAGGCCTATCGTAGTAAAGGAAATAACTTCCTATAAAAACAAGACAGAAGCTTTCTCAGAAAATTCTCTGGGATGATTGAGTTGAACTCACAGAGCAGTACTTTCCTTGGGATGGAGTAGTTTCGAAACACACTTTCTGTAGAATCTGCAAGTGGATATTTGGACCTGTCTGAGGAATTCGTTGCAAACGGGATAATTTCAGCTAAGTAAACAGAAGCAGTCTCAGAATCTTCTTGTGATGTTTGCATTCAAATCCCAGAATGGAACCTTCCTTTGAAAGTTCAGGTTGGAAACACTCTTTTTGCAGGATCTACAAGTGTATATTCGGACCACTCTGTGGACTTCGTTCGAAACGGGTATATCTTCACATAACATCTAGACAGAAGCATTCTCAGAAACTTTTCTGTGATGACTGCATTCAACTCACAGAGTTGAACACTCCTTTTGAGAGCGCAGTTTTGAAACTCTCTTTCTCTGGAATCTGCAAGGGGACATGCAGACCTCTTTGAAGGTTTCGTTGGAAACGGAATCATCTTCACATAAAAATTACACGGAAGCATCCTCAGGAACTCCTTGGTGATGTTTGCATTCAACTTCCAGAGTTGAACTTTCCTTCGGAAAGAGCAGCTATGAAACACTCTTTTTCTAGAATCTGCAAGTGGACATTGGGAGGGCTGTGAGGTTTGTGGTGGAAAAGGAAATATCTCCACATAAATACTAGATAGAAGCCTTCTCAGAAACTACTTTGTGATGACTGCATTCACCTCACGGAGTGGAGCATTCCTATTGACAGAGCAGTTTGGAAACACTCTTCTTGTAGAATCGGCTAGTGGAGAGTTGGAGCGCTTTGAGGCCTATGGTAGTAAAGGGAAGAGCTTCACATAAAATCTAGACAGAAGCATTCTCAGAAAATACTTTGTGATGATTGATTTTAACACACAGAGCTGAACATTCCTTTGGATGGAGAAGGTTTGAAACACACTTTCTGTAGAATCTGCGAGTGGATATTTGGACCTCTCTGAGGATTTCGTTGGAAACGGGATAACTGCACCTAACTAAACGGAAGCATTCTCACAAAATTCTTTGTGATGTTTGCATTCAAATCCCAGAGTTGAACCTTCCTTTGATAGTTCAGCTTTGAAACACTCTTTTTGTAGGTTCTGCAGGTGGATATTTGGACCACTCTTTGGCCTTCGTTCGAAACGGGTACATCTTCAAATAAAATCTAGACAGAAGCCTTCTCAGAAACTTCTCTGTGACGATTGCATTCAACTCAGAGAGTTGAACCCTCCTATGGATGGAGCAGTTTTGAATCTCTCTTTTTGTGGAATCTGCAAGTGGATATGTGGTCCTCTTTGAAGATGTCTTTGGAAACGGGAATATCTTCACATAAAAACTAAACAGAAGCATTCTCAGAAACTTCTCTGTGATGTTTGTGTTCAACTCACAGAGTTTCACGTTGCTTTTCATAGAGCAGATGAGAAACATGCTTTTCGTAGGGTCTGCAAGTGGACATTTGGAGAGCTTTCAGGCCTGTGGTGGAAAACGAATTATCGTCACGTAAAAACTAGAGAGAAGCATTGTCAGAAACTTGTTTGTGATGACTGCATTCAACTCACAGAGTTGAAGGTTCCTTTTCAAACAGCAGTTTCCAAACACTCTTCCTGTGGCATCTGCAAGTGGATGTTTGGGCCTCTTTGAAGATTTCGTTGGAAACGGGATAATCTTCACAGAAAAGCTAAACAGAAGCATTCTCAGAAACTTCTTTGTGATGTTTGCTTTCAACTCACAGAGTTGAACTTTCCTTTTGAGAGAGAAGCTTTGAAACACTCTTTTTCTAGAATCTGCAAGTGGATATTTGGAGGGCTTTGAGGCCTGAGGTGGAAAAGGAATTATCTTCCCGTAAGAACTAGATAGATGCATTCTCAGAAACTACTTTGTGACGATTGCATTCAAGTCACAGAGGTGAACATTCCCTTTCACAGAGCACTTTGGAAACTCTCGTTGTGTAGAATCTGCAAGTGGAGATATGGACCGCTTTGAGGCCTATGGTAGTAAAGGAAACAGCTTCATATAAAAACTAGACAGCAGCATTCTCAGAAAACTCTTTGTGACGACTGAGTTTAACTCACAGGGCTGAACATTCCTTTGGATGGAGCAGTTTGGAAACACACTATCTGTAGGATCTGCAAGCGGATACTTGGGCCTCCCTGAGGATTTCGTTGGAAACGGAATAAACCGCACAGAACTAAACAGAAGCATTCTCAGAACCTTCTTCGTGATGTTTGCATTCAACCCACAGTGTTGAACCTTTCTTTGATAGTTCAGGTTTGAAACACTCTTTTTGTAGAAACTGCAGGTGGATAACTGCACTTCTTTGAGGCCTATCGTAGTAAAGGAAATAACTTCCTATAAAAACAAGACAGAAGCTTTCTCAGAAAATTCTCTGGGATGATTGAGTTGAACTCACAGAGCAGTACTTTCCTTGGGATGGAGTAGTTTCGAAACACACTTTCTGTAGAATCTGCAAGTGGATATTTGGACCTGTCTGAGGAATTCGTTGCAAACGGGATAATTTCAGCTAAGTAAACAGAAGCAGTCTCAGAATCTTCTTGTGATGTTTGCATTCAAATCCCAGAATTGAACCTTCCTTTGAAAGTTCAGGTTGGAAACACTCTTTTTGCAGGATCTACAAGTGGATATTCGGACCACACTGTGGACTTCGTTCGAAACGGGTATATCTTCACATAACATCTAGACAGAAGCATTCTCAGAAACTTTTCTGTGATGACTGCATTCAACTCACAGAGTTGAACACTCCTTTTGAGAGCGCAGTTTTGAAACTCTCTTTCTCTGGAATCTGCAAGGGGACATGCAGACTTCTTTGAAGGTTTCGTTGGAAACGGAATCATCTTCACATAAAAATTACACAGAGGCATCCTCAGGAACTCCTTGGTGATGTTTGTATTCAACTTCCAGAGTTGAACTTTCCTTCGGAAAGAGCAGCTATGAAACACTCTTTTTCTAGAATCTGCAAGTGGACATTGGGAGGGCTGTGAGGTTTGTGGTGGAAAAGGAAATATCTCCACATAAATACTAGATAGAAGCCTTCTCAGAAACTACTTTGTGATGATTGCATTCACCTCACGGAGTGGAGCATCCCTATTGACAGAGCAGTTTGGAAACACTCTTGTTGTAGAATCGGCTAGTGGAGATTTGGAGCGCTTTGAGGCCTATGGTAGTAAAGGGAAGAGCTTCACATAAAATCTAGACAGAAGCATTCTCAGAAAATACTTTGTGATGATTGAGTTTAACACACAGAGCTGAACATTCCTTTGGATGGAGAAGGTTTGAAACACACTTTCTGTAGAATCTGCGAGTGGATATTTGGACCTCTCTGAGGATTTCGTTGGAAACGGGATAACTGCACCTAACTAAACGGAAGCATTCTCACAAAATTCTTTGTGATGTTTGCATTCAAATCCCAGAGTTGAACCTTCCTTTGATAGTTCAGCTTTAAAACACTCTTTCTGTAGGTTCTGCAGGTGGATATTTGGACCACTCTTTGGCCTTCTTTCGAAACGGGAACATCTTCAAATAAAATCTAGACAGAAGCCTTCTCAGAAACTTCTCTGTGACGATTGCATTCAACTCAAAGCGTTGAACCCTCCTATGGATAGAGCAGTTTTGAATCTCTCTTTTTGTGGAATCTTCAAGTGGATATGTGGTCCTCTTTGAAGATGTCTTTGGAAACGTTAATATCTTCACATAAAAACTAAACAGAAGCATTCTCAGAAACTTCTCTGTGATGTTTGTGTTCAACTCACAGAGTTTCACGTTGCTTTTCATAGAGCAGATGAGAAACATGCTTTTCGTAGGGTCTGCAAGTGGACATTTGGAGAGATTTCAGGCCTGTGGTGGAAAACGAATTATCGTCACGTAAAAACAGAGAGAAGCATTGTCAGAAACTTGTTTGTGATGACTGCATTCAACTCACAGAGTTGAAGGTTCCTTTTCAAACAGCAGTTTCCAAACACTCTTTCTGTGGCATCTGCAAGTGGATGTTTGGGCCTCTTTGAAGATTTCGTTGGAAACGGGATAATCTTCACAGGAAAGCTAAACAGAAGCATTCTCAGAAACTTCTTTGTGATGTTTGCTTTCAACTCACAGAGTTGAACTTTCCTTTTGAGAGAGAAGCTTTGAAACACTCTTTTTCTAGAATCTGCAAGTGGATATTTGGAGGGCTTTGAGGCCTGTGGTGGAAAAGGAATTATCTTCCCATAAGAACTAGATAGATGCATTCTCAGAAACTACTTTGTGACGATTGCATTCAAGTCACAGAGGTGAACATTCCCTTTCAGAGAGCACTTTGGAAACTCTCGTTGTGTAGAATCTGCAAGTGGAGATATGGACCGCTTTGAGGCCTATGGTAGTAAAGGAAACAGCTTCATATAAAAACTAGACAGCAGCATTCTCAGAAAACTCTTTGTGACGACTGAGTTTAACTCACAGGGCTGAACATTCCTTTGGATGGAGCAGTTTGGAAACACACTATCTGTAGGATCTGCAAGCGGATACTTGGGCCTCTCTGAGGATTTCGTTGGAAACGGAATAAACCGCACAGAACTAAACAGAAGCATTCTCAGAACCTTCTTCGTGATGTTTGCATTCAACCCACAGTGTTGAACCTTTCTTTGATAGTTCAGGTTTGAAACACTCTTTTTGTAGAAACTGCAAGTGGATAACTGCACTTCTTTGAGGCCTATCATAGTAAAGGAAATAACTTCCTATAAAAACAAGACAGAAGCTTTCTCAGAAAATTCTCTGGGATGATTGAGTTGAACTCACAGAGCAGTACTTTCCTTGGGATGGAGTAGTTTCGAAACACACTTTCTGTAGAATCTGCAAGTGGATATTTGGACCTGTCTGAGGAATTCGTTGCAAACGGGATAATTTCAGCTAAGTAAACAGAAGCAGTCTCAGAATCTTCTTGTGATGTTTGCATTCAAATCCCAGAATTGAACCTTCCTTTGAAAGTTCAGGTTGGAAACACTCTTTTTGCAGGATCTACAAGTGGATATTCGGACCACTCTGTGGACTTCGTTCGAAACGGGTATATCTTCACATAACATCTAGACAGAAGCATTCTCAGAAACTTTTCTGTGATGACTGCATTCAACTCACAGAGTTGAACACTCCTTTTGAGAGCGCAGTTTGGAAACTCTCTTTCTCTGGAATCTGCAAGGGGACATGCAGACCTCCTTGAAGGTTTCGTTGGAAACGGAATCATCTTCACATAAAATTACACAGAAGCATCCTCAGGAACTCCTTGGTGATGTTTGTATTCAACTTCCAGAGTTGAACTTTCCTTCGGAAAGAGCAGCTATGAAACACTCTTTTTCTAGAATCTGCAAGTGGACATTGGGAGGGCTGTGAGGTTTGTGGTGGAAAAGGAAATATCTCCACATAAATACTAGATAGAAGCCTTCTCAGAAACTACTTTGTGATGATTGCATTCACCTCACAGAGTGGAGCATTCCTATTGACAGAGCAGTTTGGAAACACTCTTCTTGTAGAATCGGCTAGTGGAGATTTGGAGCGCTTTGAGTCCTATGGTAGTAAAGGGAAGAACTTCACATAAAATCAAGACAGAAGCATTCTCAGAAAATACTTTGTGATGATTGAGTTTAACACACAGAGCTGAACATTCCTTTGGATGGAGAAGGTTTGAAACACACTTTCTGTAGAATCTGCGAGTGGATATTTGGACCTCTCTGAGGATTTCGTTGGAAACGGGATAACTGCACCTAACTAAACGGAAGCATTCTCACAAAATTCTTTGTGATGTTTGCATTCAAATCCCAGAGTTGAACCTTCCTTTGATAGTTCAGCTTTGAAACACTCTTTTTGTAGGATCTGCAAGTGGATATTTGGACCACTCTTTGGCCTTCGTTCGAAACGGGTACATCTTCAAATAAAATCTAGACAGAAGCCTTCTCAGAAACTTCTCTGTGATGATTGCATTCAACTCAAAGTGTTGAACCCTCCTATGGATAGAGCAGTTTTGAATCTCTCTTTTTGTGGAATCTGCAAGTGGATATGTGGTCCTCTTTGAAGATGTCTTTGGAAACGGGAATATCTTCACATAAAAACTAAACAGAAGCATTCTCATAAACTTCTCTGTGATGTTTGTGTCCAAATCACAGAGTTTCACGTTGCTTTTCATAGAGCAGATGAGAAACATGCTTTTCGTAGGGTCTGCAAGTGGACATTTGGAGAGATTTCAAGCCTGTGGTGGAAAACGAATTATCGTCACGTAAAAACTAGAGGGAAGCATTGTCAGAAACTTGTTTGTGATGACTGCCTTCAACTCACAGAGTTGAAGGTTCCTTTTCAAACAGCAGTTTCCAAACACTCTTTCTGTGGCATCTGCAAGTGGAGGTTTGGGCCTCTTTGAAGATTTCGTTGGAAACGGGATAATCTTCACAGAAAAGCTAAACAGAAGCATTCTCAGAAACTTCTTTGTGATGTTTGCTTTCAACTCACAGAGTTGAACTTTCCTTTTGAGAGAGAAGCTTTGAAACACTCTTTTTCTAGAATCTGCAAGAGGATATTTGGAGGGTTTTGAGGCCTGAGGTGGAAAAGGAATTATCTTCCCGTAAGAACTAGATAGATGCATTCTCAGAAACTACTTTGTGACGATTGCATTCAAGTCACAGAGGTGAACATTCCCTTTCAGAGAGCACTTTGGAAACTCTCGTTGTGTAGAATCTGCAAGTGGAGATATGGACCGCTTTGAGGCCTATGGTAGTAAAGGAAACAGCTTCATATAAAAACTAGACAGCAGCATTCTCAGAAAACTCTTTGTGACGACTGAGTTTAACTCACAGGGCTGAACATTCCTTTGGATGGAGCAGTTTGGAAACACACTATCTGTAGGATCTGCAAGCGGATACTTGGGCCTCCCTGAGGATTTCGTTGGAAACGGGATAAACCGCACAGAACTAAACAGAAGCATTCTCAGAACCTTCTTCGTGATGTTTGCATTCAACCCACAGTGTTGAACCTTTCTTTGATAGTTCAGGTTTGAAACACTCTTTCTGTAGAAACTGCAAGTGGATAACTGCACTTCTTTGAGGCCTATCGTAGTAAAGGAAATAACTTCCTATAAAAACAAGACAGAAGCTTTCTCAGAAAATTCTCTGCGATGATTGAGTTGAACTCACAGAGCAGTACTTTCCTTGGGATGGAGTAGTTTCGAAACACACTTTCTGTAGAATCTGCAAGTGGATATTTGGACCTGTCTGAGGAATTCGTTGCAAACGGGATAATTTCAGCTAAGTAAACAGAAGCAGTCTCAGAATCTTCTTGTGATGGTTGCATTCAAATCCCAGAATTGAACCTTCCTTTGAAAGTTCAGGTTGGAAACACTCTTTTTGCAGGATCTACAAGTGGATATTCGGACCACTCTGTGGACTTCGTTCGAAACGGGTATATCTTCACATAACATCTAGACAGAAGCATTCTCAGAAACTTTTCTGTGATGACTGCATTCAACTCACAGAGTTGAACACTCCTTTTGAGAGCGCAGTTTTGAAACTCTCTTTCTCTGGAATCTGCAAGGGGACATGCAGACCTCTTTGAAGGTTTCATTGGAAACGGAATCATCTTCACATAAAAATTACACAGAAGCATCCTCAGGAACTCCTTGGTGATGTTTGTATTCAACTTCCAGAGTTGAACTTTCCTTCGGAAAGAGCAGCTATGAAACACTCTTTTTCTAGAATCTGCAAGTGGACATTGGGAGGGCTGTGAGGTTTGTGGTGGAAAAGGAAATATCTCCACATAAATACTAGATAGAAACCTTCTCAGAAACTACTTTGTGATGATTGCATTCACCTCACGGATTGGAGCATTCCTATTGACAGAGCAGTTTGGAAACACTCTTCTTGTAGAATCGGCTAGTGGAGATTTGGAGCGCTTTGAGGCCTATGGTAGTAAAGGGAAGAGCTTCACATAAAATCTAGACAGAAGCATTCTCAGAAAATACTTTGTGATGATTGAGTTTAACACACAGAGCTGAACATTCCTTTGGATGGAGAAGGTTTGAAACACACTTTCTGTAGAATCTGCGAGTGGATATTTGGACCTCTCTGAGGATTTTGTTGGAAACGGGATAACTGCACCTAACTAAACGGAAGCATTCTCACAAAATTCTTTGTGATGTTTGCATTCAAATCCCAGAGTTGAACCTTCCTTTGATAGTTCAGCTTTGAAACACTCTTTTTGTAGGATCTGCAGGTGGATATTTGGACCACTCTTTGGCCTTCGTTCGAAAAGGGTACATCTTCAAATAAAATCTAGACAGAAGCCTTCTCAGAAACTTCTCTGTGACGATTGCATTCAACTCAAAGCGTTGAACCCTCCTATGGATAGAGCAGTTTTGAATCTCTCTTTTTGTGGAATCTGCAAGTGGATATGTGGTCCTCTTTGAAGATGTCTTTGGAAACGGGAATATCTTCACATAAAAACTAAACAGAAGCATTCTCAGAAACTTCTCTGTGATGTTTGTGTTCAACTCACAGAGTTTCACGTTGCTTTTCATAGAGCAGATGAGAAACATGCTTTTCGTAGGGTCTGCAAGTGGACATTTGGAGAGATTTCAGGCCTGTGGTGGAAAACGAATTATCGTCACGTAAAAACTAGAGAGAAGCATTGTCAGAAACTTGTTTGTGATGACTGCATTCAACTCACAGAGTTGAAGGTTCCTTTTCAAACAGCAGTTTCCAAACACTCTTTCTGTGGCATCTGCAAGTGGATGTTTGGGCCTCTTTGAAGATTTCGTTGGAAACGGGATAATCTTCACAGAAAAGCTAAACAGAAGCATTCTCAGAAACTTCTTTGTGATGTTTGCTTTCAACTCACAGAGTTGAACTTTCCTTTTGAGAGAGAAGCTTTGAAACACTCTTTTTCTAGAATCTGCAAGTGGATATTTGGAGGGCTTTGAGGCCTGTGGTGGAAAAGGAATTATCTTCCCATAAGAACTAGATAGATGCATTCTCAGAAACTACTTTGTGACGATTGCATTCAAGTCACAGAGGTGAACATTCCCTTTCAGAGAGCACTTTGGAAACTCTCGTTGTGTAGAATCTGCAAGTGGAGATATGGACTGCTTTGAGGCCTATGGTAGTAAAGGAAACAGCTTCATATAAAAACTAGACAGCAGCATTCTCAGAAAACTCTTTGTGACGACTGAGTTTAACTCACAGGGCTGAACATTCCTTTGGATGGAGCAGTTTGGAAACACACTATCTGTAGGATCTGCAAGCGGATACTTGGGCCTCCATGAGGATTTCGTTGGAAACGGGATAAACCACACAGAACTAAACAGAAGCATTCTCAGAACCTTCTTCGTGACGTTTACATTCAACGCACAGTGTTGAACCTTTCTTTGATAGTTCAGGTTTGAAACACTCTTTTTGTAGAAACTGCAAGTGGATAACTGCACTTCTTTGAGGCCTATCGTAGTAAAGGAAATAACTTCCTATAAAAACAAGACAGAAGCTTTCTCAGAAAATTCTCTGGGATGATTGAGTTGAACTCACAGAGCAGTACTTTCCTTGGGATGGAGTAGTTTCGAAACACACTTTCTGTAGAATCTGCAAGTGGATATTTGGACCTGTCTGAGGAATTCGTTGCAAACGGGATAATTTCAGCTAAGTAAACAGAAGCAGTCTCAGAATCTTCTTGTGATGTTTGCATTCAAATCCCAGAATGGAACCTTCCTTTGAAAGTTCAGGTTGGAAACACTCTTTTTGCAGGATCTACAAGTGGATATTCGGACCACTCTGTGGACTTCGTTCGAAACGGGTATATCTTCACATAACATCTAGACAGAAGCATTCTCAGAAACTTTTCTGTGATGACTGCATTCAACTCACAGAGTTGAACACTCCTTTTGAGAGCGCAGTTTTGAAACTCTCTTTCTCTGGAATCTGCAAGGGGACATGCAGACCTCTTTGAAGGTTTCGTTGGAAACGGAATCATCTTCACATAAAAATTACACGGAAGCATCTTCAGGAACTCCTTGGTGATGTTTGTATTCAACTTCCAGAGTTGAACTTTCCTTCGGAAAGAGCAGCTATGAAACACTCTTTTTCTAGAATCTGCAAGTGGACATTGGGAGGGCTGTGAGGTTTGTGGTGGAAAAGGAAATATCTCCACATAAATACTAGATAGAAGCCTTCTCAGAAACTCCTTTGTGATGATTGCATTCACCTCACGGAGTTGAGCACTCCTATTGACAGAGCAGTTTGGAAACACTCTTGTTGTAGAATCTCCTAGTGGAGATTTGGAGCGCTTTGAGGCCTATGGTAGTAAAGGGAAGAGCTTCACATAAAATCTAGACAGAAGCATTCTCAGAAAATACTTTGTGATGATTGAGTTTAACACACAGAGCTGAACATTCCTTTGGATGGAGAAGGTTTGAAACACACTTTCTGTAGAATCTGCGAGTGGATATTTGGACCTCTCTGAGGATTTCGTTGGAAACGGGATAACTGCACCTAACTAAACGGAAGCATTCTCACAAAATTCTTTGTGATGTTTGCATTCAAATCCCAGAGTTGAACCTTCCTTTGATAGTTCAGCTTTGAAACACTCTTTTTGTAGGTTCTGCAGGTGGATATTTGGACCACTCTTTGGCCTTCGTTCGAAACGGGTACATCTTCAAATAAAATCTAGACAGAAGCCTTCTCAGAAAACTTCTCTGTGATGATTGCATTCAACTGAAGGCGTTGAACCCTCCTATGGATAGGGCAGTTTTGAATCTCTCTTTTTGTGGAATCTGCAAGTGGATATGTGGTCCTCTTTGAAGATGTCTTTGGAAACGGGAATATCTTCACATAAAAACTAAACAGAAGCATTCTCAGAAACTTCTCTGTGATGTTTGTGTCCAACTCAAAGAGTTTCACGTTGCTTTTCATAGAGCAGATGAGAAACATGCTTTTCGTAGGGTCTGCAAGTGGACATTTGGAGAGATTTCAGGCCTGTGGTGGAAAACGAATTATCGTCACGTAAAAACTAGAGAGAAGCATTGTCAGAAACTTGTTTGTGATGACTGCATTCAACTCACAGAGTTGAAGGTTCCTTTTCAAACAGCAGTTTCCAAACACTCTTTCTGTGGCATCTGCAAGTGGATGTTTGGGCCTCTTTGAAGATTTCGTTGGAAACGGGATAATCTTCACAGAAAAGCTAAACAGAAGCATTCTCAGAAACTTCTTTGTGATGTTTGCTTTCAACTCACAGAGTTGAACTTTCCTTTTGAGAGAGAAGCTTTGAAACACTCTTTTTCTAGAATCTGCAAGTGGATATTTGGAGGGCTTTGAGGCCTGAGGTGGAAAAGGAATTATCTTCCCGTAAGAACTAGATAGATGCATTCTCAGAAACTACTTTGTGACGATTGCATTAAAGTCACACAGGTGAACATTCCCTTTCAGAGAGCACTTTGGAAACTCTCGTTGTGTAGAATCTGCAAGTGGAGATATGGACCGCTTTGAGGCCTATGGTAGTAAAGGAAACAGCTTCATATAAAAACTAGACAGCAGCATTCTCAGAAAACTCTTTGTGACGACTGAGTTTAACTCACAGGGCTGAACATTCCTTTGGATGGAGCAGTTTGGAAACACACTATCTGTAGGATCTGCAAGCGGATACTTGGGCCTCCCTGAGGATTTCGTTGGAAACGGGATAAACCGCACAGAACTAAACAGAAGCATTCTCAGAACCTTCTTCGTGATGTTTGCATTCAACCCACAGTGTTGAACCTTTCTTTGATAGTTCAGGTTTGAAACACTGTTTTTGTAGAAACTGCAAGTGGATAACTGCACTTCTTTGAGGCCTATCGTAGTAAAGGAAATAACTTCCTATAAAAACAAGACAGAAGCTTTCTCAGAAAATTCTCTGGGATGATTGAGTTGAACTCACAGAGCAGTACTTTCTTTGGGATGGAGTAGTTTCGAAACACACTTTCTGTACAATCTGCAAGTGGATATTTGGACCTGTCTGAGGAATTCGTTGCAAACGGGATAATTTCAGCTAAGTAAACAGAAGCAGTCTCAGAAACTTCTTGTGATGTTTGCATTCAAATCCCAGAATTGAACCTTCCTTTGAAAGTTCAGGTTGGAAACACTCTTTATGCAGGATCTACAAGTGGATATTCGGACCACTCTGTGGACTTCGTTCGAAACGGGTATATCTTCACATAACATCTAGACAGAAGCATTCTCAGAAACTTTTCTGTGATGACTGCATTCAACTCACAGAGTTGAACACTCCTTTTGAGAGCGCAGTTTTGAAACTCTCTTTCTCTGGAATCTGCAAGGGGACATGCAGACCTCTTTGAAGGTTTCGTTGGAAACGGAATCATCTTCACATAAAAATTACACAGAGGCATCCTCAGGAACTCCTTGGTGATGTTTGTATTCAACTTCCAGAGTTGAACTTTCCTTCGGAAAGAGCAGCTATGAAACACTCTCTTTCTAGAATCTGCAAGTGGACATTGGGAGGGTGTGAGGTTTGTGGTGGAAAAGGAAATATCTCCACATAAATACTAGATAGAAGCCTTCTCAGAAACTACTTTGTGATGATTGCATTCACCTCACGGAGTGGAGCATTCCTATTGACAGAGCAGTTGGAAACACTCTTGTTGTAGAATCTGCTAGTGGAGATTTGGAGCGCTTTGAGACCTATGGTAGTAAAAGGAAGAGCTTCACGTAAAATCTAGACAGAAGCATTCTCAGAAAATACTTTGTGATGATTGAGTTTAACACACAGAGCTGAACATTCCTTTGGATGGAGAAGGTTTGAAACACACTTTCTGTAGAATCTGCGAGTGGATATTTGGACGTCTCTGAGGATTTCGTTGGAAACGGGATAACTGCACCTAACTAAACGGAAGCATTCTCACAAAATTCTTTGTGATGTTTGCATTCAAATCCCAGAGTTGATCCTTCCTTTGATAGTTCAGCTTTGAAACACTCTTTTTGTAGGATCTGCAAGTGGATATTTGGACCACTCTTTGGCCTTCGTTCGAAACGGGTACATATTCAAATAAAATCTAGACAGAAGCCTTCTCAGAAACTTCTCTGTGACGATTGCATTCAACTCAAAGCGTTGAACCCTCCTATGGATAGAGCAGTTTTGAATCTCTCTTTTTGTGGAATCTGCAAGTGGATATGTGGTCCTCTTTGAAGATGTCTTTGGAAACGGGAATATCTTCACATAAAAACTAAACAGAAGCATTCTCAGAAACTTCTCTGTGATGTTTGTGTTCAACTCACAGAGTTTCACGTTGCTTTTCATAGAGCAGATGAGAAACATGCTTTTCGTAGGGTCTGCAAGTGGACATTTGGAGAGATTTCAGGCCTGTGGTGGAAAACGAATTATCGTCACGTAAAAACTAGAGGGAAGCATTGTCAGAAACTTGTTTGTGATGACTGCATTCAACTCACAGTAGTTGAAGGTTCCTTTTCAAACAGCAGTTTCCAAACACTCTTTCTGTGGCATCTGCAAGTGGATGTTTGGGCCTCTTTGAAGATTTCGTTGGAAACGGGATACTCTTCACAGAAAAGCTAAACAGAAGCATTCTCAGAAACTTCTTTGTGATGTTTGCTTTCAACTCACAGAGTTGAACTTTCCTTTTGAGAGAGAAGCTTTGAAACACTCTTTTTCTAGAATCTGCAAGTGGATATTTGGAGGGCTTTGAGGCCTGAGGTGGAAAAGGAATTATCTTCCCGTAAGAACTAGATAGATGCATTCTCAGAAACTACTTTGTGACGATTGCATTCAAGTCACAGAGGTGAACATTCCCTTTCACAGAGCACTTTGGAAACTCTCGTTGTGTAGAATCTGCAAGTGGAGATATGGACCGCTTTGAGGCCTATGGTAGTAAAGGAAACAGCTTCATATAAAAACTAGACAGCAGCATTCTCAGAAAACTCTTTGTGACGACTGAGTTTAACTCACAGGGCTGAACATTCCTTTGGATGGAGCAGTTTGGAAACACACTATCTGTAGGATCTGCAAGCGGATACTTGGGCCTCCCTGAGGATTTCGTTGGAAACGGGATAAACCGCACAGAACTAAAGAGAAGCATTCTCAGAACCTTCTTCGTGACGTTTGCATTCAACCCACAGTGTTGAACCTTTCTTTGATAGTTCAGGTTTGAAACACTCTTTTTGTAGAAACTGCAAGTGGATAACTGCACTTCTTTGAGGCCTATCGTAGTAAAGGAAATAACTTCCTATAAAAACAAGACAGAAGCTTTCTCAGAAAATTCTCTGGGATGATTGAGTTGAACTCACAGAGCAGTACTTTCCTTGGGATGGAGTAGTTTCGAAACACACTTTCTGTAGAATCTGCAAGTGGATATTTGGACCTGTCTGAGGAATTCTTTGCAAAAGGGATAATTTCAGCTAAGTAAACAGAAGCAGTCTCAGAATCTTCTTGTGATGTTTGCATTCAAATCCCAGAATTGAACCTTCTTTGAAAGTTCAGGTTTGAAACACTCTTTTTGCAGGATCTACAAGTGGATATTCGGACCACTCTGTGGACTTCGATCGAAACGGGTATATCTTCATATAACATCTACACAGAAGCATTCTCAGAAACTTTTCTGTGATGACTGCATTCAACTCACAGAGTTGAACACACCTTTTGAGAGCGCAGTTTTGAAACTCTCTTTCTCTAGAATCTGCAAGGGGACATGCAGACCTCTTTGAAGGTTTCGTTGGAAACGGAATCATCTTCACATAAAAATTACACAGAAGCATCCTCAGGAACTCCTTGGTGATGTTTGTATTCAACTTCCAGAGTTGAACTTTCCTTCGGAAAGAGCAGCTATGAAACACTCTTTTTCTAGAATCTGCAAGTGGACATTGGGAGGGCTGTGAGGTTTGTGGTGGAAAAGGAAATATCTCCACATAAATACTAGATAGAAGCCTTCTCAGAAACTACTTTGTCATGATTGCATTCACCTCACGGAGTGGAGCATTCCTATTGACAGAGCAGTTTGGAAACACTCTTCTTGTAGAATCGGCTAGTGGAGGTTTGGAGCGCTTTGAGGCCTATGGTAGTAAAGGGAAGAGCTTCACATGAAATCTAGACAGAAGCATTCTCAGAAAATACTTTGTGATGATTGAGTTTAACACACAGAGCTGAACATTCCTTTGGATGGAGAAGGTTTGAAACACACTTTCTGTAGAATCTGCGAGTGGATATTTGGACCTCTCTGAGGATTTCGTTGGAAACGGGATAACTGCACCTAACTAAACGGAAGCATTCTCACAAAATTCTTTGTGATGTTTGCATTCAAATCCCAGAGTTGATCCTTCCTTTGATAGTTCAGCTTTGAAACACTCTTTTTGTAGGATCTGCAAGTGGATATTTGGACCACTCTTTGGCCTTCGTTCGAAACGGGTACATATTCAAATAAAATCTAGACAGAAGCCTTCTCAGAAACTTCTCTGTGACGATTGCATTCAACTCAAAGCGTTGAACCCTCCTAAGGATAGAGCAGTTTTGAATCTCTCTTTTTGTGGAATCTGCAAGTGGATATGTGGTCCTCTTTGAAGATGTCTTTGGAAACGGGAATATCTTCATATTAAAACTAAACAGAAGCATTCTCAGAAACTTCTCTGTGATGTTTGTGTTCAACTCACAGAGTTTCACGTTGCTTTTCATAGAGCAGATGAGAAACATGCTTTTCGTAGGGTCTGCAAGTGGACATTTGGAGAGCTTTCAGGCCTGTGGTGGAAAACGAATTATCGTCACGTAAAAACTAGAGAGAAGCATTGTCAGAAACTTGTTTGTGATGACTGCATTCAACTCACAGAGTTGAAGGTTCCTTTTCAAACAGCAGTTTCCAAACACTCTTTCTGTGGCATCTGCAAGTGGATGTTTGGGCCTCTTTGAAGATTTCGTTGGAAACGGGATAATCTTCACAGAAAAGCTAAACAGAAGCATTCTCAGAAACTTCTTTGTGATGTTTGCTTTCAACTCACAGAGTTGAACTTTCCTTTTGAGAGAGAAGCTTTGAAACACTCTTTTTCTAGAATCTGCAAGTGGATATTTGGAGGGCTTTGAGGCCTGTGGTGGAAAAGGAATTATCTTCCCGTAAGAACTAGATAGATGCATTCTCAGAAACTACTTTGTGACGATTGCATTCAAGTCACAGAGGTGAACATTCCCTTTCAGAGAGCACTTTGGAAACTCTCGTTGTGTAGAATCTGCAAGTGGAGATATGGACCGCTTTGAGGCCTATGGTAGTAAAGGAAACAGCTTCATATAAAAACTAGACAGCAGCATTCTCAGAAAACTGTTTGTGACGACTGAGTTTAACTCACAGGGCTGAACATTCCTTTGGATGGAGCAGTTTGGAAACACACTATCTGTAGGATCTGCAAGCGGATACTTGGGCCTCCCTGAGGATTTCGTTGGAAACGGGATAAACCGCACAGAACTAAACAGAAGCATTCTCAGAACCTTCTTCGTGATGTTTGCATTCAACCCACAGTGTTGAACCTTTCTTTGATAGTTCAGGTTTGAAACACTCTTTTTGTAGAAACTGCAAGTGGATAACTGCACTTCTTTGAGGCCTATCGTAGTAAAGGAAATAACTTCCTATAAAAACAAGACAGAAGCTTTCTCAGAAAATTCTCTGGGATGATTGAGTTGAACTCACAGAGCAGTACTTTCCTTGGGATGGAGTAGTTTCAAAACACACTTTCTGTAGAATCTGCAAGTGGATATTTGGACCTGTATGAGGAATTCGTTGCAAACAGGATAATTTCAGCTAAGTAAACAGAAGCAGTCTCAGAATCTTCTTGTGATGTTTGCATTCAAATCCCAGAATTGAACCTTCCTTTGAAAGTTCAGGTTGGAAACACTCTTTTTGCAGGATCTACAAGTGGATATTCAGACCACTCTGTGGACTTCGTTCGAAACGGGTATATCTTCACATAACATCTAGACAGAAGCATTCTCAGAAACTTTTCTGTGATGACTGCATTCAACTCACAGAGTTGAACACTCCTTTTGAGAGCGCAGTTTTGAAACTCTCTTTCTCTGGAATCTGCAAGGGGACATGCAGACCTCTTTGAAGATTTCGTTGGAAACGGAATCATCTTCACATAAAAATTACACAGAAGCATCCTCAGGAACTCCTTGGTGATGTTTGTATTCAACTTCCAGAGTTGAACTTTCCTTCGGAAAGAGCAGCTATGAAACACTCTTTTTCTAGAATCTGCAAGTGGACATTGGGAGGGCTGTGAGGTTTGTGGTGGAAAAGGAAATATCTCCACATAAATACTAGATAGAAGCCTTCTCAGAAACTACTTTGTGATGATTGCATTCACCTCACGGTGTAGAGCATTCCTATTGACAGAGCAGTTTGGAAACACTCTTGTTGTAGAATCTGCTAGTGGAGATTTGGAGCGCTTTGAGGCCTATGGTAGTAAAGGGAAGAGCTTCACATAAAATCAAGACAGAAGCATTCTCAGAAAATACTTTGTGATGATTGAGTTTAACACACAGAGCTGAACATTCCTTTGGATGGAGAAGGTTTGAAACACACTTTCTGTAGAATCTGCGAGTGGATATTTGGACCTCTCTGAGGATTTCGTTGGAAACGGGATAACTGCACCTAACTAAACGGAAGCATTCTCACAAAATTCTTTGTGATGTTTGCATTCAAATCCCAGAGTTGAACCTTCCTTTGATAGTTCAGTTTTGAAACACTCTTTTTGTAGGATCTGCAGGTGGATATTTGGACCACTCTTTGGCCTTCGTTCGAAAAGGGTACATCTTCAAATAAAATCTAGACAGAAGCCTTCTCAGAAACTTCTCTGTGACGATTGCATTCAACTCAGAGAGTTGAACCCTCCTATGGATAGAGCAGTTTTGAATCTCTCTTTTTGTGGAATCTGCAAGTGGATATGTGGTCCTCTTTGAAGATGTCTGTGGAAACGGGAATATCTTCACATAAAAACTAAACAGAAGCATTCTCAGAAACTTCTCTGTGATGTTTGTGTTCAACTCACAGAGTTTCACGTTGCTTTTCATAGAGCAGATGAGAAACATGCTTTTCGTAGGGTCTGCAAGTGGACATTTGGAGAGCTTTCAGGCCTGTGGTGGAAAACGAATTATCGTCACGTAAAAACTAGAGAGAAGCATTTTCAGAAACTTGTTTGTGATGACTGCATTCAACTCACAGAGTTGAAGGTTCCTTTTCAAACAGCAGTTTCCAAACACTCTTTCTGTGGCATCTGCAAGTGGATGTTTGGGCCTCTTTGAAGATTTCGTTGGAAACGGGATAATCTTCACAGAAAAGCTAAACAGAAGCATTCTCAGAAACTTCTTTGTGATGTTTGCTTTCAACTCACAGAGTTGAACTTTCCTTTTGAGAGAGAAGCTTTGAAACACTCTTTTTCTAGAATCTGCAAGTGGATATTTGGAGGGCTTTGAGGCCTGTGGTGGAAAAGGAATTATCTTCCCGTAAGAACTAGATAGATGCATTCTCAGAAACTACTTTGTGACGATTGCATTCAAGTCACAGAGGTGAACATTCCCTTTCACAGAGCACTTTGGAAACTCTCGTTGTGTAGAATCTGCAAGTGGAGATATGGACCGCTTTGAGGCCTATGGTAGTAAAGGAAACAGCTTCATATAAAAACTAGACAGCAGCATTCTCAGAAAACTCTTTGTGACGACTGAGTTTAACTGACAGGGCTGAACATTCCTTTGGATGGAGCAGTTTGGAAACACACTATCTGTAGGATCTGCAAGCGGATACTTGGGCCTCTCTGAGGATTTCGTTGGAAACGGGATAAAACGCACAGAACTAAACAGAAGCATTCTCAGAACCTTCTTCGTGA
Organism: Homo sapiens; assembly: GCF_000001405.40. Classification (NCBI taxonomy): domain Eukaryota; kingdom Metazoa; phylum Chordata; class Mammalia; order Primates; family Hominidae; genus Homo; species Homo sapiens. The sequence goes on from NC_000017.11 coordinate 22,909,574, forward strand.
TGTTTGCATTCAACCCACAGTGTTGAACCTTTCTTTGATAGTGCAGGTTTGAAACACTCTTTTTGTAGAAACTGCAAGTGGATAACTGCACTTCTTTGAGGCCTATCGTAGTAAAGGAAATAACTTCCTATAAAAACAAGACAGAAGCTTTCTCAGAAAATTCTCTGGGATGATTGAGTTGAACTCACCAGAGCAGTACTTTCCTTGGGATGGAGTAGTTTCGAAACACACTTTCTGTAGAATCTGCAAGTGGATATTTGGACCTGTCTGAGGAATTCGTTGCAAACGGGATAATTTCAGCTAAGTAAACAGAAGCAGTCTCAGAATCTTCTTGTGATGTTTGCATTCAAATCCCAGAATTGAACCTTCCTTTGAAAGTTCAGGTTGGAAACACTCTTTTTGCAGGATCTACAAGTGGATATTCGGACCACTCTGTGGACTTCGTTCGAAACGGGTATATCTTCACATAACATCTAGACAGAAGCATTCTCAGAAACTTTTCTGTGATGACTGCATTCAACTCACAGAGTTGAACACTGCTTTTGAGAGCGCAGTTTTGAAACTCTCTTTCTCTGGAATCTGCAAGGGGACATGCAGACCTCTTTGAAGGTTTCGTTGGAAACGGAATCATCTTCACATAAAAATTACACAGAAGCATCCTCAGGAACTCCTTGGTGATGTTTGTATTCAACTTCCAGAGTTGAACTTTCCTTCGGAAAGAGCAGCTATGAAACACTCTTTTTCTAGAATCTGCAAGTGGACATTGGGAGGGCTGTGAGGTTTGTGGTGGAAAAGGAAATATCTCCACATAAATACTAGATAGAAGCCTTCTCAGAAACTACTTTGTGATGATTGCATTCACCTCACGGAGTTGAGCATTCCTATTGACAGAGCAGTTTGGAAACACTCTTGTTGTAGAATAGGCTAGTGGAGATTTGGAGCGCTTTGAGGCCTATGGTAGTAAAGGGAAGAGCTTCACATAAAATCTAGACAGAAGCATTCTCAGAAAATACTTTGTGATGATTGAGTTTAACACACAGAGCTGAACATTACTTTGGATGGAGCAGGTTTGAAACACACTTTCTATAGAATCTGCGAGTGGATATTTGGACCTCTCTGAGGATTTCGTTGGAAACGGGATAACTGCACCTAACTAAACGGAAGCATTCTCACAAAATTCTTCGTGATGTTTGCATTCAAATCCCAGAGTTGAACCTTCCTTTGATAGTTCAGCTTTGAAACACTCTTTTTGTAGGATCTGCAAGTGGATATTTGGACCACACTTTGGCCTTCCTTCGAAACGGGTACATCTTCATATAAAATCTAGACAGAAGCCTTCTCAGAAACTTCTCTGTGATGATTGCATTCAACTCAAGGCGTTGAACCCTCCTATGGATAGGGCAGTTTTGAATCTCTCTTTTTGTGGAATCTGCAAGTGTATATGTGGTCCTCTTTGAAGATGTCTTTGGAAACGGGAATATCTTCACATAAAAACTAAACAGAAGCATTCTCAGAAACTTCTCTGTGATGTTTGTGTCCAAATCACAGAGTTTCACGTTGCTTTTCATAGAGCAGATGAGAAACATGCTTTTCGTAGGGTCTGCAAGTGGACATTTGGAGAGATTTCAAGCCTGTGGTGGAAAACGAATTATCGTCACGTAAAAACTAGAGGGAAGCATTGTCAGAAACTTGTTTGTGATGACTGCATTCAACTCACAGAGTTGAAGGTTCCTTTTCAAACAGCAGTTTCCAAACACTCTTTCTGTGGCATCTGCAAGTGGATGTTTGGGCCTCTTTGAAGATTTCGTTGGAAACGGGATAATCTTCACAGAAAAGCTAAACAGAAGCATTCTCAGAAACTTCTTTGTGATGTTTGCTTTCAACTCACAGAGTTGAACATTCCTTTTGAGAGAGAAGCTTTGAAACACTCTTTTTCTAGAATCTGCAAGTGGATATTTGGAGGGCTTTGAGGCCTGAGGTGGAAAAGGAATTATCTTCCCGTAAGAACTAGATAGATGCATTCTCAGAAACTACTTTGTGACGATTGCATTCAAGTCACAGAGGTGAACATTCCCTTTCACAGAGCACTTTGGAAACTCTCGTTGTGTAGAATCTGCAAGTGGAGATATGGACCGCTTTGAGGCCTATGGTAGTAAAGGAAACAGCTTCATATAAAAACTAGACAGCAGCATTCTCAGAAAACTCTTTGTGACGACTGAGTTTAACTCAAAGGGCTGAACATTCCTTTCGATGGAGCAGTTTGGAAACACACTATCTCTAGGATCTGCAAGCGGATACTTGGGCCTCTCTGAGGATTTCGTTGGAAACGGGATAAACCGCACAGAACTAAACAGAAGCATTCTCAGAACCTTCTTCGTGACGTTTGCATTCAACCCACAGTGTTGAACCTTTCTTTGATAGTTCAGGTTTGAAACACTCTTTTTGTAGAAACTGCAAGTGGATAACTGCACTTCTTTGAGGCCTATCGTAGTAAAGGAAATAACTTCCCATAAAAACAAGACAGAAGCTTTCTCAGAAAATTCTCTGGGATGATTGAGTTGAACTCACAGAGCAGTACTTTCCTTGGGATGGAGTAGTTTCGAAACACACTTTCTGTAGAATCTGCAAGTGGATATTTGGACCTGTCTGAGGAATTCGTTGCAAACGGGATAATTTCAGCTAAGTAAACAGAATCAGTCTCAGAATCTTCTTGTGATGTTTGCATTCAAATCCCAGAATTGAACCTTCCTTTGAAAGTTCAGGCTGGAAACACTCTTTTTGCAGGGTCTACAAGTGGATATTCGGTCCACTCTGTGGACTTCGTTCGAAACGGGTATATCTTCACATAACATCTAGACAGAAGCATTCTCAGAAACTTTTCTGTGATGACTGCATTCAACTCACAGAGTTGAACACTCCTTTTGAGAGCGCAGTTTTGAAACTCTCTTTCTCTGGAATCTGCAAGGGGACATGCAGACGTCTTTGAAGGTTTCGTTGGAAACGGAATCATCTCCACATAAAAATTACACAGAAGCATTCTCAGGAACTCCTTGGTGATGTTTGTATTCAACTTCCAGAGTTGAACTTTCCTTCGGAAAGAGCAGCTATGAAACACTCTTTTTCTAGAATCTGCAAGTGGACATTGGGAGGGCTGTGAGGTTTGTGGTGGAAATGGAAATATCTCCACATAAATACTAGATAGAAGCCTTCTCAGAAACTACTTTGTGATGATTGCATTCACCTCACAGAGTGGAGCATTCCTATTGACAGAGCAGTTTGGAAACACTCTTCTTGTAGAATCTCCTAGTGGAGGTTTGGAGCGCTTTGAGGCCTATGGTAGTAAAGGGAAGAGCTTCACATAAAATCTAGACAGAAGCATTCTCAGAAAATACTTTGTGATGATTGAGTTTAACACACAGAGCTGAACATTACCTTTGCGATGGAGCAGGTTTGAAACACACTTTCTATAGAATCTGCGAGTGGATATTTGGACCTCTCTGAGGATTTCGTTGGAAACGGGATAACTGCACCTAACTAAATGGAAGCATTCTCACAAAATTCTTTGTGATGTTTGCATTCAAATCCCAGAGTTGAACCTTCCTTTGATAGTTCAGCTTTGAAACATTCTTTTTGTAGGTTCTGCAAGTGGATATTTGGACGACTCTTTGGCCTTCGTTCGAAACGGGTACATCTTCAAATGAAAACTAGACAGAAGCCTTCTCAGAAACTTCTCTGTGACGATTGCATTCAACTCAAAGAGTTGAACCCTCCTATGGATAGAGCAGTTTTGAATCTCTCTTTTTGTGGAATCTGCAAGTGGATATGTGGTCCTCTTTGAAGATGTCTTTGGAAACGGGAATATCTTCACATTAAAACTAAACAGAAGCATTCTCAGAAACTTCTCTGTGATGTTTGTCTTCAACTCACAGAGTTTTACGTTGCTTTTCATAGAGCAGATGAGAAACATGCTTTTCGTAGGGTCTGCAAGTGGACATTTGGAGAGCTTTCAGGCCTGTGGTGGAAAACGAATTATCGTCACGTAAAAACTAGAGAGAAGCATTGTCAGAAACTTGTTTGTGATGACTGCATTCAACTCACAGAGTTGAAGGTTCCTTTTCAAACAGCAGTTTCCAAACACTCTTTCTGTGGCATCTGCAGTGGATGTTTGGGCCTCTTTGAAGATTTCGTTGGAAACGGGATAATCTTCACAGAAAAGCTAAACAGAAGCATTCTCAGAAACTTCTTTGTGATGTTTGCTTTCAACTCACAGAGTTGAACTTTCCTTTTGAGAGAGAAGCTTTGAAACACTCTTTTTCTAGAATCTGCAAGTGGATATTTGGAGGGCTTTGAGGCCTGAGGTGGAAAAGGAATTATCTTCCCGTAAGAACTAGGTAGATGCATTCTCAGAAACTACTTTGTGACGATTGCATTCAAGTCACAGAGGTGAACATTCCCTTTCAGAGAGCACTTTGGAAACTCTCGTTGTGTAGAATCTGCAAGTGGAGATATGGACTGCTTTGAGGCCTATGGTAGTAAAGGAAACAGCTTCATATAAAAACTAGACAGCTAGCATTCTCAGCAAAACTCTTTGTGACGACTGAGTTTAACTCACAGGGCTGAACATTCCTTTGGATGGAGCAGTTTCGAAACACACTACTTGTAGAATCTGCCAGTGGATATTTGGGCCTCTCTGAGGATTTCGCTGGAAACGGGATAAACCGCACAGAAATAAACAGAAGCATTCTCAGAACATTCTTCGTGATGTTTGCGTTCAACTCACAGCGTTGAACCTTTCCTTGATACTTCGGGTTTGAAACACTCTTTTTGTAGAAACTGCAAGTGGATAATTGCACTTCTTTGAGGCCTATCCTAGTAAAGGAAATAACTTCATATAAAAACAAGACAGAAGCTTTCTCAGAAAATTCTCTGGGATGATTGAGTTGAACTCACAGAGCAGTACTTTCCTTGGGATGGAGTAGTTTCGAAACACACTTTCTGTAGAATCTGCAAGTGGATATTTGGACCTGTCTGAGGAATTCGTTGCAAACGGGATAATTTCAGCTAAGTAAACAGAAGCAATCTCAGAATCTTCTTGTGATGTTTGCCTTCAAATCCCAGAATTGAACCTTCCTTTGAAAGTTCAGGTTGGAAACACTCTTTCTGCAGGATCTACAAGTGGATATTCGGACCACTCTGTGGACTTCGTTCGAAACGGGTATATCTTCACATAACATCTAGACAGAAGCATTCTCAGAAACTTTTCTGTGATGACTGCATTCAACTCACAGAGTTGAACACTCCTTTTGAGAGCGCAGTTTTGAAACTCTCTTTCTCTGGAATCTGCAAGGGGACTTGCAGACCTCTTTGAAGGTTTCGTTGGAAACGGAATCATCTTCACATAAAAATTACACAGAAGCATCTTCAGGAACTCCTTGGTGATGTTTGTATTCAACTTCCAGAGTTGAACTTTCCTTCGGAAAGAGCAGCTATGAAACACTCTTTTTCTAGAATCTGCAAGTGGACATTGGGAGGGCTGTGAGGTTTGTGGTGGAAAAGGAAATATCTCCACATAAATACTAGATAGAAGCCTTCTCAGAAACTACTTTGTGATGATTGCATTCACCTCACGGAGTGGAGCATTCCTATTGACAGAGCAGTTTGGAAACACTCTTGTTGTAGAATCTGCTAGTGGAGATTTGGAGCGCTTTGAGGCCTATGGTAGTAAAGGGAAGAGCTTCACATAAAATCAAGACAGAAGCATTCTCAGAAACTACTTTGTGATGATTGAGTTTAACACACAGAGCTGAACATTCCTTTGGATGGAGCAGGTTTGAAACACACTTTCTGTAGAATCTGCGAGTGGATATTTGGACCTCTCTGAGGATTTCGTTGGAAACGGGATAACTGCACCTAACTAAACGGAAGCATTCTCACAAAATTCTTCGTGATGTTTGCTTTCAAATCCCAGAGTTGAACCTTCCTTTGATAGTTCAGGTTTGAAACACTCTTTTTGTAGGATCTGCAAGTGGATATTTGGACCACTCTTTGGCCTTCCTTCGAAACGGGTACATCTTCATATAAAATCTAGACAGAAGCCTTCTCAGAAACTTCTCTGTGGTGATTGCGTTCAACTCACAGAGTTGAACGCTCCTATGGATAAAGCAGTTTTGAATCTCTCTTTTTGTGGAATCTGCAAGTGGATATGTGAACCTCTTTGAAGATGTCTTTGGAAACGGGAATATCTTCACATAAAAACTAAACAGAAGCATTCTCAGAAACTTCTCTGTGATGTTTGCGTTCAACTCACAGAGTTTCACATTGCTTTTCATAGAGCAGTTCTGAAACATGCTTTTCGGAATATCTGCAAGTGGACATTTGGAGAGCTTTCAGGCCTGTGGTGGAAAACGAATTATCGTCACATAAAAACTAGAGAGTAGCATTGTCAGAAACTTGTTTGTGATGACTGCATTCAACTCACAGAGTTGAAGGTTCCTTTTCAAACAGCAGTTTCCAAACACTCTTTCTGTGGCATCTGCAAGTGGATGTTTGGGCCTCTTTGAAGATTTCGTTGGAAACGGGATAATCTTCACAGAAAAGCTAAACAGAAGCATTCTCAGAAACTTCTTTGTGATGTTTGCTTTCAACTCACAGAGTTGAACTTTCCTTTTGAGAGAGAAGCTTTGAAACACTCTTTTTCTAGAATCTGCAAGTGGATATTTGGAGGGCTTTGAGGCCTGAGGTGGAAAAGGAATTATCTTCCCGTAAGAACTAGATAGATGCATTCTCAGAAACTACTTTGTGACGATTGCATTCAAGTCACAGAGGTGAACATTCCCTTTCAGAGAGCACTTTGGAAACTCTCGTTGTGTAGAATCTGCAAGTGGAGATATGGACCGCTTTGAGGCCTATGGTAGTAAAGGAAACAGCTTCATATAAAAACTAGACAGCAGCATTCTCAGAAAACTCTTTGTGACGACTGAGTTTAACTCACAGGGCTGAACATTCCTTTGGATGGAGCAGTTTGGAAACACACTATCTGTAGGATCTGCAAGCGGATACTTGGGCCTCCCTGAGGATTTCATTGGAAACGGGATACACCGCACAGAACTAAACAGAAGCATTCTCAGAACCTTCTTCGTGACGTTTGCATTCAACCCACAGTGTTGAACCTTTCTTTGATAGTTCAGGTTAGAAACACTCTTTTTGTAGAAACTGCAAGTGGATAACTGCACTTCTTTGAGGCCTATCGTAGTAAAGGAAATAACTTCCTATAAAAACAAGACAGAAGCTTTCTCAGAAAATTCTCTGGGATGATTGAGTTGATCTCACAGAGCAGTACTTTCCTTGGGATGGAGTAGTTTCGAAACACACTTTCTGTAGAATCTGCAAGTGGATATTTGGACCTGTCTGAGGAATTCGTTGCAAACGGGATAATTTCAGCTAAGTAAACAGAAGCAGTCTCAGAATCTTCTTGTGATGTTTGCATTCAAATCCCAGAATTGAACCTTCCTTTGAAAGTTCAGGTTGGAAACACTCTTTTTGCAGGATCTACAAGTGGATATTCGGACCACTCTGTGGACTTCGTTCGAAACGGGTATATCTTCACATAACATCTAGACAGAAGCATTCTCAGAAACTTTTCTGTGATGACTGCATTCAACTCACAGAGTTGAACACTCCTTTTGAGAGCGCAGTTTTGAAACTCTCTTTCTCTGGAATCTGCAAGGGGACATGCAGACCTCTTTGAAGGTTTCGTTGGAAACGGAATCATCTTCACATAAAAATTACACAGAAGCATTCTCAGGAACTCCTTGGTGATGTTTGTATTCAACTTCCAGAGTTGAACTTTCCTTCGGAAAGAGCAGCTATGAAACACTCTTTTTCTAGAATCTGCAAGTGGACATTGGGAGGGCTGTGAGGTTTGTGGTGGAAAAGGAAATATCTCCACATAAATACTAGATAGAAGCCTTCTCAGAAACTACTTTGTGATGATTGCATTCACCTCACGGAGTGGAGCATTCCTATTGACAGAGCAGTTTGGAAACACTCTTGTTGTAGAATCTGCTAGTGGAGATTTGGAGCGCTTTGAGGACTATGGTAGTAAAGGGAAGAGCTTCACATAAAATCAAGACAGAAGCATTCTCAGAAAATACTTTGTGATGATTGAGTTTAACACACAGAGCTGAACATTACTTTGGATGGAGCAGGTTTGAAACACACTTTCTATAGAATCTGCGAGTGGATATTTGGACCTCTCTGAGGATTTCGTTGGAAACGGGATAACTGCACCTAACTAAACGGAAGCATTCTCACAAAATTCTTCGTGAGGTTTGCATTCAAATCCCAGAGTTGAAACTTCCTTTGATAGTTCAGGTTTGAAACACTCTTTTTGTAGGATCTGCAAGTGGATATTTGGACCACTCTTTGGCCTTCCTTCGAAACGGGTACATCTTCAAATAAAATCTAGACAGAAGCCTTCTCAGAAACTTCTCTGTGATGATTGCATTCAACTCAAAGCGATGAACCCTCCTATGGATAGAGCAGTTTTGAATCTCTCTTTTTGTGGAATCTGCAAGTGGATATGTGGTCCTCTTTGAAGATGTCTTTGGAAACGGGAATATCTTCACATAAAAACTAAACTGAAGCATTCTCAGAAACTTCTCTGTGATGTTTGTGTTCAACTCACAGAGTTTCACGTTGCTTTTCATAGAGCAGATGAGAAACATGCTTTTCGTAGGGTCTGCAAGTGGACATTTGGAGAGCTTACAGGCCTGTGGTGGAAAACGAATTATCGTCACGTAAAAACTAGAGAGAAGCATTGTCAGAAACTTGTTTGTGATGACTGCATTCAACTCACAGAGTTGAAGGTTCCTTTTCAAACAGCAGTTTCCAAACACTCTTTCTGTGGCATCTGCAAGTGGATGTTTGGGCCTCTTTGAAGATTTCGTTGGAAACGGGATACTCTTCACAGAAAAGCTAAACAGATGCATTCTCAGAAACTTCTTTGTGATGTTTGCTTTCAACTCACAGAGTTGAACTTTCCTTTTGAGAGAGAAGCTTTGAAACACTCTTTTTCTAGAATCTGCAAGTGGATATTTGGAGGGCTTTGAGGCCTGTGGTGGAAAAGGAATTATCTTCCCGTAAGAACTAGATAGATGCATTCTCAGAAACTACTTTGTGACGATTGCATTCAAGTCACGGAGGTGAACATTCCCTTTCAGAGAGCACTTTGGAAACTCTCGTTGTGTAGAATCTGCAAGTGGAGATATGGACCGCTTTGAGGCCTATGGTAGTAAAGGAAACAACTTCATATAAAAACTAGACAGCAGCATTCTCAGAAAACTCTTTGTGACGACTGAGTTAAACTCACAGGGCTGAACATTCCTTTGGATGGAGCAGTTTGGAAACACACTATCTGTAGGATCTGCAAGCGGATACTTGGGCCTCCCTGAGGATTTCGTGGGAAACGGGATAAACCGCACAGAACTAAACAGAAGCATTCTCAGAACCTTCTTCGTGATGTTTGCATTCAACCCACAGTGTTGAACCTTTCTTTGATAGTTCAGGTTTGAAACACTCTTTTTGTAGAAACTGCAAGTGGATAACTGCACTTCTTTGAGGCCTATCGTAATAAAGGAAATAACTTCCTATAAAAACAAGACAGAAGCTTTCTCAGAAAATTCTCTGGGATGATTGAGTTGAACTCACAGAGCAGTACTTTCCTTGGGATGGAGTAGTTTCGAAACACACTTTCTGTAGAATCTGCAAGTGGATATTTGGACCTGTCTGAGGAATTCGTTGCAAACGGGATAATTTCAGCTAAGTAAACAGAAGCAGTCTCAGAATCTTCTTGTGATGTTTGCATTCAAATCCCAGAATGGAACCTTCCTTTGAAAGTTCAGGTTGGAAACACTCTTTTTGCAGGATCTACAAGTGGATATTCGGACCACTCTGTGGACTTCGTTTGAAACGGGTATATCTTCACATAACATCTAGACAGAAGCATTCTCAGAAACTTTTCTGTGATGACTGCATTCAACTCACAGAGTTGAACACTCCTTTTGAGAGCGCAGTTTTGAAACTCTCTTTCTCTGGAATCTGCAAGGGGACATGCAGACCTCTTTGAAGGTTTCGTTGGAAACGGAATCATCTTCACATAAAAATTACACGGAAGCATCCTCAGGAACTCCTTGGTGATGTTTGTATTCAACTTCCAGAGTTGAACTTTCCTTTGGAAAGAGCAGCTATGAAACACTCTTTTTCTAGAATCTGCAAGTGGACATTGGGAGGGCTGTGAGGTTTGTGGTGGAAAAGGAAATATCTCCACATAAATACTAGATAGAAGCCTTCTCAGAAACTACTTTGTGATGATTGCATTCACCTCACGGAGTTGAGCATTCCTATTGACAGATCAGTTTGGAAACACTCTTCTTGTAGAATCGGCTAGTGGAGATTTGGAGCGCTTTGAGGCCTATGGTGGTAAAGGGAAGAGCTTCACATAAAATCTAGACAGAAGCATTCTCAGAAAATACTTTGTGATGATTGAGTTTAACACACAGAGCTGAACATTCCTTTGGATGGAGAAGGTTTGAAACACACTTTCTGTAGAATCTGCGAGTGGATATTTGGACCTCTCTGAGGATTTCGTTGGAAACGGGATAACTGCACCTAACTAAACGGAAGCATTCTCACAAAATTCTTTGTGATGTTTGCATTCAAATCCCAGAGTTGAACCTTCCTTTGATAGTTCAGCTTTGAAACACTCTTTTTGTAGGTTCTGCAGGTGGATATTTGGACCACTCTTTGGCCTTCGTTCGAAACGGGTACATCTTCAAATAAAATCTAGACAGAAGCCTTCTCAGAAACTTCTCTGTGACGATTGCATTCAACCCAAAGAGTTGAACCCTCCTATGGATAGAGCAGTTTTGAATCTCTCTTTTTGTGGAATCTGCAAGTGGATATGTGGTCCTCTTTGAAGATGTCTTTGGAAACGGGAATATCTTCACATAAAAACTAAACAGAAGCATTCTCAGAAACTTCTCTGTGATGTTTGTGTTCAACTCACAGAGTTTCACGTTGCTTTTCATAGAGCAGATGAGAAACATGCTTTTCGTAGGGTCTGCAAGTGGACATTTGGAGAGCTTTCAGGCCTGTGGTGGAAAACGAATTATCGTCACGTAAAAACTAGAGAGAAGCATTGTCAGAAACTTGTTTGTGATGACTGCATTCAACTCACAGAGTTGAAGGTTCCTTTTCAAACAGCAGTTTCCAAACACTCTTTCTGTGGCATCTGCAAGTGGATGTTTGGGCCTCTTTGAAGATTTCGTTGGAAACGGGATAATCTTCACAGAAAAGCTAAACAGAAGCATTCTCAGAAACTTCTTTGTGATGTTTGCTTTCAACTCACAGAGTTGAACTTTCCTTTTGAGAGAGAAGCTTTGAAACACTCTTTTTCTAGAATCTGCAAGTGGATATTTGGAGGGCTTTGAGGCCTGAGGTGGAACAGGAATTATCTTCCCGTAAGAACTAGATAGATGCATTCTCAGAAACTTCTTTGTGACGATTGCATTCAAGTCACAGAGGTGAACATTCCCTTTCACAGAGCACTTTGGAAACTCTCGTTGTGTAGAATCTTCAAGTGGAGATATGGACCGCTTTGAGGCCTATGGTAGTAAAGGAAACAGCTTCATATAAAAACTAGACAGCAGCATTCTCAGAAAACTCTTTGTGACGACTGAGTTTAACTCACAGGGCTGAACATTCCTTTGGATGGAGCAGTTTGGAAACACACTATCTGTAGGATCTGCAAGCGGATACTTGGGCCTCTCTGAGGATTTCGTTGGAAACGGAATAAACCGCACAGAACTAAACAGAAGCATTCTCAGAACCTTCTTCGTGATGTTTGCATTCAACCCACAGTGTTGAACCTTTCTTTGATAGTTCAGGTTTGAAACACTCTTTTTGTAGAAACTGCAAGTGGATAACTGCACTTCTTTGAGGCCTATCGTAGTAAAGGAAATAACTTCCTATAAAAACAAGACAGAAGCTTTCTCAGAAAAATTCTCTGGGATGATTGAGTTGAACTCACAGAGCAGTACTTTCCTTGGGATGGAGTAGTTTCGAAACACACTTTCTGTAGAATCTGCAAGTGGATATTTGGACCTGTCTGAGGAATTCGTTGCAAACGGGATAATTTCAGCTAAGTAAACAGAAGCAGTCTCAGAATCTTCTTGTGATGTTTGCATTCAAATCCCAGAATGGAACCTTCCTTTGAAAGTTCAGGTTGGAAACACTCTTTTTGCAGGATCTACAAGTGGATATTCGGACCACTCTGTGGACTTCGTTCGAAACGGGTATATCTTCACATAACATCTAGACAGAAGCATTCTCAGAAACTTTTCTGTGATGACTGCATTCAACTCACAGAGTTGAACACTCCTTTTGAGAGCGCAGTTTTGAAACTCTCTTTCTCTGGAATCTGCAAGGGGACATGCAGACCTCTTTGAAGGTTTCGTTGGAAACGGAATCATCTTCACATAAAAATTACACGGAAGCATCCTCAGGAACTCCTTGGTGATGTTTGTATTCAACTTCCAGAGTTGAACTTTCCTTCGGAAAGAGCAGCTATAAAACACACTTTTTCTAGAATCTGCAAGTGGACATTGGGAGGGCTGTGAGGTTTGTGATGGAAAAGGAAATATCTCCACATAAATACTAGATAGAAGCCTTCTCAGAAACTACTTTGTGATGATTGCATTCACCTCACGGAGTGGAGCATTCCTATTGACAGAGCAGTTTGGAAACACTCTTCTTGTAGAATCGGCTAGTGGAGATTTGGAGCGCTTTGAGGCCTATGGTAGTAAAGGGAAGAGCTTCACATAAAATCTAGACAGAAGCATTCTCAGAAAATACTTTGTGATGATTGAGTTTAACACACAGAGCTGAACATTCCTTTGGATGGAGAAGGTTGGAACCACACTTTCTGTAGAATCTGCGAGTGGATATTTGGACCTCTCTGAGGATTTCGTTGGAAACGGGATAACTGCACCTAAATAAACGGAATCATTCTCACAAAATTCTTTGTGATGTTTGCATTCAAATCCCAGAGTTGAACCTTCCTTTGATAGTTCAGCTTTGAAACAGTCTTTTTGTAGGATCTGCAGGTGGATATTTGGACCACTCTTTGGCCTTCATTCGAAACGGGTACATCTTCAAATAAAATCTAGACAGAAGCCTTCTCAGAAACTTCTCTGTGACGATTGCATTCAACTGAAAGCGTTGAACCCTCCTATGGATAGAGCAGTTTTGAATCTCTCTTTTTGTGGAATCTGCAAGTGGATATGTGGTCCTCTTTGAAGATGTCTTTGGAAACGGGAATATCTTCACATAAAAACTAAACAGAAGCATTCTCAGAAACTTCTCTGTGATGTTTGTGTTCAACTCACAGAGTTTCACGTTGCTTTTCATAGAGCAGATGAGAAACATGCTTTTCGTAGGGTCTGCAAGTGGACATTTGGAGAGATTTCAGGCCTGTGGTGGAAAACGAATTATCGTCACGTAAAAACAGAGAGAAGCATTGTCAGAAACTTGTTTGTGATGACTGCATTCAACTCACAGAGTTGAAGGTTCCTTTTCAAACAGCAGTTTCCAAACACTCTTTCTGTGGCATCTGCAAGTGGATGTTTGGGCCTCTTTGAAGATTTCGTTGGAAACGGGATAATCTTCACAGAAAAGCTAAACAGAAGCATTCTCAGAAACTTCTTTGTGATGTTTGCTTTCAACTCACAGAGTTGAACTTTCCTTTTGAGAGAGAAGCTTTGAAACACTCTTTTTCTAGAATCTGCAAGTGGATATTTGGAGGGCTTTGAGGCCTGAGGTGGAAAAGGAATTATCTTCCCGTCAGAACTAGATAGATGCATTCTCAGAAACTACTTTGTGACGATTGCATTCAAGTCACAGAGGTGAACATTCCCTTTCAGAGAGCACTTTGGAAACTCTCGTTGTGTAGAATCTGCAAGTGGAGATATGGACCGCTTTGAGGCCTATGGTAGTAAAGGAAACAGCTTCATATAAAAACTAGACAGCAGCATTCTCAGAAAACTCTTTGTGACGACTGAGTTTAACTCACAGGGCTGAACATTCCTTTGGATGGAGCAGTTTGGAAACACACTATCTGTAGGATCTGCAAGCGGATACTTGGGCCTCCCTGAGGATTTCGTTGGAAACGGGATAAACTGCACAGAACTAAACAGAAGCATTCTCAGAACCTTCTTCGTGATGTTTGCATTCAACCCACAGTGTTGAACCTTTCTTTGATAGTTCAGGTTTGAAACACTCTTTTTGTAGAAACTGCAAGTGGATAACTGCACTTCTTTGAGGCCTATCGTAGTAAAGGAAATAACTTCCTATAAAAACAAGACAGAAGTTTTCTCAGAAAATTCTCTGCGATGATTGAGTTGAACTCACAGAGCAGTACTTTCCTTGGGATGGAGTAGTTTCGAAACACACTTTCTGTAGAATCTGCAAGTGGATATTTGGACCTGTCTGAGGAATTCGTTGCAAACGGGATAATTTCAGCTAAGTAAACAGAAGCAGTCTCAGAATCTTCTTGTGATGTTTGCATTCAAATCCCAGAATTGAACCTTCCTTTGAAAGTTCAGGTTGGAAACACTCTTTTTGCAGGATCTACAAGTGGATATTCGGACCACTCTGTGGACTTCGTTCGAAACGGGTATATCTTCACATAACATCTAGACAGAAGCATTCTCAGAAACTTTTCTGTGATGACTGCATTCAACTCACAGAGTTGAACACTCCTTTTGAGAGCGCAGTTTTGAAACTCTCTTTCTCTGGAATCTGCAAGGGGACATGCAGACCTCTTTGAAGGTTTCGTTGGAAACGGAATCATCTTCACATAAAAATTACACAGAAGCATCTTCAGGAACTCCTTGGTGATGTTTGTATTCAACTTCCAGAGTTGAACTTTCCTTCGGAAAGAGCAGCTATGAAACACTCTTTTTCTAGAATCTGCAAGTGGACATTGGGAGGGCTGTGAGGTTTGTGGTGGAAAAGGAAATATCTCCACATAAATACTAGATAGAAGCCTTCTCAGAAACTCCTTTGTGATGATTGCATTCACCTCACGGAGTGGAGCATTCCTATTGACAGAGCAGTTTGGAAACACTCTTGTTTTAGAATCTGCTAGTGGAGATTTGGAGCGCTTTGAGGCCTATGGTAGTAAAGGGAAGAGCTTCACATAAAATCTAGACAGAAGCATTCTCAGAAAATACTTTGTGATGATTGAGTTTAACACACAGAGCTGAACATTCCTTTGGATGGAGAAGGTTTGAAACACACTTTCTGTAGAATCTGCGAGTGGATATTTGGACCTCTCTGAGGATTTCGTTGGAAACGGGATAACTGCACCTAACAAAACGGAAGCATTCTCACAAAATTCCTTGTGATGTTTGCATTCAAATCCCAGAGTTGAACCTTCCTTTGATAGTTCAGCTTTGAAACACTCTTTTTGTAGGATCTGCTGGTGGATATTTGGACCACTCTTTGGCCTTCGTTCGAAACGGGTACATCTTCAAATAAAATCTAGACAGAAGCCTTCTCAGAAACTTCTCTGTGACGATTGCATTCAACTCAAAGAGTTGAACCCTCCTATGGATAGAGCAGTTTTTAATCTCTCTTTTTGTGGAATCTGCAAGTGGATATGTGGTCCTCTTTGAAGATGTCTTTGGAAACGGGAATATCTTCACATAAAAACTAAACAGAAGCATTCTCAGAAACTTCTCTGTGATGTTTGTGTTCAACTCACAGAGTTTCACGTTGCTTTTCATAGAGCAGATGAGAAACATGCTTTTCGTAGGGTCTGCAAGTGGACATTTGGAGAGATTTCAGGCCTGTGGTGGAAAACGAATTATCGTCACGTAAAAACTAGAGAGAGGCATTGTCAGAAACTTGTTTGTGATGACTGCATTCAACTCACAGAGTTGAAGGTTCCTTTTCAAACAGCAGTTTCCAAACACTCTTTCTGTGGCATCTGCAAGTGGATGTTTGGGCCTCTTTGAAGATTTCGTTGGAAACGGGATACTCTTCACAGAAAAGCTAAACAGAAGCATTCTCAGAAACTTCTTTGTGATGTTTGCTTTCAACTCACAGAGTTGAACTTTCCTTTTGAGAGAGAAGCTTTGAAACACTCTTTTTCTAGAATCTGCAAGTGGATATTTGGAGGTCTTTGAGGCCTGTGGTGGAAAAGGAATTATCTTCCCGTAAGAACTAGATAGATGCATTCTCAGAAACTACTTTGTGACGATTGCATTCAAGTCACGGAGGTGAACATTCCCTTTCAGAGAGCACTTTGGAAACTCTCGTTGTGTAGAATCTGCAAGTGGAGATATGGACCGCTTTGAGGCCTATGGTAGTAAAGGAAACAACTTCATATAAAAACTAGACAGCAGCATTCTCAGAAAACTCTTTGTGACGACTGAGTTTAACTCACAGGGCTGAACATTCCTTTGGATGGAGCAGTTTGGAAACACACTATCTGTAGGATCTGCAAGCGGATACTTGGGCCTCTCTGAGGATTTCGTTGGAAACGGAATAAACCGCACAGAACTAAACAGAAGCATTCTCAGAACCTTCTTCGTGATGTTTGCATTCAACCCACAGTGTTGAACCTTTCTTTGATAGTTCAGGTTTGAAACACTCTTTTTGTAGAAACTGCAAGTGGATAACTGCACTTCTTTGAGGCCTATCGTAGTAAAGGAAATAACTTCCTATAAAAACAAGACAGAAGCTTTCTCAGAAAATTCTCTGGGATGATTGAGTTGAACTCACAGAGCAGTACTTTCCTTGGGATGGAGTAGTTTCGAAACACACTTTCTGTAGAATCTGCAAGTGGATATTTGGACCTGTCTGAGGAATTCGTTGCAAACGGGATAATTTCAGCTAAGTAAACAGAAGCAGTCTCAGAATCTTCCTGTGATGTTTGCATTCAAATCCCAGAATTGAACCTTCCTTTGAAAGTTCAGGTTGGAAACACTCTTTTTGCAGGATCTACAAGTGGATATTCGGACCACTCTGTGGACTTCGTTCGAAACGGGTATATCTTCACATAACATCTAGACAGAAGCATTCTCAGAAACTTTTCTGTGATGACTGCATTCAACTCACAGAGTTCAACACTCCTTTTGAGAGCGCAGTTTGGAAACTCTCTTTCTCTGGAATCTGCAAGGGGACATGCAGACCTCTTTGAAGGTTTCGTTGGAAACGGAATCATCTTCACATAAAAATTACACAGAATCATCCTCAGGAACTCCTTGGTGATGTTTGTATTCAACTTCCAGAGTTGAACTTTCCTTCGGAAAGAGCAGCTATGAAACACTCTTTTTCTAGAATCTGCAAGTGGACATTGGGAGGGCTGTGAGGTTTGTGGTGGAAAAGGAAATATCTCCACATAAATACTAGATAGAAGCCTTCTCAGAAACTACTTTGTGATGATTGCATTCACCTCACGGAGTGGAGCATTCCTATTGACAGAGCAGTTTGGAAACACTCTTGTTGTAGAATCTGCTAGTGGAGATTTGGAGCGCTTTGAGGCCTATGGTAGTAAAGGGAAGAGCTTCACATAAAATCTAGACAGAAGCATTCTCAGAAAATACTTTGTGATGATTGAGTTTAACACACAGAGCTGAACATTCCTTTGGATGGAGAAGGTTTGAAACACACTTTCTGTAGAATCTGCGAGTGGATATTTGGACCTCTCTGAGGATTTCGTTGGAAACGGGATAACTGCACCTAACTAAACGGAAGCATTCTCACAAAATTCTTTGTGATGTTTGCATTCAAATCCCAGAGTTGACCCTTCCTTTGATAGTTCAGCTTTGAAACACTCTTTTTGTAGGATCTGCAAGTGGATATTTGGACCACTCTTTGGCCTTCGTTCGAAACGGGTACATCTTCAAATAAAATCTAGACAGAAGCCTTCTCAGAAACTTCTCTGTGACGATTGCATTCAACTCAAAGCGTTGAACCCTCCTATGGATAGAGCAGTTTTGAATCTCTCTTTTTGTGGAATCTGCAAGTGGATATGTGGTCCTCTTTAAAGATGTCATTGGAAACGGGAACATCTTCACATAAAAACTAAACAGAAGCATTCTCAGAAACTTCTCTGTGATGTTTGTGTTCAACTCACAGAGTTTCACGTTGCTATTCATAGAGCAGATGAGAAACATGCTTTTCGTAGGGTCTGCAAGTGGACATTTCAAGAGATTTCCGGCCTGCGGTGGAAAACGAATTATCGTCACGTAAAAACTAGAGAGAAGCATTGTCAGAAACTTGTTTGTGATGACTGCATTCAACTCACAGAGTTGAAGGTTCCTTTTCAAACAGCAGTTTCCAAACACTCTTTCTGTGGCATCTGCAAGTGGATGTTTGGGCCTCTTTGAAGATTTCGTTGGAAACGGGATAATCTTCACAGAAAAGCTAAACAGAAGCATTCTCAGAAACTTCTTTGTGATGTTTGCTTTCAACTCACAGAGTTGAACTTTCCTTTTGAGAGAGAAGCTTTGAAACACTCTTTTTCTAGAATCTGCAAGTGGATATTTGGAGGGCTTTGAGGCCTGAGGTGGAAAAGGAATTATCTTCCCGTAAGAACTAGATAGATGCATTCTCAGAAACTACTTTGTGACGATTGCATTCAAGTCACAGAGGTGAACATTCCCTTTCACAGAGCACTTTGGAAACTCTCGTTGTGTAGAATCTGCAAGTGGAGATATGGACCGCTTTGAGGCCTATGGTAGTAAAGGAAACAGCTTCATATAAAAACTAGACAGCAGCATTCTCAGAAAACTCTTTGTGACGACTGAGTTTAACTCACAGGGCTGAACATTCCTTTGGATGGAGCAGTATGGAAACACACTATCTGTAGGATCTGCAAGCGGATACTTGGGCCTCCCTGAGGATTTCGTTGGAAACGGGATAAACCGCACAGAACTAAACAGAAGCATTCTCAGAACCTTCTTCGTGATGTTTGCATTCAACCCACAGTGTTGAACCTTTCTTTGATAGTTCAGGTTTGAAACACTCTTTTTGTAGAAACTGCAAGTGGATAACTGCACTTCTTTGAGGCCTATCGTAGTAAAGGAAATAACTTCCTATAAAAACAAGACAGAAGCTTTCTCAGAAAATTCTCTGGGATGATTGAGTTGAACTCACAGAGCAGTACTTTCTTTGGGATGGAGTAGTTTCGAAACACACTTTCTGTACAATCTGCAAGTGGATATTTGGACCTGTCTGAGGAATTCGTTGCAAACGGGATAATTTCAGCTAAGTAAACAGAAGCAGTCTCAGAAACTTCTTGTGATGTTTGCATTCAAATCCCAGAATTGAACCTTCCTTTGAAAGTTCAGGTTGGAAACACTCTTTTTGCAGGATCTACAAGTGGATATTCGGACCACTCTGTGGACTTCGTTCGATACGGGTATATCTTCACATAACATCTAGACAGAAGCATTCTCAGAAACTTTTCTGTGATGACTGCATTCAACTCACAGAGTTGAACACTCCTTTTGAGAGCGCAGTTTTGAAAGTCTCTTTCTCTGGAATCTGCAAGGGGACATGCAGACCTCTTTGAAGGTTTCGTTGGAAACAGAATCATCTTCACATAAAAATTACACAGAGGCATCCTCAGGAACTCCTTGGTGATGTTTGTATTCAACTTCCAGAGTTGAACTTTCCTTCGGAAAGAGCAGCTATGAAACACTCTTTTTCTAGAATCTGCAAGTGGACATTGGGAGGGCTGTGAGGTTTGTGGTGGAAAAGGAAATATCTCCACATAAATACTAGATAGAAGCCTTCTCAGAAACTACTTTGTGATGATTGCATTCACCTCACGGAGTGGAGCATTCCTATTGACAGAGCAGTTTGGAAAAACTCTTGTTGTAGAATCTCCTAGTGGAGATTTGGAGCGCTTTGAGGCCTACGGTAGTAAAGGGAAGAGCTTCACATAAAATCTAGACAGAAGCATTCTCAGAAAATACTTTGTGATGATTGAGTTTAACACACAGAGCTGAACATTCCTTTGGATGGAGAAGGTTTGAAACACACTTTCTGTAGAATCTGCGAGTGGATATTTGGACCTCTCTGAGGATTTCGTTGGAAACGGGATAACTGCACCTAACTAAACGGAAGCATTCTCACAAAATTCTTTGTGATGTTTGCATTCAAATCCCAGAGTTGAACCTTCCTTTGATAGTTCAGCTTTGAAACACTCTTTTTGTAGGCTCTGCAGGTGGATATTTGGACCACTCTTTGGCCTTCGTTCAAAACGGGTACATCTTCAAATAAAATCTAGACAGAAGCCTTCTCAGAAACTTCTCTGTGACGATTGCATTCAACTCAAAGCGTTGAAACCTCCTATGGATCGAGCAGTTTTGAATCTCTCTTTTTGTGGAATCTGCAAGTGGATATGTGGTCCTCTTTGAAGATGTCTTTGGAAACGGGAATATCTTCACATAAAAACTAAACAGAAGCATTCTCAGAAACTTCTCTGTGATGTTTGTGTTCAACTCACAGAGTTTCACGTTGCTTTTCATAGAGCAGATGAGAAACATGCTTTTCGTAGGGTCTGCAAGTGGACATTTGGAGAGATTTCCGGCCTGTGGTGGAAAACGAATTATCGTCACGTAAAAACTAGAGAGAAGCATTGTCAGAAACTTGTTTGTGATGACTGCATTCAACTCACAGAGTTGAAGGTTCCTTTTCAAACAGCAGTTTCCAAACACTCTTTCTGTGGCATCTGCAAGTGGATGTTTGGGCCTCTTTGAAGATTTCGTTGGAAACGGGATACTCTTCACAGAAAAGCTAAACAGAAGCATTCTCAGAAACTTCTTTGTGATGTTTGCTTTCAACTCACAGAGTTGAACTTTCCTTTTGAGAGAGAAGCTTTGAAACACTCTTTTTCTAGAATCTGCAAGTGGATATTTGCAGGGCTTTGAGGCCTGTGGTGGAAAAGGAATTATCTTCCCGTAAGAACTAGATAGATGCATTCTCAGAAACTACTTTGTGACGATTGCATTCAAGTCACGGAGGTGAACATTCCCTTTCAGAGAGCACTTTGGAAACTCTCGTTGTGTAGAATCTGCAAGTGGAGATATGGACCGCTTTGAGGCCTATGGTAGTAAAGGAAACAACTTCATATAAAAACTAGACAGCAGCATTCTCAGAAAACTCTTTGTGACGACTGAGTTTAACTCACAGGGCTGAACATTCCTTTGGATGGAGCAGTTTGGAAACACACTATCTGTAGGATCTGCAAGCGGATATTTGGGCCTCCCTGAGGATTTCGTTGGAAACGGGATAAACCGCACCGAACTAAACAGAAGCATTCTCAGAACCTTCTTCGTGATGTTTGCATTCAACCCACAGTGTTGAACCTTTCTTTGATAGTTCAGGTTTGAAACACTCTTTTTGTAGAAACTGCAAGTGGATAACTGCACTTCTTTGAGGCCTATCGTAGTAAAGGAAATAACTTCCTATAAAAACAAGACAGAAGCTTTCTCAGAAAATTCTCTGGGATGATTGAGTTGAACACACAGAGCAGTACTTTCCTTGGAATGGAGTAGTTTCGAAACACACTTTCTGTAGAATCTGCAAGTGGATATTTGGACCTGTCTGAGGAATTCGTTGCAAACGGGATAATTTCAGCTAAGTAAACAGAAGCAGTCTCAGAATCTTCTTGTGATGTTTGCATTCAAATCCCAGAATTGAACCTTCCTTTGAAAGTTCAGGTTGGAAACACTCTTTTTGCAGGATCTACAAGTGGATATTCGGACCACTCTGTGGACTTCGTTCGAAACGGGTAAATCTTCACATAACATCTAGACAGAAGCATTCTCAGAAACTTTTCTGTGATGACTGCATTCCACTCACAGAGTTGAACTCTCCTTTTGAAAGCGCAGTTTTGAAACTCTCTTTCTCTGGAATCTGCAAGGGGACATGCAGACCTCTTTGAAGGTTTCGTTGGAAACGGAATCATCTTCACATAAAAATTACACAGAAGCATCTTCAGGAACTCCTTGGTGATGTTTGTATTCAACTTCCAGAGTTGAACTTTCCTTCGGAAAGAGCAGCTATGAAACACTCTTTTTCTAGAATCTGCAAGTGGACATTGGGAGGGCTGTGAGGTTTGTGGTGGAAAAGGAAATATCTCCACATAAATACTAGATAGAAGCCTTCTCAGAAACTACTTTGTGATGATTGCATTCACCTCACGGAGTGGAGCATTCCTATTGACAGAGCAGTTTGGAAACACTCTTCTTGTAGAATCGGCTAGTGGAGGTTTGGAGCGCTTTGAGGCCTATGGTAGTAAAGGGAAGAGCTTCACATGAAATCTAGACAGAAGCATTCTCAGAAAATACTTTGTGATGATTGAGTTTAACACACAGAGCTGAACATTCCTTTGGATGGAGAAGGTTTGAAACACACTTTCTGTAGAATCTGCGAGTTTATATTTGGACCTCTCTGAGGATTTCGTTGGAAACGGGATAACTGCACCTAACTAAACGGAAGCATTCTCACAAAATTCTTCGTGATGTTTGCATTCAAATCCCAGAGTTGAACGTTCCTTTGATAGTTCAGCTTTGAAACACCCTTTTTGTAGGATCTGCAAGTGGATATTTGGACCACTCTTTGGCCTTCGTTCTAAACGGGTACATCTTCAAATAAAATTTAGACAGAAGCCTTCTCCGAAACTTCTCTGTGACGATTGCATTCAACTCCAAGCGTTGAACCCTCCTATGGATAGAGCAGTTTTGAATCTCTCTTTTCGTGGAATCGGCAAGTGGATATGTGGTCCTCTTTGAAGATATCTTTGGAAACGGGAATATGTACACATAAAAACTAAACAGAAGCATTCTCAGAAACTTCTCTGTGATGTTTGTGTTCAACTCACAGAGTTTCACGTTGCTTTTCATAGAGCAGATGAGAAACATGCTTTTCGTAGGGTCTGCAAGTGGACATTTGGAGAGATTTCAGGCCTGTGGTGGAAAACGAATTATCGTCACGTAAAAACTAGAGAGAAGCATTGTCAGAAACTTGTTTGTGATGACTGCATTCAACTCACAGAGTTGAAGGTTCCTTTTCAAACAGCAGTTTCCAAACACTCTTTCTGTGGCATCTGCAAGTGGATGTTTGGGCCTCTTTGAAGATTTCGTTGGAAACGGGATAATCTTCACAGAAAAGCTAAACAGAAGCATTCTCAGAAACTTCTTTGTGATGTTTGCTTTCAACTCACAGAGTTGAACTTTCCTTTTGAGAGAGAAGCTTTGAAACACTCTTTTTCTAGAATCTGCAAGTGGATATTTGGAGGGCTTTGAGGCCTGAGGTGGAAAAGGAATTATCTTCCCGTAAGAGCTAGATAGATGCATTCTCAGAAACTACTTTGTGACGATTGCATTCAAGTCACAGAGGTGAACATTCCCTTTCAGAGAGCACTTTGGAAACTCTCGTTGTGTAGAATCTGCAAGTGGAGATATGGACCGCTTTGAGGCCTATGGTAGTAAAGGAAACAGCTTCATATAAAAACTAGACAGCAGCATTCTCAGAAAACTCTTTGTGACGACTGAGTTTAACTCACAGGGCTGAACATTCCTTTGGATGGAGCAGTTTGGAAACACACTATCTGTAGGATCTGCAAGCGGATACTTGGGCCTACCCTGAGGATTTCGTTGGAAACGGGATAAACCGCACAGAACTAAACAGAAGCATTCTCAGAACCTTCTTCGTGATGTTTGCATTCAACCCACAGTGTTGAACCTTTCTTTGATAGTTCAGGTTTGAAACACTCTTTTTGTAGAAACTGCAAGTGGATAACTGCACTTCTTTGAGGCCTATCGTAGTAAAGGAAATAACTTCCTATAAAAACAAGACAGAAGCTTTCTCAGAAAATTATCTGGGATGATTGAGTTGAACTCACAGAGCAGTACTTTCCTTGGGATTGAGTAGTTTCGAAACACACTTTCTGTAGAATCTGCAAGTGGGTATTTGGACCTGTCTGAGGAATTCGTTGCAAACGGGATAATTTCAGCAAAGTAAAAAGAAGCAGTCTCAGAATCTTCTTGTGATGTTTGCATTCAAATCCCAGAATTGAACCTTCCTTTGAAAGTTCAGGTTGGAAACACTCTTTTTGCAGGATCTACAAGTGGATATTCGGACCACTCTGTGGACTTCGTTCGAAACGGGTATATCTTCACATAACATCTAGACAGAAGCATTCTCAGAAACTTTTCTGTGATGACTGCATTCAACTCACAGAGTTGAACACTCCTTTTGAGAGCGCAGTTTTGAAACTCTCTTTCTCTGGAATCTGCAAGGGGACATGCAGACCTCTTTGAAGGTTTCGTTGGAAACGGAATCATCTTCACATAAAAATTACACAGAAGCATCCTCAGGAACTCCTTGGTGATGTTTGTATTCAACTTCCAGAGTTGAACTTTCCTTCGGAAAGAGCAGCTATGAAACACTCTTTTTCTAGAATCTGCAAGTGGACATTAGGAGGGCTGTGAGGTTTGTGGTGGAAAAGGAAATATCTCCACATAAATACTAGATAGAAGCCTTCTCAGAAACTACTTTGTGATGACTGCATTCACCTCACGGAGTGGAGCATTCCTATTGACAGAGCAGTTTGGAAACACTCTTCTTGTAGAATCGGCTAGTGGAGATTTGGAGCGCTTTGAGGCCTATGGTAGTAAAGGGAAGAGCTTCACATAAAATCTAGACAGAAGCATTCTCAGAAAATACTTTGTGATGATTGAGATTAACACACAGAGCTGAACATTCCTTTGGATGGAGAAGGTTTGAAACACACTTTCTGTAGAATCTGCGAGTGGATATTTGGACCTCTCTGAGGATTTCGTTGGAAACGGGATAACTGCACCTAACTAAACGGAAGCATTCTCACAAAATTCTTTGTGATATTTGCATTCAAATCCCAGAGTTGAACCTTCCTTTGATAGTTCAGCTTTGGAACACTCTTTTTGTAGGATCTGCAGGTGGATATTTGGACCACTCTTTGGCCTTCGTTCAAAACGGGTACATCTTCAAATAAAATCTAGACAGAAGCCTTCTCAGAAACTTCTCTGTGACGATTGCATTCAACTCAAAGCGTTGAACCCTCCTATGGATAGAGCAGTTTTGAATCTCTCTTTTTGTGGAATCTGCAAGTGGATATGTGGTCCTCTTTGAAGATGTCTTTGGAAACGGGAATATCTTCACATAAAAACTAAACAGAAGCATTCTCAGAAACTTCTCTGTGATGTTTGTGTTCAACTCACAGAGTTTCACGTTGCTTTTCATAGAGCAGATGAGAAACATGCTTTTCGTAAGGTCTGCAAGTGGACATTTGGAGAGATTTCAGGCCTGTGGTGGAAAACGAATTATCGTCACGTAAAAACTAGAGAGAAGCATTGTCAGAAACTTGTTTGTGATGACTGCATTCAACTCACAGAGTTGAAGGTTCCTTTTCAAACAGCAGTTTCCAAACACTCTTTCTGTGGCATCTGCAAGTGGATGTTTGGGCCTCTTTGAAGATTTCGTTGGAAACGGGATAATCTTCACAGAAAAGCTAAACAGAAGCATTCTCAGAAACTTCTTTGTGATGTTTGCTTTCAACTCACAGAGTTGAACTTTCCTTTTGAGAGAGAAGCTTTGAAACACTCTTTTTCTAGAATCTGCAAGTGGATATTTGGAGGGCTTTGAGGCCTGAGGTGGAAAAGGAATTATCTTCCCGTAAGAACTAGATAGATGCATTCTCAGAAACTACTTTGTGACGATTGCATTCAAGTCACAGAGGTGAACATTCCCTTTCAGAGAGCACTTTGGAAACTCTCGTTGTGTAGAATCTGCAAGTGGAGATATGGACCGCTTTGAGGCCTATGGTAGTAAAGGAAACAGCTTCATATAAAAACTAGACAGCAGCATTCTCAGAAAACTCTTTGTGACGACTGAGTTTAACTCACAGGGCTGAACATTCCTTTGGATGGAGCAGTTTGGAAACACACTATCTGTAGGATCTGCAAGCGGATACTTGGGCCTCTCTGAGGATTGCGTTGGAAACGGGATAAACCGCACAGAACTAAACAGAAGCATTCTCAGAACCTTCTTCGTGATGTTTGCATTCAACCCACAGTGTTGAACCTTTCTTTGATAGTTCAGGTTTGAAACACTCTTTTTGTAGAAACTGCAAGTGGATAACTGCACTTCTTTGAGGCCTATCGTAGTAAAGGAAATAACTTCCTATAAAAACAAGACAGAAGCTTTCTCAGAAAATTCTCTGGGATGATTGAGTTGAACTCACAGAGCAGTACTTTCCTTGGGATGGAGTAGTATCGAAACACACTTTCTGTAGAATCTGCAAGTGGATATTTGGACCTGTCTGAGGAATTCGTTGCAAACGGGATAATTTCAGCTAAGTAAACAGAAGCAGTCTCAGAATCTTCTTGTGATGTTTGCATTCCAATCCCAGAATTGAACCTTCCTTTGAAAGTTCAGGTTGGAAACACTCTTTTTGCAGGATCTACAAGTGGATATTCGGACCACTCTGTGGACTTCGTTCGAAACGGGTATATCTTCACATAACATCTAGACAGAAGCATTCTCAGAAACTTTTCTGTGATGACTGCATTCAACTCACAGAGTTGAACACTCCTTTTGAGAGCGCAGTTTTGAAACTCTCTTTCTCTGGAATCTGCAAGGGGACATGCAGACCTCTTTGAAGGTTTCGTTGGAAACGGGAATCATCTTCACATAAAAATTACACAGAAGCATTCTCAGGAACTCCTTGGTGATGTTTGTATTCAACTTCCAGAGTTGAACTTTCCTTCGGAAAGAGCAGCTATGAAACACTCTTTTTCTAGAATCTGCAAGTGGACATTGGGAGGGCTGTGAGGTTTGTGGTGGAAAAGGAAATATCTCCACATAAATACTACATAGAAGCCTTCTCAGAAACTACTTTGTGATGATTGCATTCACCTCACGGAGTGGAGCATTCCTATTGAAAGAGCAGTTTGGAAACACTCTTGTTGTAGAATCTGCTAGTGGAGATTTGGAGCGCTTTGAGGCCTATGGTAGTAAAGGGAAGAGCTTCACATAAAATCTAGACACAAGCATTCTCAGAAAATACTTTGTGATGATTGAGTTTAACACACAGAGCTGCACATTCCTTTGGATGGAGAAGGTTTGAAACACACTTTCTGTAGAATCTGCGAGTGGATATTTGGAACTCTCTGAGGATTTCGTTGGAAACGGGATAACTGCACCTAACTAAACGGAAGCATTCTCACAAAATTCTTTGTGATGTTTGCATTCAAATCCCAGAGTTGAACCTTCCTTTGATAGTTCAGCTTTGAAACACTCTTTTTGTAGGCTCTGCAGGTGGATATTTGGACCACTCTTTGGCCTTCGTTCAAAACGGGTACATCTTCAAATAAAATCTAGACAGAAGCCTTCTCAGAAACTTCTCTGTGACGATTGCATTCAACTCAAAGCGTTGAACCCTCCTATGGATAGAGCAGTTTTGAATCTCTCTTTTTGTGGAATCTGCAAGTGGATATGTGGTCCTCTTTGAAGATGTCTTTGGAAACGGGAATATCTTCACATAAAAACTAAACAGAAGCATTCTCAGAAACTTCTCTGTGATGTTTGTGTTCAACTCACAGAGTTTCACGTTGCTTTTCATAGAGCAGATGAGAAACATGCTTTTCGTAGGGTCTGCAAGTGGACATTTGGAGAGCTTTCAGGCCTGTGGTGGAAAACGAATTATCGTCACGTAAAAACTAGAGAGAAGCATTGTCAGAAACTTGTTTGTGATGACTGCATTCAACTCACAGAGTTGAAGGTTCCTTTTCAAACAGCAGTTTCCAAACACTCTTTCTGTGGCATCTGCAAGTGGATGTTTGGGCCTCTTTGAAGATTTCGTTGGAAACGGGATAATCTTCACAGAAAAGCTAAACAGAAGCATTCTCAGAAACTTCTTTGTGATGTTTGCTTTCAACTCACAGAGTTGAACTTTCCTTTTGAGAGAGAAGCTTTGAAACACTCTTTTTCTAGAATCTGCAAGTGGATATTTGGAGGGCTTTGAGGCCTGAGGTGGAAAAGGAATTATCTTCCCGTAAGAACTAGATAGATGCATTCTCAGAAAGTACTTTGTGACGATTGCATTCAAGTCACAGAGGTGAACATTCCCTTTCACAGAGCACTTTGGAAACTCTCGTTGTGTAGAATCTGCAAGTGGAGATATGGACCGCTTTGAGGCCTATGGTAGTAAAGGAAACAGCTTCATATAAAAACTAGACAGCAGCATTCTCAGAAAACTCTTTGTGACGACTGAGTTTAACTCACAGGGCTGAACATTCCTTTGGATGGAGCAGTTTGGAAACACACTATCTGTAGGATCTGCAAGCGGATACTTGGGCCTCCCTGAGGATTTCGTTGGAAACGGGATAAACCGCACAGAACTAAACAGAAGCATTCTCAGAACCTTCTTCGTGACGTTTGCATTCAACCCACAGTGTTGAACCTTTCTTTGATAGTTCAGGTTTGAAACACTCTTTTTGTAGAAACTGCAAGTGGATAACTGCACTTCTTTGAGGCCTATCGTAGTAAAGGAAATAACTTCCTATAAAAACAAGACAGAAGCTTTCTCAGAAAATTCTCTGGGATGATTGAGTTGAACTCACAGAGCAGTACTTTCCTTGGGATGGAGTAGTTTCGAAACACACTTTCTGTAGAATCTGCAAGTGGATATTTGGACCTGTCTGAGGAATTCGTTGCAAACGGGATAATTTCAGCTAAGTAAACAGAAGCAGTCTCAGAATCTTCCTGTGATGTTTGCATTCAAATCCCAGAATTGAACCTTCCTTTGAAAGTTCAGGTTGGAAACACTCTTTTTGCAGGATCTACAAGTGGATATTCGGACCACTCTGTGGACTTCGTTCGAAACGGGTATATCTTCACATAACATCTAGACAGAAGCATTCTCAGAAACTTTTCTGTGATGACTGCATTCAACTCACAGAGTTGAACACTCCTTTTGAGAGCGCAGTTTTGAAACTCTCTTTCTCTGGAATCTGCAAGGGGACATGCAGACCTTCTTTGAAGGTTTCGTTGGAAACGGAATCATCTTCACATAAAAATTACACAGAAGCATTCTCAGGAACTCCTTGGTGATGTT
Organism: Homo sapiens; assembly: GCF_000001405.40. NCBI lineage: Eukaryota > Metazoa > Chordata > Mammalia > Primates > Hominidae > Homo > Homo sapiens. The sequence goes on from NC_000017.11 coordinate 22,938,810, forward strand.
TGTATTCAACTTCCAGAGTTGAACTTTCCTTCGGAAAGAGCAGCTATGAAACACTCTTTTTCTAGAATCTGCAAGTGGACATTGGGAGGGCTGTGAGGTTTGTGGTGGAAAAGGAAATATCTCCACATAAATACTAGATAGAAGCCTTCTCAGAAACTACTTTGTGATGATTGCATTCACCTCACGGAGTGGAGCATTCCTATTGACAGAGCAGTTTGGAAACACTCTTGTTGTAGAATCTGCTAGTGGAGATTTGGAGCGCTTTGAGGCCTATGGTAGTAAAGGGAAGAGCTTCACATAAAATCTAGACAGAAGCATTCTGAGAAAATACTTTGTGATGATTGAGTTTAACACACAGAGCTGAACATTCCTTTGGATGGAGCAGGTTTGAAACACACTTTCTGTAGAATCTGCGAGTGGATATTTGGACCTCTCTGAGGATTTCGTTGGAAACGGGATAACTGCACCTAACTAATCGGAAGCATTCTCACAAAATTCTTCGTGATGTTTGCTTTCAAATCCCAGAGTTGAACCTTCCTTTGATAGTTCAGGTTTGAAACACTCTTTTTGTAGGATCTGCAAGTGGATATTTGGACCACTCTTTGGCCTTCCTTCGAAACGGGTACATCTTCAAATAAAATCTAGACAGAAGCCTTCTCAGAAACTTCTCCGTGATGATTGCATTCAACTCAAAGCGTTGAACCCTCCTATGGATAGAGCAGTTTTGAATCTCTCTTTTTGTGGAATCTGCAAGTGGATATGTGGTCCTCTTTGAAGATGTCTTTGGAAACGGGAATATCTTCACATAAAAACTAAACAGAAGCATTCTCAGAAACTTGTCTGTGATGTTTGTGTTCAACTCACAGAGTTTCACGTTGCTTTTCATAGAGCAGATGAGAAACATGCTTTTCGTAGGGTCTGCAAGTGGACATTTGGAGAGATTTCAGGCCTGTGGTGGAAAAAGAATTATCGTCACGTAAAAACTAGAGAGAAGCATTGTCAGAAACTTGTTTGTGATGACTGCATTCAACTCACAGAGTTGAAGGTTCCTTTTCAAACAGCAGTTTCCAAACACTCTTTCTGTGGCATCTGCAAGTGGATGTTTGGGCCTCTTTGAAGATTTCGTTGGAAACGGGATACTCTTCACAGAAAAGCTAAACAGAAGCATTCTCAGAAACTTCTTTGTGATGTTTGCTTTCAACTCACAGAGTTGAACTTTCCTTTTGAGAGAGAAGCTTTGAAACACTCTTTTTCTAGAATCTGCAAGTGGATATTTGGAGGGCTTTGAGGCCTGAGGTGGAAAAGGAATTATCTTCCCGTAAGAACTAGAAAGATGCATTCTCAGAAACTACTTTGTGACGATTGCATTCAAGTCACAGAGGTGAACATTCCCTTTCAGAGAGCACTTTGGAAACTCTCGTTGTGTAGAATCTGCAAGTGGAGATATGGACCGCTTTGAGGCCTATGGTAGTAAAGGAAACAGCTTCATATAAATACTAGACAGCAGCATTCCCAGAAAACTCTTTGTGACGACTGAGTTTAACTCACAGGGCTGAACATTCCTTTGGATGGAGCAGTTTGGAAACACACTATCTGTAGGATCTGCAAGCGGATACTTGGGCCTCCCTGAGGATTTCGTTGGAAACGGGATACACTGCACAGAACTAAACAGAAGCATTCTCAAAACCTTCTTCGTGATGTTTGCATTCAACCCACAGTGTTGAACCTTTCTTTGATAGTTCAGGTTTGAAACACTCTTTTTGTAGAAACTGCAAGTGGATAACTGCACTTCTTTGAGGCCTATCGTAGTAAAGGAAATAACTTCCTATAAAAACAAGACAGAAGCTTTCTCAGAAAATTCTCTGGGATGATTGAGTTGAACTCACAGAGCAGTACTTTCCTTGGGATGGAGTAGTTTCGAAACACACTTTCTGTAGAATCTGCAAGTGGATATTTGGACCTGTCTGAGGAATTCGTTGCAAACGGGATAATTTCAGCTAAGTAAACAGAAGCAGTCTCAGAATCTTCTTGTGATGTTTGCATTCAAATCCCAGAATTGAACCTTCCTTTGAAAGTTCAGGTTGGAAACACTCTTTTTGCAGGATCTACAAGTGGATATTCGGACCACTCTGTGGACTTCGTTCGAAATGGGTATATCTTCACATAACATCTAGACAGAAGCATTCTCAGAAACTTTTCTGTGATGACTGCATTCAACTCACAGAGTTGAACACTCCTTTTGAGAGCGCAGTTTTGAAACTCTCTTTCTCTGGAATCTGCAAGGGGACATGCAGACCTCTTTGAAGGTTTCGTTGGAAACGGAATCATCTTCACATAAAAATTACACAGAAGCATCCTCAGGAACTCCTTGGTGATGTTTGTATTCAACTTCCAGAGTTGAACTTTCCTTCGGAAAGAGCAGCTATGAAACACACTTTTTCTAGAATCTGCAAGTGGACATTGGGAAGGCTGTGAGGTTTGTGGTGGAAAAGGAAATATCTCCACATAAATACTAGATAGAAGCCTTCTCAGAAACTACTTTGTGATGATTGCATTCACCTCACGGAGTGGAGCATTCCTATTGACAGAGCAGTTTGGAAACACTCTTCTTGTAGAATCGGCTAGTGGAGATTTGGAGCGCTTTGAGGCCTATGGTAGTAAAGGGAAGAGCTTCACATAAAATCTAGACAGAAGCATTCTCAGAAAATACTTTGTGATGATTGAGTTTAACACACAGAGCTGAACATTCCTTTGGATGGAGAAGGTTTGAAACACACTTTCTGTAGAATCTGCGAGTGGATATTTGGACCTCTCTGAGGATTTCGTTGGAAACGGGATAACTGCACCTAACTAAACGGAAGCATTCTCACAAAATTCTTTGTGATGTTTGCATTCAAATCCCAGAGTTGAACCTTCCTTTGATAGTTCAGCTTTGAAACACTCTTTTTGTAGGATCTGCAGGTGGATATTTGGACAACTCTTTGGCCTTCATTCGAAACGGGTACATCTTCAAATAAAATCTAGACAGAAGCCTTCTCAGAAACTTCTCTGTGACGATTGCATTCAACTCAAAGAGTTGAACCCTCCTATGGATAGAGCAGTTTTGAATCTCTCTTTTTGTGGAATCTGCAAGTGGATATGTGGTCCTCATTGAAGATGTCTTTGGAAACGGGAATATCTTCACATAAAAACTAAACAGAAGCATTCTCAGAAACTTCTCTGTGATGTTTGTGTTCAACTCACAGAGTTTCACGTTGCTTTTCATAGAGCAGATGAGAAACATGCTTTTCGTAGGGTCTGCAAGTGGACATTTGGAGAGATTTCAGACCTGTGGTGGAAAACGAATTATCGTCACGTAAAAACTAGAGAGAAGCATTGTCAGAAACTTGTTTGTGATGACTGCATTCCACTCAAAGAGTTGAAGATTCCTTTTCAAACAGCAGTTTCCAAACACTCTTTCTGTGGCATCTGCAAGTGGATGTTTGGGCCTCTTTGAAGATTTCGTTGGAAACGGGATAATCTTCACAGAAAAGCTAAACAGAAGCATTCTCAGAAACTTCTTTGTGATGTTCGCTTTCAACTCACAGAGTTGAACTTTCCTTTTGAGAGAGAAGCTTTGAAACACTCTTTTTCTAGAATCTGCAAGTGGATATTTGGAGGGCTTTGAGGCCTGTGGTGGAAAAGGAATTATCTTCCCGTAAGAACTAGATAGATGCATTCTCAGAAACTACTTTGTGACGATTGCATTCAAGTCACAGAGGTGAACATTTCCTTTCAGAGAGCACTTTGGAAACCCTCGTTGTGTAGAATCTGCAAGTGGAGATATGGACCGCTTTGAGGCCTATGGTAGTAAAGGAAACAGCTTCATATAAAAACTAGACAGCAGCATTCTCAGAAAACTCTTTGTGACGACTGAGTTTAACTCACAGGGCTGAACATTCCTTTGGATGGAGCAGTTTGGAAACACACTATCTGTAGGATCTGCAAGCGGATACTTGGGCCTCCCTGAGGATTTCGTTGGAAACGGGATACACTGCACAGAACTAAACAGAAGCATTCTCAGAACCTTCTTCGTGATGTTTGCATTCAACCCACAGTGTTGAACCTTTCTTTGATAGTTCAGGTTTGAAACACTCTTTTTGTAGAAACTGCAGGTGGATAACTGCACTTCTTTGAGGCCTATCGTAGTAAAGGAAATAACTTCCTATAAAAACAAGACAGAAGCTTTCTCAGAAAATTCTCTGGGATGATTGAGTTGAACTCACAGAGCAGTACTTTCCTTGGGATGGAGTAGTTTCGAAACACACTTTCTGTAGAATCTGCAAGTGGATATTTGGACCTGTCTGAGGAATTCGTTGCAAACGGGATAATTTCAGCTAAGTAAACAGAAGCAGTCTCAGAATCTTCTTGTGATGTTTGCATTCAAATCCCAGAATGGAACCTTCCTTTGAAAGTTCAGGTTGGAAACACTCTTTTTGCAGGATCTACAAGTGGATATTCGGACCACTCTGTGGACTTCGTTCGAAACGGGTATATCTTCACATAACATCTAGACAGAAGCATTCTCAGAAACTTTTCTGTGATGACTGCATTCAACTCACAGAGTTGAACACTCCTTTTGAGAGCGCAGTTTTGCAACTCTCCTTCTCTGGAATCTGCAAGGGGACATGCAGACCTCTTTGAAGGTTTCGTTGGAAACGGAATCATCTTCACATAAAAATTACACGGAAGCATCCTCAGGAACTCCTTGGTGATGTTTGTATTCAACTTCCAGAGTTGAACTTTCCTTCGGAAAGAGCAGCTATGAAACACTCTTTTTCTAGAATCTGCAAGTGGACATTGGGAGGGCTGTGAGGTTTGTGGTGGAAAAGGAAATATCTCCACATAAATACTAGATAGAAGCCTTCTCAGAAACTACTTTGTGATGACTGCATTCACCTCACGGAGTGGAGCATTCCTATTGACAGAGCAGTTTGGAAACACTCTTCTTGTAGAATCGGCTAGTGGAGAGTTGGAGCGCTTTGAGGCCTATGGTAGTAAAGGGAAGAGCTTCACATAAAATCTAGACAGACGCATTCTCAGAAAATACTTTGTGATGATTGAGTTTAACACACAGAGCTGAACATTCCTTTGGATGGAGAAGGTTTGAAACACACTTTCTGTAGAATCTGCGAGTGGATATTTGGACCTCTCTGAGGATTTCGTTGGAAACGGGATAACTGCACCTAACTAAACGGAAGCATTCTCACAAAATTCTTTGTGATGTTTGCATTCAAATCCCAGAGTTGAACCTTCCTTTGATAGTTCAGCTTTGAAACATTCTTTTTGTAGGTTCTGCAAGTGGATATTTGGACGACTCTTTGGCCTTCGTTCGAAACGGGTACATCTTCAAATGAAAACTAGACAGAAGCCTTCTCAGAAACTTCTCTGTGACGATTGCATTCAACTCAAAGCGTTGAACCCTCCTATGGATAGAGCAGTTTTGAATCTCTCTTTTTGTGGAATCTGCAAGTGGATATGTGGTCCTCTTTGAAGATGTCTTTGGAAACGGGAATATCTTCACATAAAAACTAAACAGAAGCATTCTCAGAAACTTCTCTGTGATGTTTGTGTCCAACTCACAGAGTTTCACGTTGCTTTTCATAGAGCAGATGAGAAACATGCTTTTCGTAGGGTCTGCAAGTGGACATTTGGAGAGATTTCAGGCCTGTGGTGGAAAACGAATTATCGTCACGTAAAAACTAGAGAGAAGCATTGTCAGAAACTTGTTTGTGATGACTGCATTCAACTCACAGAGTTGGAGGTTCCTTTTCAAACAGCAGTTTCCAAACACTCTTTCTGTGGCATCTGCAAGTGGATGTTTGGGCCTCTTTGAAGATTTCGTTGGAAACGGGATAATCTTCACAGAAAAGCTAAACAGAAGCATTCTCAGAAACTTCTTTGTGATGTTTGCTTTCAACTCACAGAGTTGAACTTTCCTTTTGAGAGAGAAGCTTTGAAACACTCTTTTTCTAGAATCTGCAAGTGGATATTTGGAGGGCTTTGAGGCCTGTGGTGGAAAAGGAATTATCTTCCCGTAAGAACTAGATAGATGCATTCTCAGAAACTACTTTGTGACGATTGCATTCAAGTCACAGAGGTGAACATTCCCTTTCAGAGAGCACTTTGGAAACTCTCGTTGTGTAGAATCTGCAAGTGGAGATATGGACCGCTTTGAGGCCTATGGTAGTAAAGGAAACAGCTTCATATAAAAACTAGACAGCAGCATTCTCAGAAAACTCTTTGTGACGACTGAGTTAAACTCACAGGGCTGAACATTCCTTTGGATGGAGCAGTTTGGAAACACACTATCTGTAGGATCTGCAAGCGGATACTTTGGCCTCCCTGAGGATTTCGTGGGAAACGGGATAAACCGCACAGAACTAAACAGAAGCATTCTCAGAACCTTCTTCGTGATGTTTGCATTCAACCCACAGTGTTGAACCTTTCTTTGATAGTTCAGGTTTGAAACACTCTTTTTGTAGAAACTGCAAGTGGATAACTGCACTTCTTTGAGGCCTATCGTAGTAAAGGAAATAACTTCCTATAAAAACAAGACAGAAGCTTTCTCAGAAAATTCTCTGGGATGATTGAGTTGAACTCACAGAGCAGTACTTTCCTTGGGATGGAGTAGTTTCGAAACACACTTTCTGTAGAATCTGCAAGTGGATATTTGGACCTGTCTGAGGAATTCGTTGCAAACGGGATAATTTCAGCTAAGTAAACAGAAGCAGTCTCAGAATCTTCTTGTGATGTTTGCATTCAAATCCCAGAATGGAACCTTCCTTTGAAAGTTCAGGTTGGAAACACTCTTTTTGCAGGATCTACAAGTGGATATTCGGACCACTCTGTGGACTTCGTTCGAAACGGGTATATCTTCACATAACATCTAGACAGAAGCATTCTCAGAAACTTTTCTGTGATGACTGCATTCAACTCACAGAGTTGAACACTCCTTTTGAGAGCGCAGTTTTGAAACTCTCTTTCTCTGGAATCTGCAAGGGGACATGCAGACCTCTTTAAAGGTTTCGTTGGAAACGGAATCATCTTCACATAAAAATTACACAGAAGCATCCTCAGGAACTCCTTGGTGATGTTTGTATTCAACTTCCAGAGTTGAACTTTCCTTCGGAAAGAGCAGCTATGAAACACTCTTTTTCTAGAATCTGCAAGTGGACATTGGGAGGGCTGTGAGGTTTGTGGTGGAAAAGGAAATATCTCCACATAAATACTAGATAGAAGCCTTCTCAGAAACTACTTTGTGATGATTGGATTCACCTCACGGAGTGGAGCATTCCTATTGACAGAGCAGTTTGGAAACACTCTTGTTGTAGAATCTGCTAGTGGAGATTTGGAGCGCTTTGAGGCCTATGGTAGTAAAGGGAAGAGCTTCACATAAAATCAAGACAGAAGCATTCTCAGAAAATACTTTGTGATGATTGAGTTTAGCACACAGAGCTGAACATTCCTTTGGATGGAGAAGGTTTGAAACACACTTTCTGTAGAATCTGCGAGTGGATATTTGGACCTCTCTGAGGATTTCGTTGGAAACGGGATAACTGCACCTAACTAAACGGAAGCATTCTCACAAAATTCTTCGTGATGTTTGCATTCAAATCCCAGAGTTGAACCTTCCTTTGATAGTTCAGCTTTGAAACACTCTTTTTGTAGGATCTGCAAGTGGATATTTGGACCACTCTTTGGCCTTCCTTCGAAACGGCTGCATCTTCATATAAAATCTAGACAGAAGCCTTCTCAGAAACTTCTCTGTGACGATTGCATTCAACTCAAAGCGTTGAACCCTCCTATCGATAGAGCAGTTTTGAATCTCTCTTTTTGTGGAATCTGCAAGTGGATATGTGGTCCTCTTTGAAGATGTCTTTGGAAACGGGAATATCTTCACATAAAAACTAAACAGAAGCATTCTCAGAAACTTCTCTGTGATGTTTGTGTTCAACTCACAGAGTTTCACGTTGCTTTTCATAGAGCAGATGAGAAACATGCTTTTCGTAGGGTCTGCAAGTGGACATTTGGAGAGATTTCAGGCCTGTGGTGGAAAGCGAATTATCGTCACGTAAAAACTAGAGAGAAGCATTGTCAGAAACTTGTTTGTGATGACTGCATTCAACTCACAGAGTTGAAGGTTCCTTTTCAAACAGCAGTTTCCAAACACTCTTTCTGTGGCATCTGCAAGTGGATGTTTGGGCCTCTTTGAAGATTTCGTTGGAAACGGGATAATCTTCACAGAAAAGCTAAACAGAAGCATTCTCAGAAACTTCTTTGTGATGTTTGCTTTCAACTCACAGAGTTGAACTTTCCTTTTGAGAGAGAAGCTTTGAAACACTCTTTTTCTAGAATCTGCAAGTGGATATTTGGAGGGCTTTGAGGCCTGAGGTGGAAAAGGAATTATCTTCCCGTAAGAACTAGATAGATGCATTCTCAGAAACTACTTTGTGACGATTGCATTCAAGTCACAGAGGTGAACATTCCCTTTCAGAGAGCACTTTGGAAACTCTCGTTGTGTAGAATCTGCAAGTGGAGATATGGACCGCTTTGAGGCCTATGGTAGTAAAGGAAACAGCTTCATATAAAAACTAGACAGCAGCATTCTCAGAAAACTCTTTGTGTCGACTGAGTTTAACTCACAGGGCTGAACATTCCTTTGGATGGAGCAGTTTGGAAACACACTATCTGTAGGATCTGCAAGCGGATACTTGGGCCTCTCTGAGGATTGCGTTGGAAACGGGATAAACCGCACAGAACGAAACAGAAGCATTCTCAGAACCTTCTTCGTGATGTTTGCATTCAACCCACAGTGTTGAACATTTCTTTGATAGTTCAGGTTTGAAACACTCTTTCTGTAGAAACTGCAAGTGGATAACTGCACTTCTTTGAGGCCTATCGTAGTAAAGGAAATAACTTCCTATAAAAACAAGACAGAAGCTTTCTCAGAAAATTCTCTGCGATGATTGAGTTGAACTCACAGAGCAGTACTTTCCTTGGGATGGAGTAGTTTCGAAACACACTTTCTGTAGAATCTGCAAGTGGATATTTGGACCTGTCTGAGGAATTCGTTGCAAACGGGATAATTTCAGCTAAGTAAACAGAAGCAGTCTCAGAATCTTCTTGTGATGTTTGCATTCAAATCCCAGAATGGAACCTTCCTTTGAAAGTTCAGGTTGGAAACACTCTTTTTGCAGGATCTACAAGTGGATATTCGGACCACTCTGTGGACTTCGTTTGAAACGGGTATATCTTCACATAACATCTAGACAGAAGCATTCTCAGAAACTTTTCTGTGATGACTGCATTCAACTCACAGAGTTGAACACTCCTTTTGAGAGCGCAGTTTTGAAACTCTCTTTCTCTGGAATCTGCAAGGGGACATGCAGACCTCTTTGAAGGTTTCGTTGGAAACGGAATCATCTTCACATAAAAATTACACGGAAGCATCCTCAGGAACTCCTTGGTGATGTTTGTATTCAACTTCCAGAGTTGAACTTTCCTTCGGAAAGAGCAGCTATGAAACACTCTTTTTCTAGAATCTGCAAGTGGACATTGGGAGGGCTGTGAGGTTTGTGGTGGAAAAGGAAATATCTCCACATAAATACTAGATAGAAGCCTTCTCAGAAACTCCTTTGTGATGATTGCATTCACCTCACGGAGTGGAGCATTCCTATTGACAGAGCAGTTTGGAAACACTCTTGTTGTAGAATCTCCTAGTGGAGATTTGGAGCGCTTTGAGGCCTATGGTAGTAAAGGGAAGAGCTTCACATAAAATCTAGACAGAAGCATTCTCAGAAAATACTTTGTGATGATTGAGTTTAACACACAGAGCTGAACATTCCTTTGGATGGAGAAGGTTTGAAACACACTTTCTGTAGAATCTGCGAGTGGATATTTGGACCTCTCTGAGGATTTCGTTGGAAACGGGATAACTGCACCTAACTAAACGGAAGCATTCTCACAAAATTCTTTGTGATGTTTGCATTCAAATCCCAGAGTTGAACCTTCCTTTGATAGTTCAGCTTTGAAACACTCTTTTTGTAGGATCTGCAGGTGGATATTTGGACCACTCTTTGGCCTTCGTTCGAAAAGGGTACATCTTCAAATAAAATCTAGACAGAAGCCTTCTCAGAAACTTCTCTGTGACGATTGCATTCAACTCAAAGCGTTGAACCCTCCTATGGATAGAGCAGTTTTGAATCTCTCTTTTTGTGGAATCTGCAAGTGGATATGTGGTCCTCTTTGAAGATGTCTTTGGAAACGGGAATATCTTCACATAAAAACTAAACAGAAGCATTCTCAGAAACTTCTCTGTGATGTTTGTGTCCAAATCACAGAGTTTCACGTTGCTTTTCATAGAGCAGATGAGAAACATGCTTTTCGTAGGGTCTGCAAGTGGACATTTGGAGAGATTTCCCGCCTGCGGTGGAAAACGAATTATCGTCACGTAAAAACTAGAGAGAAGCATTGTCAGAAACTTGTTTGTGATGACTGCATTCAACTCACAGAGTTGAAGGTTCCTTTTCAAACAGCAGTTTCCAAACACTCTTTCTGTGGCATCTGCAAGTGGATGTTTGGGCCTCTTTGAAGATTTCGTTGGAAACGGGATAATCTTCACAGAAAAGCTAAACAGAAGCATTCTCAGAAACTTCTTTGTGACGTTTGCTTTCAACTCACAGAGTTGAACTTTCCTTTTGAGAGAGAAGCTTTGAAACACTCTTTTTCTAGAATCTGCAAGTGGATATTTGGAGGGCTTTGAATCCTGTGGTGGAAAAGGAATTATCTTCCCGTAAGAACTAGATAGATGCATTCTCAGAAACTACTTTGTGACGATTGCATTCAAGTCACAGAGGTGAACATTCCCTTTCAGAGAGCACTTTGGAAACTCTCGTTGTGTAGAATCTGCAAGTGGAGATATGGACCGCTTTGAGGCCTATGGTAGTAAAGGAAACAGCTTCATATAAAAACTAGACAGCAGCATTCTCAGAAAACACTTTGTGACGACTGAGTTTAACTCACAGGGCTGAACATTCCTTTGGATGGAGCAGTTTGGAAACACACTATCTGTAGGATCTGCAAGCGGATACTTGGGCCTCCCTGAGGATTTCGTGGGAAACGGGATAAACCGCACAGAACTAAACAGAAGCATTCTCAGAACCTTCTTCGCGATGTTTGCATTCAACCCACAGTGTTGAACCTTTCTTTGATAGTTCACGTTTGAAACACTCTTTTTGTAGAAACTGCAAGTGGATAACTGCACTTCTTTGAGGCCTATCGTAGTAAAGGAAATAACTTCCTATAAAAACAAGACAGAAGCTTTCTCAGAAAATTCTCTGGGATGATTGAGTTGAACTCACAGAGCAGTACTTTCTTTGGGATGGAGTAGTTTCGAAACACACTTTCTGTACAATCTGCAAGTGGATATTTGGACCTGTCTGAGGAATTCGTTGCAAACGGGATAATTTCAGCTAATTAACAGAAGCAGTCTCAGAATCTTCTTGTGATGTTTGCATTCAAATACCAGAATTGAACCTTCCTTTGAAAGTTCAGGTTGGAAACACTCTTTTTGCAGGATCTACAAGTGGATATTCGGACCACTCTGTGGACTTCGTTCGAAACGGCTATATCTTCACATAACATCTAGACAGAAGCATTCTCAGAAACTTTTCTGTGATGACTGCATTCAACACACAGAGTTGAACACTCCTTTTGAGAGCGCAGTTTTGAAACTCTCTTTCTCTGGAATCTGCAAGGGGACATGCAGACCTCTTTGAAGGTTTCGTTGGAAACGGAATCATCTTCACATAAAAATTACACAGAAGCATTCTTAGGAACTCCTTGGTGATGTTTGTATTCAACTTCCAGAGTTGAACTTTCCTTCGGAAAGAGCAGCTATGAAACACCCTTTTTCTAGAATCTGCAAGTGGACATTGGGAGGGCTGTGAGGTTTGTGGTGGAAAAGGAAATATCTCCACATAAATACTAGATAGAAGCCTTCTCAGAAACTACTTTGTGATGATTGCATTCACCTCACGGAGTGGAGCATTCCTATTGACAGAGCAGTTTGGAAACACTCTTGTTGTAGAATCTGCTAGTGGAGATTTGGAGCGCTTTGAGGCCTATGGTAGTAAAGGGAAGAGCTTCACATAAAATCTAGACAGAAGCATTCTCAGAAAATACTTTGTGATGATTGAGTTTAACACACAGAGCTGAACATTCCTTTGGATGGAGAAGGTTTGAAACACACTTTCTATAGAATCTGCGAGTGGATATTTGGACCTCTCTGAGGATTTCGTTGGAAACGGGATAACTGCACCTAACTAAACGGAAGCATTCTCACAAAATTCTTTGTGATGTTTGCATTCAAATCCCAGAGTTGAACCTTCCTTTGATAGTTCAGCTTTGAAACACTCTTTTTGTAGGATCTGCAGGTGGATATTTGGACCACTCTTTGGCCTTCGTTCAAAACGAGTACATCTTCAAATAAAATCTAGACAGAAGCCTTCTCAGAAACTTCTCTGTGATGATTGCATTCAACTCAATGCGTTGAACCCTCCTATGGATAGGGCAGTTTTGAATCTCTCTTTTTGTGGAATCTGCAAGTGGATATGTGGTCCTCTTTGGAGATGACTTTGGAAACGGGAATATCTTCACATAAAAACTAAACAGAAGCATTCTCAGAAACTTCTCTGTGATGTTTGTGTCCAAATCACAGAGTTTCACGTTGCTTTTCATAGAGCAGATGAGAAACATTCTTTTCGTAGGGTCTGCAAGTGGACATTTGGAGAGATTTCAGGCCTGTGGTGGAAAACGAATTATCGTCAAGTAAAAACTAGAGGGAAGCATTGTCAGAAACTTGTTTGTGATGACTGCATTCAACTCACAGAGTTGAAGGTTCCTTTTCAAACAGCAGTTTCCAAACACTCTTTCTGTGGCATCTGCAAGTGGATGTTTGGGCCTCTTTGAAGATTTCGTTGGAAACGGGATAATCTTCACAGAAAAGCTAAACAGAAGCATTCTCAGAAACTTCTTTGTGATGTTTGCTTTCAACTCACAGAGTTGAACTTTCCTTTTGAGAGAGAAGCTTTGAAACACTCTTTTTCTAGAATCTGCAAGTGGATATTTGGAGGGCTTTGAGGCCTGTGGTGGAAAAGGAATTATCTTCCCGTAAGAACTAGATAGATGCATTCTCAGAAACTACTTTGTGACGATTGCATTCAAGTCACAGAGGTGAACATTCCCTTTCACAGAGCACTTTGGAAACTCTCGTTGTGTAGAATCTGCAAGTGGAGATATGGACCGCTTTGAGGCCTATGGTAGTAAAGGAAACAGCTTCATATAAAAACTAGACAGCAGCATTCTCAGAAAACTCTTTGTGACGACTGAGTTTAACTCAAAGGGCTGAACATTCCTTTCGATGGAGCAGTTTGGAAACACACTATCTCTAGGATCTGCAAGCGGATACTTGGGCCTCTCTGAGGATTTCGTTGGAAACGGGATAAACCGCACAGAACTAAACAGAAGCATTCTCAGAACCTTCTTCGTGACGTTTGCATTCAACCCACAGTGTTGAACCTTTCTTTGATAGTTCAGGTTTGAAACACTCTTTTTGTAGAAACTGCAAGTGGATAACTGCACTTCTTTGAGGCCTATCGTAGTAAAGGAAATAACTTCCCATAAAAACAAGACAGAAGCTTTCTCAGAAAATTCTCTGGGATGATTGAGTTGAACTCACAGAGCAGTACTTTCCTTGGGATGGAGTAGTTTCGAAACACACTTTCTGTAGAATCTGCAAGTGGATATTTGGACCTGTCTGAGGAATTCGTTGCAAACGGGATAATTTCAGCTAAGTAAACAGAAGCAGTCTCAGAATCTTCTTGTGATGTTTGCATTCAAATCCCAGAATTGAACCTTCCTTTGAAAGTTCAGGTTTGAAACACTCTTTTTGCAGGATCTACAAGTGGATATTCGGACCACTCTGTGGACTTCGTTCGAAACGGGTATACCTTCACATAACATCTAGACAGAAGCATTCTCAGAAACTTTTCTGTGATGACTGCATTCAACTCACAGAGTTGAACACTCCTTTTGAGAGCGCAGTTTTGAAACTCTCTTTCTCTGGAATCTGCAAGGGGACATGCAGACCCCTTTGAAGGTTTCGTTGGAAACGGAATCATCTTCACATAAAAATTACACAGAAGCATTCTCAGGAACTCCTTGGTGATGTTTGTATTCAACTTCCAGAGTTGAACTTTCCTTCGGAAAGAGCAGCTATGAAACACTCTTTTTCTAGAATCTGCAAGTGGACATTGGGAGGGCTGTGAGGTTTGTGGTGGAAAAGGAAATATCTCCACATAAATACTACATAGAAGCCTTCTCACAAACTACTTTGTGATGATTGCATTCACCTCACGGAGTGGAGCATTCCTATTGACAGAGCAGTTTGGAAACACTCTTGTTGTAGAATCGGCGAGTGGAGATTTGGAGCGCTTTGAGGCCTATGGTAGTAAAGGGAAGAGCTTCACATAAAATCTAGACAGAAGCATTCTCAGAAAATACTTTGTGATGATTGAGTTTAACACACAGAGCTGCACATTCCTTTGGATGGAGAAGGTTTGAAACACACTTTCTGTAGAATCTGCGAGTGGATATTTGGACCTCTCTGAGGATTTCGTTGGAAACGGGATAACTGCACCTAACTAAACGGAAGCATTCTCACAAAATTCTTTGTGATGTTTGCATTCAAATCCCAGAGTTGAACCTTCCTTTGATAGTTCAGCTTTGAAACACTCTTTTTGTAGGATCTGCTGGTGGATATTTGGACCACTCTTTGGCCTTCGTTCGAAACGGTTACATCTTCAAAGAAAATCTAGACAGAAGCCTTCTCAGAAACTTCTCTGTGATGATTGCATTCAACTCAAAGCGTTGAACCCTCCTATGGATAGAGCAGTTTTGAATCTCTCTTTTTGTGGAATCTGCAAGTGGATATGTGGTCCTCTTTGAAGATGTCTTTGGAAACGGGAATATGTTCACATAAAAACTAAACAGAAGCATTCTCAGAAACTTCTCTGTGATGTTTGTGTTCAACTCACAGAGTTTCACGTTGCTTTTCATAGAGCAGATGAGAAACATGCTTTTCGTAGGGTCTGCAAGTGGACATTTGGAGAGATTTCAGGCCTGTGGTGGAAAACGAATTATCGTCACGTAAAAACTAGAGAGAAGCATTGTCAGAAACTTGTTTGTGATGACTGCATTCAACTCACAGAGTTGAAGGTTCCTTTTCAAACAGCAGTTTCCAAACACTCTTTCTGTGGCATCTGCAAGTGGATGTTTGGGCCTCTTTGAAGATTTCGTTGGAAACGGGATAATCTTCACAGAAAAGCTAAACAGAAGCATTCTCAGAAACTTCTTTGTGATGTTTGCTTTCAACTCACAGAGTTGAACTTTCCTTTTGAGAGAGAAGCTTTGAACCACTCTTTTTCTAGAATCTGCAAGTGGATATTTGGAGGGCTTTGAGGCCTGAGGTGGAAAAGGAATTATCTTCCCGTAAGAACTAGATAGATGCATTCTCAGAAACTACTTTGTGACGATTGCATTCAAGTCACAGAGGTGAACATTCCCTTTCAGAGAGCACTTTGGAAACTCTCGTTGTGTAGAATCTGCAAGTGGAGATATGGACCGCTTTGAGGCCTATGGTAGTAAAGGAAACAGCTTCATATAAAAACTAGACAGCAGCATTCTCAGAAAACTCTTTGTGACGACTGAGTTTAACTCACAGGGCTGAACATTCCTTTGGATGGAGCAGTATGGAAACACACTATCTGTAGGATCTGCAAGCGGATACTTGGGCCTCCCTGAGGATTTCGTTGGAAACGGGATAAACCGCACAGAACTAAACAGAAGCATTCTCAGAACCTTCTTCGTGATGTTTGCATTCAACCCACAGTGTTGAACCTTTCTTTGATAGTTCAGGTTTGAAACACTGTTTTTATAGAAACTGCAAGTGGATAACTGCACTTCTTTGAGGCCTATCGTAGTAAAGGAAATAACTTCCTATAAAAACAAGACAGAAGCTTTCTCAGAAAATTCTCTGGGATGATTGAGTTGAACTCACAGAGCAGTACTTTCTTTGGGATGGAGTAGTTTCGAAACACACTTTCTGTACAATCTGCAAGTGGATATTTGGACCTGTCTGAGGAATTCGTTGCAAACGGGATAATTTCAGCTAATTAACAGAAGCAGTCTCAGAATCTTCTTGTGATGTTTGCATTCAAATCCCAGAATTGAACCTTCCTTTGAAAGTTCAGGTTGGAAACACTCTTTTTGCAGGATCTACAAGTGGATATTCGGACCACTCTGTGGACTTCGTTCGAAACGGCTATATCTTCACATAACATCTAGACAGAAGCATTCTCAGAAACTTTTCTGTGATGACTGCATTCAACTCACAGAGTTGAACACTCCTTTTGAGAGCGCAGTTTTGAAACTCTCTTTCTCTGGAATCTGCAAGGGGACATGCAGACCTCTTTGAAGGTTTCGTTGG
Organism: Homo sapiens; assembly: GCF_000001405.40. Classification (NCBI taxonomy): domain Eukaryota; kingdom Metazoa; phylum Chordata; class Mammalia; order Primates; family Hominidae; genus Homo; species Homo sapiens. The sequence continues at coordinate 22,955,398 of NC_000017.11, forward strand.
AAACGGAATCATCTTCACATAAAAATTACACAGAAGCATTCTCAGGAACTCCTTGGTGATGTTTGTATTCAACTTCCAGAGTTGAACTTTCCTTCGGAAAGAGCAGCTATGAAACACTCTTTTTCTAGAATCTGCAAGTGGACATTGGGAGGGCTGTGAGGTTTGTGGTGGAAAAGGAAATATCTCCACATAAATACTAGATAGAAGCCTTCTCAGAAACTACTTTGTGATGATTGCATTCACCTCACGGAGTGGAGCATTCCTATTGACAGAGCAGTTTGGAAACACTCTTCTCGTAGAATCGGCTAGTGGAGATTTGGAGCGCTTTGAGGCCTATGGTAGTAAAGGGAAGAGCTTCACATAAAATCTAGACAGACGCATTCTCAGAAAATACTTTGTGATGATTGAGTTTAACACACAGAGCTGAACATTCCTTTGGATGGAGAAGGTTTGAAACACACTTTCTGTAGAATCTGCGAGTGGATATTTGGACCTCTCTGAGGATTTCGTTGGAAATGGGATAACTGCACCTAACTAAACGGAAGCATTCTCACAAAATTCTTTGTGATGTTTGCATTCAAATCCCAGAGTTGAACCTTCCTTTGATAGTTCAGCTTTGAAACATTCTTTTTGTAGGTTCTGCAAGTGGATATTTGGACGACTCTTTGGCCTTCGTTCGAAACGGGTACATCTTCAAATGAAATCTAGACAGAAGCCTTCTCAGAAACTTCTCTGTGACGATTGCATTCAACTCAAAGAGTTGAACCCTCCTATGGATAGAGCAGTTTTGAATCTCTCTTTTTGTGGAATCTGCAAGTGGATATGTGTTCCTCTTTGAAGATGTCTTTGGAAACGGGAATATCTTCACATTAAAACTAAACAGAAGCATTCTCAGAAACTTCTCTGTGATGTTTGTGTTCAACTCACAGAGTTTCACGTTGCTTTTCATACAGCAGATGAGAAACATGCTTTTCGTAGGGTCTGCAAGTGGACATTTGGAGAGATTTCAGGCCTGTGGTGGAAAACGAATTATCGTCACGTAAAAACTAGAGAGAAGCATTGTCAGAAACTTGTTTGTGATGACTGCATTCAACTCACAGAGTTGAAGGTTCCTTTTCAAACAGCAGTTTCCAAACACTCTTTCTGTGGCATCTGCAAGTGGATGTTTGGGCCTCTTTGAAGATTTCGTTGGAAACGGGATACTCTTCACAGAAAAGCTAAACAGAAGCATTCTCAGAAACTTCTTTGTGATGTTTGCTTTCAACTCACAGAGTTGAACTTTCCTTTTGAGAGAGAAGCTTTGAAACACTCTTTTTCTAGAATCTGCAAGTGGATATTTGGAGGGCTTTGAGGCCTGAGGTGGAAAAGGAATTATCTTCCCGTAAGAACTAGATAGATGCATTCTCAGAAACTACTTTGTGACGATTGCATTCAAGTCACAGAGGTGAACATTCCCTTTCAGAGAGCACTTTGGAAACTCTCGTTGTGTAGAATCTGCAAGTGGAGATATGGACCGCTTTGAGGCCTATGGTAGTAAAGGAAACGGCTTCATATAAAAACTAGACAGCAGCATTCTCAGAAAACCCTTTGTGACGACTGAGTTTAACTCACAGGGCTGAACATTCCTTTGGATGGAGCAGTTTGGAAACACACTATCTGTAGGATCTGCAAGCGGATACTTGGGCCTCCCTGAGGATTTCGTTGGAAACGGGATACACCGCACAGAACTAAACAGAAGCATTCTCAGAACCTTCTTCGTGATGTTTGCATTCAACCCACAGTGTTGAACCTTTCTTTGATAGTTCAGGTTTGAAACACTCTTTTTGTAGAAACTGCAGGTGGATAACTGCACTTCTTTGAGGCCTATCGTAGTAAAGGAAATAACTTCCTATAAAAACAAGACAGAAGCTTTCTCAGAAAATTCTCTGGGATGATTGAGTTGAACTCACAGAGCAGTACTTTCCTTGGGATGGAGTAGTTTCGAAACACACTTTCTGTAGAATCTGCAAGTGGATATTTGGACCTGTCTGAGGAATTCGTTGCAAACGGGATAATTTCAGCTAAGTAAACAGAAGCAGTCTCAGAATCTTCTTGTGATGTTTGCATTCAAATCCCAGAATGGAACCTTCCTTTGAAAGTTCAGGTTGGAAACACTCTTTTTGCAGGATCTACAAGTGGATATTCGGACCACTCTGTGGACTTCGTTCGAAACGGGTATATCTTCACATAACATCTAGACAGAAGCATTCTCAGAAACTTTTCTGTGATGACTGCATTCAACTCACAGAGTTGAACACTCCTTTTGAGAGCGCAGTTTTGAAACTCTCTTTCTCTGGAATCTGCAAGGGGACATGCAGACCTCTTTGAAGATTTCGTTGGAAACGGAATCATCTTCACATAAAAATTACACAGAAGCATCCTCAGGAACTCCTTGGTGATGTTTGTATTCAACATCCAGAGTTGAACTTTCCTTCGGAAGGAGCAGCTGTGAAACACCCTTTTTCTAGAATCTGCAAGTGGACATTGGGAGGGCTGTGAGGTTTGTGGTGGAAAAGGAAATATCTCCACGTAAATACTAGATAGAAGCCTTCTCAGAAACTACTTTGTGATGATTGCATTCACCTCACGGAGTGGAGCATTCCTATTGACAGAGCAGTTTGGAAACACTCTTCTTGTAGAATCGGCTACTGGAGATTTGGAGCGCTTTGAGGCCTATGGTAGTAAAGGGAAGAGCTTCACATAAAATCTAGACGGAAGCATTCTCAGAAAATACTTTGTGATGATTCAGTTTAACACACAGAGCTGAACATTCCTTTGGATGGAGAAGGTTTGAAACACACTTTCTGTAGAATCTGCGAGTGGATATTTGGACCTCTCTGAGGATTTCGTTGGAAACGGGATAACTGCACCTAACTAAACGGAAGCATTCTCACAAAATTCTTTGTGATGTTTGCATTCAAATCTCAGAGTTGAACCTTCCTTTGATAGTTCAGGTTTGAAACACTCTTTTTGTAGGATCTGCAGGTGGATATTTGGACAACTCTTTGGCCTTCGTTCGAAACGGGTACATCTTCAAATAAAATCTAGACAGAAGCCTTCTCAGAAACTTCTCTGTGACGATTGAATTCAACTCACAGCGTTGAACCCTCCTATGGATAGAGCAGTTTTGAATCTCTCTTTTTGTGGAATCTGCAAGTGGATGTGTGGTCCTCTTTGAAGATGTCTTTGGAAACGGGAATATCTTCACATAAAAACTAAACAGAAGCATTCTCAGAAACTTCTCTGTGATGTTTGTGTTCAACTCACAGAGTTTCACGTTGCTTTTCATAGAGCAGATGAGAAACATGCTTTTCGTAGGGTCTGCAAGTGGACATTTGGAGAGCTTTCAGGCCTGTGGTGGAAAACGAATTATTGTCACGTAAAAACTAGAGAGAAGCATTGTCAGAAACTTGTTTGTGATGACTGCATTCAACTCACAGAGTTGAAGGTTCCTTTTCAAACAGCAGTTTCCAAACACTCTTTCTGTGGCATCTGCAAGTGGATGTTTGGGCCTCTTTGAAGATTTCGTTGGAAACGGGATAATCTTCACAGAAAAGCTAAACAGAAGCATGCTCAGAAACTTCTTTGTGATGTTTGCTTTCAACTCACAGAGTTGAACTTTCCTTTTGAGAGAGAAGCTTTGAAACACTCTTTTTCTAGAATCTGCAAGTGGATATTTGTAGGGCTTTGAGGCCTGAGGTGGAACAGGAATTATCTTCCCGTAAGAACTAGATAGATGCATTCTCAGAAACTACTTTGTGACGATTGCATTCAAGTCACAGAGGTGAACATTCCCTTTCACAGAGCACTTTGGAAACTCTCGTTGTGTAGAATCTGCAAGTGGAGATATGGACCGCTTTGAGGCCTATGGTAGTAAAGGAAAAAGCTTCATATAAAAACTAGACAGCAGCATTCTCAGAAAACTCTTTGTGACGACTGAGTTTAACTCACAGGGCTGAACATTCCTTTGGATGGAGCAGTTTGGAAACACACTATCTGTAGGATCTGCAAGCGGATACTTGGGCCTACCCTGAGGATTTCGTTGGAAACGGGATAAACCGCACAGAACTAAACAGAAGCATTCTCAGAACCTTCTTCGTGACGTTTGCATTCAACCCACAGTGTTGAACCTTTCTTTGATAGTTCAGGTTTGAAACACTCTTTTTGTAGAAACTGCAAGTGGATAACTGCACTTCTTTGAGGCCTATCGTAGTAAAGGAAATAACTTCCTATAAAAACAAGACAGAAGCTTTCTCAGAAAATTCTCTGGGATGATTGAGTTGAACTCACAGAGCAGTACTTTCCTTGGGATGGAGTAGTTTCGAAACACACTTTCTGTAGAATCTGCAAGTGGATATTTGGACCTGTCTGAGGAATTCGTTGCAAACGGGATAATTTCAGCTAAGTAAACAGAAGCAGTCTCAGAATCTTCTTGTGATGGTTGCATTCAAATCCCAGAATTGAACCTTCCTTTGAAAGTTCAGGTTGGAAACACTCTTTTTGCAGGATCTACAAGTGGATATTCGGACCACTCTGTGGACTTCGTTCGAAACGGGTATATCTTCACATAACATCTAGACAGAAGCATTCTCAGAAACTTTTCTGTGATGACTGCATTCAACTCAGAGAGTTGAACACTCCTTTAGAGAGCGCAGTTTTGAAACTCTCTTTCTCTGGAATCTGCAAGGGGACATGCAGACCTCTTTGAAGGTTTCGTTGGAAACGGAATCATCTTCACATAAAAATTACACAGAAGCATCCTCAGGAACTCCTTGGTGATGTTTGTATTCAACTTCCAGAGTTGAACTTTCCTTCGGAAAGAGCAGCTATGAAACACTCTTTTTCTAGAATCTGCAAGTGGACATTGGGAGGGCTGTGAGGTTTGTGGTGGAAAAGGAAATATCTCCACATAAATACTAGATAGAAGCCTTCTCAGAAACTACTTTGTGATGATTTCATTCACCTCACGGAGTGGAGCATTCGTATTGACAGAGCAGTTTGGAAACACTCTTGTTGTAGAATCTCCTAGTGGAGATTTGGAGCGCTTTGAGGCCTATGGTAGTAAAGGGAAGAGCTTCACATAAAATCTAGACAGAAGCATTCTCAGAAAATACTTTGTGATGATTGAGTTTAACACACAGAGCTGAACATTCCTTTGGATGGAGAAGGTTTGAAACACACTTTCTGTAGAATCTGCGAGTGGATATTGGGACCTCTCTGAGGATTTCTTTGGAAACCGGATAACTGCACCTAACTAAACGGAAGCATTCTCACAAAATTCTTTGTGATGTTTGCATTCAAATCCCAGAGTTGAACCTTCCTTTGATAGTTCAGCTTTGGAACACTCTTTTTGTAGGATCTGCAGGTGGATATTTGGACCACTCTTTGGCCTTCGTTCAAAACGGGTACATCTTCAAATAAAATCTAGACAGAAGCCTTCTCAGAAACTTCTCTGGGATGCTTGCATTCAACTCAAAGCGTTGAACCCTCCTATGGATAGAGCAGTTTTGAATCTCTCTTTTTGTGGAATCTGCAAGTGGATATGTGGTCCTCTTAGAAGTTGTCTTTGGAAACGGGAATATCTTCACATAAAAACTAAACAGAAGCATTCTCAGAAACTTCTCTGTGATGTTTGTGTTCAACTCACAGAGTTTCACGTTGCTTTTCATAGAGCAGATGAGAAACATGCTTTTCGTAGGGTCTGCAAGTGGACATTTGGAGAGATTTCAGGCCTGTGGTGGAAAACGAATTATCGTCACGTAAAAACTAGAGAGAAGCATTGTCAGAAACTTGTTTGTGATGACTGCATTCAACTCACAGAGTTGAAGGTTCCTTTTCAAACAGCAGTTTCCAAACACTCTTTCTGTGGCATCTGCAAGTGGATGTTTGGGCCTCTTTGAAGATTTCGTTGGAAACGGGATAATCTTCACAGAAAAGCTAAACAGAAGCATTCTCAGAAACTTCCTTGTGATGTTTGCTTTCAACTCACAGAGTTGAACTTTCCTTTTGAGAGAGAAGCTTTGAAACACTCTTTTTCTAGAACCTGCAAGTGGATATTTGGAGGGCTTTGAGGCCTGAGGTGGAAAAGGAATTATATTCCCGTAAGAACTAGATAGATGCATTCTCAGAAACTACTTTGTGACGATTGCATTCAAGTCACAGAGGTGAACATTCCCTTTCACAGAGCACTTTGGAAACTCTCGTTGTGTAGAATCTGCAAGTGGAGATATGGACCGCTTTGAGGCCTATGGTAGTAAAGGAAACAGCTTCATATAAAAACTAGACAGCAGCATTCTCAGAAAACTCTTTGTGACGACTGAGTTTAACTCACAGGGCTGAACATTCCTTTGGATGGAGCAGTTTGGAAACACACTATCTGTAGGATCTGCAAGCGGATACTTGGGCCTCCCTGAGGATTTCGTTGGAAACGGGATAAACCGCACAGAACTAAACAGAAGCATTCTCAGAACCTTCTTCGTGATGTTTGCATTCAACCCACAGTGTTGAACCTTTCTTTGATAGTTCAGGTTTGAAACACTCTTTTTGTAGAAACTGCAAGTGGATAACTGCACTTCTTTGAGGCCTGTCGTAGTAAAGGAAATAACTTCCTATAAAAACAAGACAGAAGCTTTCTCAGAAAATTCTCTGGGATGATTGAGTTGAACTCACAGAGCAGTACTTTCTTTGGGATGGAGTAGTTTCGAAACACACTTTCTGTACAATCTGCAAGTGGATATTTGGACCTGTCTGAGGAATTCGTTGCAAACGGGATAATTTCAGCTAAGTAAAGAGAAGCAGTCTCAGAAACTTCTTGTGATGTTTGCATTCAAATCCCAGAATTGAACCTTCCTTTGAAAGTTCAGGTTGGAAACACTCTTTATGCAGGATCTACAAGTGGATATTCGGACCACTCTGTGGACTTCGTTCGAAACGGGTATATCTTCACATAACATCTAGACAGGAAGCATTCTCAGAAACTTTTCTGTGATGACTGCATTCAACTCACAGAGTTGAACACTCCTTTTGAGAGCGCAGTTTTGAAACTCTCTTTCTCTGGAATCTGCAAGGGGACATGCAGACCTCTTTGAAGGTTTCGTTGGAAACGGAATCATCTTCACATAAAAATTACACAGAGGCATCCTCAGGAACTCCTTGGTGATGTTTGTATTCAACTTCCAGAGTTGAACTTTCCTTCGGAAAGAGCAGCTATGAAACACTCTCTTTCTAGAATCTGCAAGTGGACATTGGGAGGGCTGTGAGGTTTGTGGTGGAAAAGGAAATATCTCCACATAAATACTAGATAGAAGCCTTCTCAGAAACTACTTTGTGATGATTGCATTCACCTCACGGAGTGGAGCATTCCTATTGACAGAGCAGTTTGGAAACACTCTTGTTGTAGAATCTGCTAGTGGAGATTTGGAGCGCTTTGAGGCCTATGGTAGTAAAGGGAAGAGCTTCACATAAAATCTAGACAGAAGCATTCTCAGAAAATACTTTGTGATGATTGAGTTTAACACACAGAGCTGAACATTCCTTTGGATGGAGAAGGTTTGAAACACACTTTCTGTAGAATCTGCGAGTGGATATTTGGACCTCTCTGAGGATTTCGTTGGAAACGGGATAACTGCACCTAACTAAACGGAAGCATTCTCACAAAATTCTTCGTGATGTTTGCTTTCAAATCCCAGAGTTGAACCTTCCTTTGATAGTTCAGGTTTGAAACACTCTTTTTGTAGGATCTGCAAGTGGATATTTGGACCACTCTTTGGCCTTCCTTCGAAACGGGTACATCTTCAAATAAAATCTAGACAGAAGCCTTCTCAGAAACTTCTCCGTGATGATTGCATTCAACTCAAAGCGTTGAACCCTCCTATGGATAGAGCAGTTTTGAATCTCTCTTTTTGTGGAATCTGCAAGTGGATATGTGGTCCTCTTTGAAGATGTCTTTGGAAACGGGAATATCTTCACATAAAAACTAAACAGAAGCATTCTCAGAAACTTCTCTGTGATGTTTGTGTTCAACTCACAGAGTTTCACGTTGCTTTTCATAGAGCAGATGAGAAACATGCTTTTCGTAGGGTCTGCAAGTGGACATTTGGAGAGATTTCAGGCCTGTGGTGGAAAACGAATTATCGTCACGTAAAAACTAGAGAGAAGCATTGTCAGAAACTTGTTTGTGATGACTGCATTCAACTCACAGAGTTGAAGGTTCCTTTTCAAACAGCAGTTTCCAAACACTCTTTCTGTGGCATCTGCAAGTGGATGTTTGGGCCTCTTTGAAGATTTCGTTGGAAACGGGATAATCTTCACAGAAAAGCTAAACAGAAGCATTCTCAGAAACTTCTTTGTGATGTTTGCTTTCAACTCACAGAGTTGAACTTTCCTTTTGAGAGAGAAGCTTTGAAACACTCTTTTTCTAGAATCTGCAAGTGGATATTTGGAGGGCTTTGAGGCCTGAGGTGGAAAAGGAATTATCTTCCCGTAAGAACTAGATAGATGCATTCTCAGAAACTACTTTGTGACGATTGCATTCAAGTCACAGAGGTGAACATTCCCTTTCAGAGAGCACTTTGGAAACTCTCGTTGTGTAGAATCTGCAAGTGGAGATATGGACCGCTTTGAGGCCTATGGTAGTAAAGGAAACAGCTTCATATAAAAACTAGACAGCAGAATTCTCAGAAAACTCTTTGTGACGACTGAGTTTAACTCACAGGGCTGAACATTCCTTTGGATGGAGCAGTTTGGAAACACACTATCTGTAGGATCTGCAAGCGGATACTTGGGCCTCTCTGAGGATTTCGTTGGAAACGGGATAAACCGCACAGAACTAAACAGAAGCATTCTCAGAACCTTCTTCGTGATGTTTGCATTCAACCCACAGTGTTGAACCTTTCTTTGATAGTTCAGGTTTGAAACACTCTTTTCGTAGAAACTGCAAGTGGATAACTGCACTTCTTTGAGGCCTATCGTAGTAAAGGAAATAACTTCCTATAAAAACAAGACAGAAGCTTTCTCAGAAAATTCTCTGGGATGATTGAGTTGAACTCACAGAGCAGTACTTTCCTTGGGATGGAGTAGTTTCGAAACACACTTTCTGTAGAATCTGCAAGTGGATATTTGGACCTGTCTGAGGAATTCGTTGCAAACGGGATAATTTCAGCTAAGTAAACAGAAGCAGTCTCAGAATCTTCCTGTGATGTTTGCATTCAAATCCCAGAATTGAACCTTCCTTTGAAAGTTCAGGTTGGAAACACTCTTTTTGCAGGATCTACAAGTGGATATTCGGACCACTCTGTGGACTTCGTTCGAAACGGGTATATCTTCACATAACATCTAGACAGAAGCATTCTCAGAAACTTTTCTGTGATGACTGCATTCAACTCACAGAGTTCAACACTCCTTTTGAGAGCGCAGTTTGGAAACTCTCTTTCTGTGGCATCTGCAAGGGGACATGCAGACCTCTTTGAAGGTTTCGTTGGAAACGGAATCATCTTCACATAAAAATTACACAGAAGCATTCTCAGGAACTCCTTGGTGATGTTTGTATTCAACTTCCAGAGTTGAACTTTCCTTCGGAAAGAGCAGCTATGAAACACTCTTTTTCTAGAATCTGCAAGTGGACATTGGGAGGGCTGTGAGGTTTGTGGTGGAAAAGGAAATATCTCCACATAAATACTAGATAGAAGCCTTCTCAGAAACTACTTTGTGATGATTGCATTCACCTCACGGAGTGGAGCATTTCTATTGACAGAGCAGTTTGGAAACACTCTTGTTGTAGAATCTGCTAGTGGAGATTTGGAGCGCTTTGAGGCCTATGGTAGTAAAGGGAAGAGCTTCACATAAAATCTAGACACAAGCATTCTCAGAAAATACTTTGTGATGATTGAGTTTAACACACAGAGCTGAACATTCCTTTGGATGGAGAAGTTTTGAAACACACTTTCTGTAGAATCTGCGAGTGGATATTTGGACCTCTCTGAGGATTTCGTTGGAAACGGGATAACTGCACCTAACTAAACGGAAGCATTCTCACAAAATTCTTTGTGATGTTTGCATTCAAATCCCAGAGTTGAACCTTCCTTTGATAGTTCAGCTTTGAAACACCCTTTTTGTAGGATCTGCAAGTGGATATTTGGACCAGTCTTTGGCCTTCGTTCGAAACGGGTACATCTTCAAATAAAATCTAGACAGAAGCCTTCTCAGAAACTTCTCTGTGACGATTGCATTCAACTCAAAGCGTTGAACCCTCCCTATGGATAGAGCAGTTTTGAATCTCTCTTTTTGTGGAATCTGCAAGTGGATATGTGGTCCTCTTTGAAGATGTCTTTGGAAACGGGAATATCTTCACATAAAAACTAAACAGAAGCATTCTCAGAAACTTCTCTGTGATGTTTGTGTTCAACTCACAGAGTTTCACGTTGCTTTTCATAGAGCAGATGAGAAACATGCTTTTCGTAGGGTCTGCAAGTGGACATTTGGAGAGCTTTCAGGCCTGTGGTGGAAAACGAATTATCGTCACGTAAAAACTAGAGAGAAGCATTGTCAGAAACTTGTTTGTGATGACTGCATTCAACTCACAGAGTTGAAGGTTCCTTTTCAAACAGTCGTTTCCAAACACTCTTTCTGTGGCATCTGCAAGTGGATGTTTGGGCCTCTTTGAAGATTTCATTGGAAACGGGATAATCTTCACAGAAAAGCTAAACAGAAGCATTCTCAGAAACTTCTTTGTGATGTTTGCTTTCAACTCACAGCAGTTGAACTTTCCTTTTGAGAGAGAAGCTTTGAAACACTCTTTTTCTAGAATCTGCAAGTGGATATTTGGAGGGCTTTGAGGCCTGTGGTGGAAAAGGAATTATCTTCCCGTAAGAACTAGATAGATGCATTCTCAGAAACTACTTTGTGACGATTGCATTCAAGTCACAGAGGTGAACATTCCCTTTCAGAGAGCACTTTGGAAACTCTCGTTGTGTAGAATCTGCAAGTGGAGATATGGACCGCTTTGAGGCCTATGGTAGTAAAGGAAACAGCTTCATATAAAAACTAGACAGCAAGCATTCTCAGAAAACTCTTTGTGACGACTGAGTTTAACTCACAGGGCTGAACATTCCTTTGGATGGAGCAGTTTGGAAACACACTATCTGTAGGATCTGCAAGCGGATACTTGGGCCTCTCTGAGGATTTCGTTGGAAACGGGATAAACCGCACAGAACTAAACAGAAGCATTCTCAGAACCTTCTTCGTGATGTTTGCATTCAACCCACAGTGTTGAACCTTTCTTCGATAGTTCAGGTTTGAAACACTCTTTTTGTAGAAACTGCAAGTGGATAACTGCACTTCTTTGAGGCCTATCGTAGTAAAGGAAATACCTTCCTATGAAAACAAGACAGAAGCTTTCTCAGAAAATTATCTGGGATGATTGTGTTGAACTCACAGAGCAGTACTTTCCTTGGGATGGAGTAGTTTCGAAGCACACTTTCTGTAGAATCTGCAAGTGGATATTTGGACCTGTCTGAGGAATACTTTGCAAACGGGATAATTTCAGCTAAGTAAACAGAAGCAGTCTCAGAAACTTCTTGTGATGTTTGCATTCAAATCCCAGAATTGAACCTTCCTTTGAAAGTTCAGGTTGGAAACACTCTTTATGCAGGATCTACAAGTGGATATTCGGACCACTCTGTGGACTTCGTTCGAAACGGGTATATCTTCACATAACATCTAGACAGAAGCATTCTCAGAAACTTTTCTGTGATGACTGCATTCAACTCACAGAGTTGAACACTCCTTTTGAGAGCGCAGTTTTGAAACTCTCTTTCTCTGGAATCTGCAAGGGGACATGCAGACCTCTTTGAAGGTTTCGTTGGAAACGGAATCATCTTCACATAAAAATTACACAGAGGCATCCTCAGGAACTCCTTGGTGATGTTTGTATTCAACTTCCAGAGTTGAACTTTCCTTCGGAAAGAGCAGCTATGAAACACTCTCTTTCTAGAATCTGCAAGTGGACATTGGGAGGGCTGTGAGGTTTGTGGTGGAAAAGGAAATATCTCCACATAAATACTAGATAGAAGCCTTCTCAGAAACTACTTTGTGATGATTGCATTCACCTCACGGAGTGGAGCATTCCTATTGACAGAGCAGTTTGGAAACACTCTTGTTGTAGAATCGGCTAGTGGAGATTTGGAGCGCTTTGAGGCCTATGGTAGTAAAGGGAAGAGCTTCACATAAAATCTAGACAGAAGCATTCTCAGAAAATACTTTGTGATGATTGAGTTTAACACACAGAGCTGAACATTCCTTTGGATGGAGAAGGTTTGAAACACACTTTCTGTAGAATCTGCGAGTGGATATTTGGACCTCTCTGAGGATTTCGTTGGAAACGGGATAACTGCACCTAACTAAACGGAAGCATTCTCACAAAATTCTTTGTGATGTTTGCATTCAAATCCCAGAGTTGAACCTTCCTTTGATAGTTCAGCTTTGAAACACTCTTTTTGTAGGATCTGCAGGTGGATATTTGGACCACTCTTTGGCCTTCGTTCGAAACGGGTACATCTTCAAATAAAATCTAGACAGAAGCCTTCTCAGAAACTTCTCTGTGACAATTGCATTCAACTCAGAGAGTTGAACCCTCCTATGGATAGAGCAGTTTTGAATCTCTCTTTTTGTGGAATCTGCAAGTGGATATGTGGTCCTCTTTGAAGATGTCTTTGGAAACGGGAATATCTTCACATAAAAACTAAACAGAAGCATTCTCAGAAACTTCTCTGTGATGTTTGTGTTCAACTCACAGAGTTTCACGTTGCTTTTCATAGAGCAGATGAGAAACATGCTTTTCGTAGGGTCTGCAAGTGGACATTTGGAGAGCTTTCAGGCCTGTGGTGGAAAACGAATTATCGTCACGTAAAAACTAGAGAGAAGCATTGTCAGAAACTTGTTTGTGATGACTGCATTCAACCCACAGAGTTGAAGGTTCCTTTTCAAGCAGCAGTTTCCAAACATTCTTTCTGTGGCATCTGCAAGTGGATGTTTGGGCCTCTTTGAAGATTTCGTTGGAAACGGGATAATCTTCACAGAAAAGCTAAACAGAAGCATGCTCAGAAACTTCTTTGTGATGTTTGCTTTCAACTCACAGAGTTGAACTTTCCTTTTGAGAGAGAAGCTTTGAAACACTCTTTTTCTAGAATCTGCAAGTGGATATTTGTAGGGCTTTGAGGCCTGAGGTGGAACAGGAATTATCTTCCCGTAAGAACTAGATAGATGCATTCTCAGAAACTACTTTGTGACGATTGCATTCAAGTCACAGAGGTGAACATTCCCTTTCAGAGAGCACTTTGGAAACTCTCGTTGTGTAGAATCTGCAAGTGGAGATATGGACCGCTTTGAGGCCTATGGTAGTAAAGGAAACAGCTTCATATAAAAACTAGACAGCAGCATTCTCAGAAAACTCTTTGTGACGACTGAGTTAAACTCACAGGGCTGAACATTCCTTTGGATGGAGCAGTTTGGAAACACAGTATCTGTAGGATCTGCAAGCGGATACTTGGGCCTCCCTGAGGATTTCGTGGGAAACGGGATAAACCGCACAGAACTAAACAGAAGCATTCTCAGAACCTTCTTCGTGATGTTTGCATTCAACCCACAGTGTTGAACCTTTCTTTGATAGTTCAGGTTTGAAACACTCTTTTTGTAGAAACTGCAAGTGGATAACTGCACTTCTTTGAGGCCTATCGTAGTAAAGGAAATAACTTCCTATAAAAACAAGACAGAAGCTTTCTCAGAAAATTCTCTGGGATGATTGAGTTGAACTCACAGAGCAGTACTTTCCTTGGGATGGAGTAGTTTCGAAACACACTTTCTGTAGAATCTGCAAGTGGATATTTGGACCTGTCTGAGGAATTCGTTGCAAACGGGATAATTTCAGCTAAGTAAACAGAAGCAGTCTCAGAATCTTCTTGTGATGTTTGCATTCAAATCCCAGAATGGAACCTTCCTTTGAAAGTTCAGGTTGGAAACACTCTTTTTGCTGGATCTACAAGTGGATATTCGGACCACTCTGTGGACTTCGTTCGAAACGGGTATACCTTCACATAACATCTAGACAGAAGCATTCTCAGAAACTTTTCTGTGATGACTGCATTCAACTCACAGAGTTGAACACTCCTTTTGAGAGCGCAGTTTTGAAACTCTCTTTCTCTGGAATCTGCAAGGGGACATGCAGACCTCTTTGAAGGTTTCGTTGGAAACGGAATCATCTTCACATAAAAATTACACAGAAGCATTCTCAGGAACTCCTTGGTGATGTTTGTATTCAACTTCCAGAGTTGAACTTTCCTTCGGAAAGAGCAGCTATGAAACACTCTTTTTCTAGAATCTGCAAGTGGACATTGGGAGGGCTGTGAGGTTTGTGGTGGAAAAGGAAATATCTCCACGTAAATACTAGATAGAAGCCTTCTCAGAAACTACTTTGTGATGATTGCATTCACCTCACGGAGTGGAGCATTCCTATTGACAGAGCAGTTTGGAAACACTCTTCTTGTAGAATCGGCTAGTGGAGATTTGGAGCGCTTTGAGGCCTATGGTAGTAAAGGGAAGAGCTTCACATAAAATCTAGACAGAAGCATTCTCAGAAAATACTTTGTGATGATTGAGTTTAACACACAGAGCTGAACATTCCTTTGGATGGAGAAGGTTTGAAACACACTTTCTGTAGAATCTGCGAGTGGATATTTGGACCTCTCTGAGGATTTCGTTGGAAACCGGATAACTGCACCTAACTAAACGGAAGCATTCTCACAAAATTCTTTGTGATGTTTGCATTCAAATCCCAGAGTTGAACCTTCCTTTGATAGTTCAGCTTTGAAACACTCTTTTTGTAGGGTCTGCAGGTGGATATTTGGACCACTCTTTGGCCTTCGTTCGAAACGGGTACATCTTCAAATAAAATCTAGACAGAAGCCTTCTCAGAAACTTCTCTGGGATGATTGCATTCAACTCAAAGCGTTGAACCCTCCTATGGATAGAGCAGTTTTGAATCTCCCTTTTTGTGGAATCTGCAAGTGGATATGTGGTCCTCTTTGAAGATGTCTTTGGAAACGGGAATATCTTCACATAAAAACTAAACAGAAGCATTCTCAGAAACTTCTCTGTGATGTTTGTGTCCAAATCACAGAGTTTCACGATGCTTTTCATAGAGCAGATGAGAAACATTCTTTTCGTAGGGTCTGCAAGTGGACATTTGGAGAGATTTCAGGCCTGTGGTGGAAAACGAATAATCGTCAAGTAAAAACTAGAGGGAAGCATTGTCAGAAACTTGTTTGTGATGACTGCATTCAACTCACAGAGTTGAAGGTTCCTTTTCAAACAGCAGTTTCCAAACACTCTTTCTGTGGCATCTGCAAGTGGATGTTTGGGCCTCTTTGAAGATTTCGTTGGAAAGGGGATAATCTTCACAGAAAAGCTAAACAGAAGCATTCTCAGAAACTTCTTTGTGATGTTTGCTTTCAACTCACAGAGTTGAACTTTCCTTTTGAGAGAGAAGCTTTGAAACACTCTTTTTCTAGAATCTGCAAGTGGATATTTGGAGGGCTTTGAGGCCTGTGGTGGAAAAGGAATTATCTTCCCGTAAGAACTAGATAGATGCATTCTCAGAAACTACTTTGTGACGATTGCATTCAAGTCACAGAGGTGAACATTCCCTTTCAGAGAGCACTTTGGAAACTCTCGTTGTGTAGAATCTGCAAGTGGAGATATGGACCGCTTTGAGGCCTCTGGTAGTAAAGGAAACAGCTTCATATAAAAACTAGACAGCAGCATTCTCAGAAAACTCTTTGTGACGACTGAGTTTAACTCAAAGAGGCTGAACATTCCTTTCGATGGAGCAGTTTGGAAACACACTATCTCTAGGATCTGCAAGCGGATACTTGGGCCTCTCTGAGGATTTCGTTGGAAACGGGATAAACCGCACAGAACTAAACAGAAGCATTCTCAGAACCTTCTTCGTGACGTTTGCATTCAACCCACAGTGTTGAACCTTTCTTTGATAGTTCAGGTTTGAAACACTCTTTTTGTAGAAACTGCAAGTGGATAACTGCACTTCTTTGAGGCCTATCGTAGTAAAGGAAATAACTTCCTATAAAAACAAGACAGAAGCTTTCTCAGAAAATTCTCTGGGATGATTGAGTTGAACTCACAGAGCAGTACTTTTCCTTGGGATGGAGTAGTTTCGAAACACACTTTCTGTAGAATCTGCAAGTGGATATTTGGACCTGTCTGAGGAATTCGTTGCAAACGGGATAATTTCAGCTAAGTAAACAGAAGCAGTCTCAGAATCTTCTTGTGATGTTTGCATTCAAATCCCAGAATTGAACATTCCTTTGAAAGTTCAGGTTGGAAACACTCTTTTTGCAGGATCTACAAGTGGATATTCGGACCACTCTGTGGACTTCGTTCGAAACGGGTATATCTTCACATAACATCTAGACAGAAGCATTCTCAGAAACTTTTCTGTGATGACTGCATTCAACTCACAGAGTTGAACACTCCTTTTGAGAGCGCAGTTTTGAAACTCTCTTTCTCTGGAATCTGCAAGGGGACATGCAGACCTCTTTGAAGGTTTCGTTGGAAACGGAATCATCTTCACATAAAAATTACACAGAAGCATTCTCAGGAACTCCTTGGTGATGTTTGTATTCAACTTCCAGAGTTGAACTTTCCTTCGGAAAGAGCAGCTATGAAACACTCTTTTTCTAGAATCTGCAAGTGGACATTGGGAGGGCTGTGAGGTTTGTGGTGGAAAAGGAAATATCTCCACATAAATACTAGATAGAAGCCTTCTCAGAAACTACTTTGTGATGATTGCATTCACCTCACGGAGTGGAGCATTCCTATTGACAGAGCAGTTTGGAAACACTCTTCTTGTAGAATCGGCTAGTGGAGATTTGGAGCGCTTTGAGGCCTATGGTAGTAAAGGGAAGAGCTTCACATAAAATCTAGACAGAAGCATTCTCAGAAAATACTTTGTGATGATTGAGTTTAACACACAGAGCTGAACATTCCTTTGGATGGAGAAGGTTTGAAACACACTTTCTGTAGAATCTGCGAGTGGATATTTGGACCTCTCTGAGGATTTCGTTGGAAACGGGATAACAGCACCTAACTAAACGGAAGCATTCTCACAAAATTCTTTGTGATGTTTGCATTCAAATCCCAGAGTTGAACCTTCCTTTGATAGTTCAGCTTTGAAACACTCTTTTTGTAGGATCTGCAAGTGGATATTTGGACCACTCTTTGGCCTTCGTTCGAAACGGGTACATCTTCAAATAAAATCTAGACAGAAGCCTTCTCAGAAACTGCTCTGTGACGATTGCATTCAACTCAAAGCGTTGAACCCTCCTATGGATAGAGCAGTTTTGAATCTCTCTTTTTGTGGAATCTGCAAGTGGATATGTGGTCCTCTTTGAAGATGTCTTTGGAAACGGGAATATCTTCACATAAAAACTAAACAGAAGCATTCTCAGAAACTTCTCTGTGATGTTTGTGTTCAACTCACAGAGTTTCACGTTGCTTTTCATAGAGCAGATGAGAAACATGCTTTTCGTAGGGTCTGCAAGTGGACATTTGGAGAGATTTCAGGCCTGTCGTGGAAAACGAATTATCGTCACGTAAAAACTAGAGAGAAGCATTGTCAGAAACTTGTTTGTGATGACTGCATTCAACTCACAGAGTTGAAGGTTCCTTTTCAAACAGCAGTTTCCAAACACTCTTTCTGTGGCATCTGCAAGTGGATGTTTGGGCCTCTTTGAAGATTTCGTTGGAAACGGGATAATCTTCACAGAAAAGCTAAACAGAAGCATTCTCAGAAACTTCCTTGTGATGTTTGCTTTCAACTCACAGAGTTGAACTTTCCTTTTGAGGGAGAAGCTTTGAAACACTCTTTTTCTAGAACCTGCAAGTGGATATTTGGAGGGCTTTGAGGCCTGAGGTGGAAAAGGAATTATATTCCCGTAAGAACTAGATAGATGCATTCTCAGAAACTACTTTGTGACGATTGCATTCAAGTCACAGAGGTGAACATTCCCTTTCACAGAGCACTTTGGAAACTCTCGTTGTGTAGAATCTGCAAGTGGAGATATGGACCGCTTTGAGGCCTATGGTAGTAAAGGAAACAGCTTCATATAAAAACTAGACAGCAGCATTCTCAGAAAACTCTTTGTGACGACTGAGTTTAACTCACAGGGCTGAACATTCCTTTGGATGGAGCAGTTTGGAAACACACTATCTGTAGGATCTGCAAGCGGATACTTGGGCCTCCCTGAGGATTTCGTTGGAAAAGGGATAAACCGCACAGAACTAAACAGAAGCATTCTCAGAACCTTCTTCGTGATGTTTGCATTCAACCCACAGTGTTGAACCTTTCTTTGATAGTTCAGGTTTGAAACACTCTTTTTGTAGAAACTGCAAGTGGATAACTGCACTTCTTTGAGGCCTATCGTAGTAAAGGAAATAACTTCCTATAAAAACAAGACAGAAGCTTTCTCAGAAAATTCTCTGGGATGATTGAGTTGAACTCACAGAGCAGTACTTTCTTTGGGATGGAGTAGTTTCGAAACACACGTTCTGTACAATCTGCAAGTGGATATTTGGACCTGTCTGAGGAATTCGTTGCAAACGGGATAATTTCAGCTAAGTAAACAGAAGCAGTCTCAGAAACTTCTTGTGATGTTTGCATTCAAATCCCAGAATTGAACCTTCCTTTGAAAGTTCAGGTTGGAAACACTCTTTATGCAGGATCTACAAGTGGATATTCGGACCACTCTGTGGACTTCGTTCGAAACGGGTATATCTTCACATAACATCTAGACAGAAGCATTCTCAGAAACTTTTCTGTGATGACTGCATTCAACTCACAGAGTTGAACACTCCTTTTGAGAGCGCAGTTTTGAAACTCTCTTTCTCTGGAATCTGCAAGGGGACATGCAGACCTCTTTGAAGGTTTCGTTGGAAACGGAATCATCTTCACATAAAAATTACACAGAGGCATCCTCAGGAACTCCTTGGTGATGTTTGTATTCAACTTCCAGAGTTGAACTTTCCTTCGGAAAGAGCAGCTATGAAACACTCTCTTTCTAGAATCTGCAAGTGGACATTGGGAGGGCTGTGAGGTTTGTGGTGGAAAAGGAAATATCTCCACATAAATACTAGATAGAAGCCTTCTCAGAAACTACTTTGTGATGATTGCATTCACCTCACGGAATGGAGCATTCCTATTGACAGAGCAGTTTGGAAACACTCTTGTTGTAGAATCTGCTAGTGGAGATTTGGAGCGCTTTGAGGCCTATGGTAGTAAAGGGAAGAGCTTCACATAAAATCTAGACAGAAGCATTCTCAGAAAATACTTTGTGATGATTGAGTTTAACACACAGAGCTGAACATTCCTTTGGATGGAGAAGGTTTGAAACACACTTTCTGTAGAATCTGCGAGTGGATATTTGGACCTCTCTGAGGATTTCGTTGGAAACGGGATAACTGCACCTAACTAAACGGAAGCATTCTCACAAAATTCTTCGTGAGGTTTGCATTCAAATCCCAGAGTTGAACCTTCCTTTGATAGTTCAGGTTTGAAACACTCTTTTTGTAGGATCTGCAAGTGGATATTTGGACCACACTTTGGCCTTCGTGCGAAACGGGTACATCTTCAAATAAAATCTAGACAGAAGCCTTCTCAGAAACTTCTCTGTGACGATTGCATTCAACTCACAGCGTTGAACCCTCCTATGGATAGAGCAGTTTTGAATCTCTCTTTTTGTGGAATCTGCAAGTGGATATGTGGTCCTCTTTGAAGATGTCTTTGGAAACGGGAATATCTTCACATAAAAACTAAACAGAAGCATTCTCAGAAACTTCTCTGTGATGTTTGTGTTCAACTCACAGAGTTTCACGTTGCTTTTCATAGAGCAGATGAGAAACATGCTTTTCGTAGGGTCTGCAAGTGGACATTTGGAGAGATTTCAGGCCTGTGGTGGAAAACGAATTATCGTCACGTAAAAACTAGAGAGAAAGCATTGTCAGAAACTTGTTTGTGATGACTGCATTCAACTCACAGAGTTGAAGGTTCCTTTTCAAACAGCAGTTTCCAAACACTCTTTCTGTGGCATCTGCAAGTGGATGTTTGGGCCTCTTTGAAGATTTCGTTGGAAACGGGATAATCTTCACAGAAAAGCTAAACAGAAGCATTCTCAGAAACTTCTTTGTGATGTTTGCTTTCAACTCACAGAGTTGAACTTTCCATTTGAGAGAGAAGCTTTGAAACACTCTTTTTCTAGAATCTGCAAGTGGATATTTGGAGGGCTTTGAGGCCTGTGGTGGAAAAGGAATTATCTTCCCGTAAGAACTAGATAGATGCATTCTCAGAAACTTCTTTGTGACGATTGCATTCAAGTCACAGAGGTGAACATTCCCTTTCAGAGAGCACTTTGGAAACTCTCGTTGTGTAGAATCTGCAAGTGGAGATATGGACCGCTTTGAGGCCTATGGTAGTAAAGGAAACAGCTTCATATAAAAACTAGACAGCAGCATTCTCAGAAAACTCTTTGTGACGACTGAGTTTAACTCACAGGGCTGAACATTCCTTTGGATGGAGCAGTTTGGAAACACACTATCTGTAGGATCTGCAAGCGGATACTTGGGCCTCCCTGAGGATTTCGTGGGAAACGGGATGAACCGCACAGAACTAAACAGAAGCATTCTCAGAACCTTCTTCGTGATGTTTGCATTCAACCCACAGTGTTGAACCTTTCTTTGATAGTTCAGGTTTGAAACACTCTTTTAGTAGAAACTGCAAGTGGATAACTGCACTTCTTTGAGGCCTATCGTAGTAAAGGAAGTAACTTCCTATAAAAACAAGACAGAAGCTTTCTCAGAAAATTCTCTGGGATGATTGAGTTGAACTCACAGAGCAGAACTTTCCTTGGGATGGAGTAGTTTCGAAACACACTTTCTGTAGAATCTGCAAGTGGATATTTGGACCTGTCTGAGGAATTCGTTGCAAACGGGATAATTTCAGCTAAGTAAACAGAAGCAGTCTCAGAATCTTCTTGTGATGTTTGCATTCAAATCCCAGAATTGAACCTTCCTTTGAAAGTTCAGGTTTGAAACACTCTTTTTGCAGGATCTACAAGTGGATATTCGGACCACTCTGTGGACTTCGTTCGAAACGGGTATATCTTCACATAACATCTAGACAGAAGCATTCTCAGAAACTTTTCTGTGATGACTGCATTCAACTCACAGAGTTGAACACTCCTTTTGAGAGTGCAGTTTTGAAACTCTCTTTCTCTGGAATCTGCAAGGGGACATGCAGACCTCTTTGAAGGTTTCGTTGGAAACGGAATCATCTTCACATAAAAATTACACAGAAGCATCCTCAGGAACTCCTTGGTGATATTTGTATTCAACTTCCAGATTTGAGCTTTCCTTCAGAAAGAGCAGCTATGAAACACTCTTTTTCTAGAATCTGCAAGTTGACATTGGGAGGGCTGTGAGGTTTGTGGTGGAAAAGGAAATATCTCCACATAAATACTAGATAGAAGCCTTCTCAGAAACTACTTTGTGATGACTGCATTCACCTCACGGAGTGGAGCATTCCTATTGACAGAGCAGTTTGGAAACACTCTTCTTGTAGAATCGGCTAGTGGAGAGTTGGAGCGCTTTGAGGCCTATGGTAGTAAAGGGAAGAGCTTCACATAAAATCTAGACAGAAGCATTCTCAGAAAATACTTTGTGATGATTGAGTTTAACACACAGAGCTGAACATTCCTTTGGATGGAGAAGGTTTGAAACACACTTTCTATAGAATCTGCGAGTGGATATTTGGACCTCTCTGAGGATTTCGTTGGAAACGGGATAACTGCACCTAACTAAACGGAAGCATTCTCACAAAATTCTTTGTGATGTTTGCATTCAAATCCCAGAGTTGAACCTTCCTTTGATAGTTCAGCTTTGAAACACTCTTTTTGTAGGATCTGCAGGTGGATATTTGGACAACTCTTTGGCCTTCATTCGAAACGGGTACATCTTCAAATAAAATCTAGACAGAAGCCTTCTCAGAAACTTCTCTGTGATGATTGCATTCAACTCACAGAGTTGAACCCTCCTACGGATAGAGCAGTGTTGAAACTCTCTTTTTGTGGAATCTGCAAGTGGATATGTGGACCTCTCCGAAGATGTCTTTGGAAACGGGAATATCTTCACATAAAAACTAAACAGAAGCATTCTCAGAAACTTCTCTGTGATGTTTGTGTTCAACTCACAGAGTTTCACGTTGCTTTTCATAGAGCAGATGAGAAACATGCTTTTCGTAGGGTCTGCAAGTGGACATTTGGAGAGATTTCAGGCCTGTGGTGGAAAACGAATTATCGTCACGTAAAAACTAGAGAGAAGCATTGTCAGAAACTTGTTTGTGATGACTGCATTCAACTCACAGAGTTGAAGGTTCCTTTTCAAACAGCAGTTTCCAAACACTCTTTCTGTGGCATCTGCAAGTGGATGTTTGGGCCTCTTTGAAGATTTCGTTGGAAACGGGATACTCTTCACAGAAAAGCTAAACAGAAGCATTCTCAGAAACTTCTTTGTGATGTTTGCTTTCTACTCACAGAGTTGAACTTTCCTTTTGAGAGAGAAGCTTTGAAACACTCTTTTTCTAGAATCTGCAAGTGGATATTTGGAGGGCTTTGAGGCCTGAGGTGGAAAAGGAATTATCTTCCCGTAAGAACTAGATAGATGCATTCTCAGAAACTACTTTGTGACGATTGCATTCAAGTCACAGAGGTGAACATTCCCTTTCAGAGAGCACTTTGGAAACTCTCGTTGTGTAGAATCTGCAAGTGGAGATATGGACCGCTTTGAGGCCTATGGTAGTAAAGGAAACAGCTTCATATAAAAACTAGACAGCAGCATTCTCAGAAAACTCTTTGTGACGACTGAGTTTAACTCACAGGGCTGAACATTCCTTTGCATGGAGCAGTTTGGAAACACACTATCTGTAGGATCTGCAAGCGGATACTTGGGCCTCTCTGAGGATTGCGTTGGAAACGGGATAAACCGCACAGAACGAAACAGAAGCATTCTCAGAACCTTCTTCGTGATGTTTACATTCAACCCACAGTGTTGAACCTTTCTTTGATAGTTCAGGTTTGAAACACTCTTTTAGTAGAAACTGCAAGTGGATAACTGCACTTCTTTGAGGCCTATCGTAGTAAAGGAAATAACTTCCTATAAAAACAAGACAGAAGCTTTCTCAGAAAATTCTCTGGGATGATTGAGTTGAACTCACAGAGCAGTACTTTCCTTGGGATGGAGTAGTTTCGAAACACACTTTCTGTAGAATCTGCAAGTGGATATTTGGACCTGTCTGAGGAATTCGTTGCAAACGGGATAATTTCAGCTAAGTAAACAGAAGCAGTCTCAGAATCTTCTTGTGATGTTTGCATTCAAATCCCAGAATTGAACCTTCCTTTGAAAGTTCAGGTTGGAAACACTCTTTTTGCAGGATCTACAAGTGGATATTCGGACCACACTGTGGACTTCGTTCGAAACGGGTATATCTTCACATAACATCTAGACAGAAGCATTCTCAGAAACTTTTCTGTGATGACTGCATTCAACTCACAGAGTTGAACACTCCTTTTGAGAGCGCAGTTTTGAAACTCTCTTTCTCTGGAATCTGCAAGGGGACATGCAGAACTCTTTGAAGGTTTCGTTGGAAACGGAATCATCTTCACATAAAAATTACACAGAAGCATCCTCAGGAACTCCTTGGTGATGTTTGTATTCAACTTCCAGAGTTGAACTTTCCTTCGGAAAGAACAGCTATGAAACACTCTTTTTCTAGAATTTGCAAGTGGACATTGGGAGGGCTGTGAGGTTTGTGGTGGAAAAGGAAATATCTCCACATAAATACTAGATAGAAGCCTTCTCAGAAACTCCTTTGTGATGATTGCATTCACCTCACGGAGTGGAGCATTCCTATTGACAGAGCAGTTTGGAAACACTCTTGTTGTAGAATCTGCTAGTGGAGATTTGGAGCGCTTTGAGGCCTATGGTAGTAAAGGGAAGAGCTTCACATAAAATCTAGACAGAAGCATTCTCAGAAAATACTTTGTGATGATTGAGTTTAACACACAGAGCTGAACATTCCTTTGGATGGAGAAGGTTTGAAACACACTTTCTGTAGAATCTGCGAGTGGATATTTGGACCTCTCTGAGGATTTCGTTGGAAACGGGATAACTGCACCTAACTAAACGGAAGCATTCTCACAAAATTATTTGTGATGTTTGCATTCAAATCCCAGAGTTGAACCTTCCTTTGATAGTTCAGCTTTGAAACACTCTTTTTGTAGGATCTGCAAGTGGATATTTGGACCACTCTTTGGCCTTCCTTCGAAACGGGTACATCTTCAAATAAAATCTCGACAGAAGCCTTCTCAGAAACTTCTCTGTGATGATTGCATTCAACTCAATGCGTTGAACCCTCCTATGGATAGGGCAGTTTTGAATCTCTCTTTTTGTGGAATCTGCAAGTGGATATGTGGTCCTCTTTGAAGATGTCTTTGGAAACGGGAATATCTTCACATAAAAACTAAACAGAAGCATTCTCAGAAACTTCTCTGTGATGTTTGTGTTCAACTCACAGAGTTTCACGTTGCTTTTCATAGAGCAGATGAGAAACATGTTTTTCGTAGGGTCTGCAAGTGGACATTTGGAGAGATTTCAGGCCTGTGGTGGAAAACGAATTATCGTCACGTAAAAACTAGAGAGAAGCATTGTCAGAAACTTGTTTGTGATGACTGCATTCAACTCACAGAGTTGAAGGTTCCTTTTCAAACAGCAGTTTCCAAACACTCTTTCTGTGGGATCTGCAAGTGGATGTTTGGGCCTCTTTGAAGATTTCGTTGGAAACGGGATAATCTTCACAGAAAAGCTAAACAGAAGCATGCTCAGAAACTTCTTTGTGATGTTTGCTTTCAACTCACAGAGTTGAACTTTCCTTTTGAGAGAGAAGCTTTGAAACACTCTTTTTCTAGAATCTGCAAGTGGATATTTGGAGGGCTTTGAGGCCTGAGGTGGAACAGGAATTATCTTCCCGTAAGAACTAGATAGATGCATTCTCAGAAACTACTTTGTGACGATTGCATTCAAGTCACAGAGGTGAACATTCCCTTTCAGAGAGCACTTTGGAAACTCTCGTTGTGTAGAATCTGCAAGTGGAGATATGGACCGCTTTGAGGCCTATGGTAGTAAAGGAAACAGCTTCATATAAAAACTAGACAGCAGCATTCTCAGAAAACTCTTTGTGACGACTGAGTTTAACTCACAGGGCTGAACATTCCTTTGGATGGAGCAGTTTGGAAACACACTATCTGTAGGATCTGCAAGCGGATACTTGGGCCTCCCTGAGGATTTCGTTGGAAACGGGATAAACCGCACAGAACTAAACAGAAGCATTCTCAGAACCTTCTTCGTGATGTTTGCATTCAACCCACAGTGTTGAACCTTTCTTTGATAGTTCAGGTTTGAAACACTCTTTTTGTAGAAACTGCAAGTGGATAACTGCACTTCTTTGAGGCCTATCGTAGTAAAGGAAATAACTTCCTATAAAAACAAGACAGAAGCTTTCTCAGAAAATTCTCTGGGATGATTGAGTTGAACTCACAGAGCAGTACTTTCCTTGGGATGGAGTAGTTTCGAAACACACTTTCTGTAGAATCTGCAAGTGGATATTTGGACCTGTCTGAGGAATTCGTTGCAAACGGGATAATTTCAGCTAAGTAAACAGAAGCAGTCTCAGAATCTTCTTGTGATGGTTGCATTGAAATCCCAGAATTGAACCTTCCTTTGAAAGTTCAGGTTGGAAACACTCTTTTTGCAGGATCTACAAGTGGATATTCGGACCACTCTGTGGACTTCGTTCGAAACGGGTATATCTTCACATAACATCTAGACAGAAGCATTCTCAGAAACTTTTCTGTGATGACTGCATTCAACTCACAGAGTTGAACACTCCTTTTGAGAGCGCAGTTTTGAAACTCTCTTTCTCTGGAATCTGCAAGGGGACATGCAGACCTCTTTGAAGGTTTCGTTGGAAACGGAATCATCTTCACATAAAAATTACACAGAAGCATCCTCAGGAACTCCTTGGTGATGTTTGTATTCAACTTCCAGAGTTGAACTTTCCTTCGGAAAGAGCAGCTATGAAACACTCTTTTTCTAGAATCTGCAAGTGGACATTGGGAGGGCTGTGAGGTTTGTGGTGGAAAAGGAAATATCTCCACATAAATACTAGTTAGAAGCCTTCTCAGAAACTACTTTGTGATGATTGCATTCACCTCACGGAGTGGAGCATTCCTATTGACAGAGCAGTTTGGAAACACTCTTGTTGTAGAATCTGCTAGTGGAGATTTGGAGCGCTTTGAGGCCTATGGTAGTAAAGGGAAGAGCTTCACATAAAATCTAGACAGAAGCATTCTCAGAAAATACTTTGTGATGATTGAGTTTAACACACAGAGCTGAACATTCCTTTGGATGGAGAAGGTTTGAAACACACTTTCTGTAGAATCTGCGAGTGGATATTTGGACCTCTCTGAGGATTTCGTTGGAAACGGGATAACTGCACCTAACTAAACGGAAGCATTCTCACAAAATTCTTTGTGATGTTTGCATTCAAATCCCAGAGTTGAACCTTCCTTTGATAGTTCAGCTTTGAAACACTCTTTTTGTAGGATCTGCAGGTGGATATTTGGACCACTCTTTGGCCTTCGTTCGAAATGGGTACATCTTCAAATAAAATCTAGACAGAAGCCTTCTCAGAAACTTCTCTGTGACGATTGAATTCAACTCAAAGCGTTGAACCCTCCTATGGATAGAGCAGTTTTGAATCTCTCTTTTTGTGGAATCTGCAAGTGGATATGTGGTCCTCTTTGAAGATGTCTTTGGAAACGGGAATATCTTCACATTAAAACTAAACAGAAGCATTCTCAGAAACTTCTCTGTGATGTTTGTGTTCAACTCACAGAGTTTCACGTTGCTTTTCATAGAGCAGATGAGAAACATGCTTTTCGTAGGGTCTGCAAGTGGACATTTGGAGAGCTTTCAGGCCTGTGGTGGAAAACGAATTATCGTCACGTAAAAACTAGAGAGAAGCATTGTCAGAAACTTGTTTGTGATGACTGCATTCAACTCACAGAGTTGAAGGTCCCTTTTCAAACAGCAGTTTCCAAACACTCTTTCTGTGGCATCTGCAAGTGGATGTTTGGGCCTCTTTGAAGATTTCGTTGGAAACGGGATAATCTTCACAGAAAAGCTAAACAGAAGCATTCTCAGAAACTTCTTTGTGATGTTTGCTTTCAACTCACAGAGTTGAACTTTCCTTTTGAGAGAGAAGCTTTGAAACACTCTTTTTCTAGAATCTGCAAGTGGATATTTGGAGGGCTTTGAGGCCTGAGGTGGAAAAGGAATTATCTTCCCGTAAGAACTAGATAGATGCATTCTCAGAAACTACTTTGTGACGATTGCATTCAAGTCACAGAGGTGAACATTCCCTTTCAGAGAGCACTTTGGAAACTCTCGTTGTGTAGAATCTGCAAGTGGAGATATGGACCGCTTTGAGGCCTATGGTAGTAAAGGAAACAGCTTCATATAAAAACTAGACAGCAAGCATTCTCAGAAAACTCTTTGTGACGACTGAGTTTAACTCACAGGGCTGAACATTCCTTTGGATGGAGCAGTTTGGAAACACACTATCTGTAGGATCTGCAAGCGGATACTTGGGCCTCCCTGAGGATTTCGTTGGAAACGGGATAAACCGCACAGAACTAAACAGAAGCATTCTCAGAACCTTCTTCGTGATGTTTGCATTCAACCCACAGTGTTGAACCTTTCTTTGATAGTTCAGGTTTGAAACACTCTTTTTGTAGAAACTGCAAGTGGATAACTGCACTTCTTTGAGGCCTATCGTAGTAAAGGAAATAACTTCCTATAAAAACAAGACAGAAGCTTTCTCAGAAAATTCTCTGGGATGATTGAGTTGAACTCACAGAGCAGTACTTTCCTTGGGATGGAGTAGTTTCGAAACACACTTTCTGTAGAATCTGCAAGTGGATATTTGGACCTGTCTGAGGAATTCGTTGCAAACGGGATAATTTCAGCTAAGTAAACAGAAGCAGTCTCAGAATCTTCTTGTGATGGTTGCATTCAAATCCCAGAATTGAACCTTCCTTTGAAAGTTCAGGTTGGAAACACTCTTTTTGCAGGATCTACAAGTGGATATTCGGACCACTCTGTGGACTTCGTTCGAAACGGGTATATCTTCACATAACATCTAGACAGAAGCATTCTCAGAAACTTTTCTGTGATGACTGCATTCAACTCACAAAGTTGAACACTCCTTTTGAGAGCGCAGTTTTGAAACTCTCTTTCTCTGGAATCTGCAAGGGGACATGCACACCTCTTTGAAGGTTTCGTTGGAAACGGAATCATCTTCACATAAAAATTACACAGAAGCATCCTCAGGAACTCCTTGGTGATGTTTGTATTCAACTTCCAGAGTTGAACTTTCCTTCGGAAAGAACAGCTATGAAACACTCTTTTTCTAGAATTTGCAAGTGGACATTGGGAGGGCTGTGAGGTTTGTGGTGGAAAAGGAAATATCTCCACATAAATACTAGATAGAAGCCTTCTCAGAAACTACTTTGTGATGATTGCATTCACCTCACGGAGTGGAGCATCCCTATTGATAGAGCAGTTTGGAAACACTCTTGTTGTAGAATCGGCTAGTGGAGATTTGGAGCGCTTTGAGGCCTATGGTAGTAAAGGGAAGAGCTTCACATAAAATCTAGACAGAAGCATTCTCAGAAAATACTTTGTGATGATTGAGTTTAACACACAGAGCTGAACATTCCTTTGGATGGAGAAGGTTTGAAACACACTTTCTGTAGAATCTGCGAGTGGATATTTGGACCTCTCTGAGGATTTCGTTGGAAACGGGATAACTGCACCTAACTAAACGGAAGCATTCTCACAAAATTCTTTGTGATGTTTGCATTCAAATCCCAGAGTTGAACCTTCCTTTGATAGTTCAGCTTTGAAACACTCTTTTTGTAGGATCTGCAGGTGGATATTTGGACCACTCTTTGGCCTTCGTTCGAAAAGGGTACATCTTCAAATAAAATCTAGACAGAAGCCTTCTCAGAAACTTCTCTGTGACGATTGCATTCAACTCAAAGCGTTGAACCCTCCTATGGATAGAGCAGTTTTGAATCTCTCTTTTTGTGGAATCTGCAAGTGGATATGTGGTCCTCTTTGAAGATGTCTTTGGAAACGGGAATATCTTCACATAAAAACTAAACTGAAGCATTCTCAGAAACTTCTCTGTGATGTTTGTGTTCAACTCACAGAGTTTCACGTTGCTTTTCATAGAGCAGATGAGAAACATGCTTTTCGTAGGGTCTGCAAGTGGACATTTGGAGAGCTTTCAGGCCTGTGGTGGAAAACGAATTATCGTCACGTAAAAACTAGAGAGAAGCATTGTTAGAAACTTGTTTGTGATGACTGCATTCAACTCACAGAGTTGAAGGTTCCTTTTCAAACAGCAGTTTCCAAACACTCTTTCTGTGGCATCTGCAAGTGGATGTTTGGGCCTCTTTGAAGATTTCGTTGGAAACGGGATAATCTTCTCAGAAAAGCTAAACAGAAGCATTCTCAGAAACTTCTTTGTGATGTTTGCTTTCAACTCACAGAGTTGAACTTTCCTTTTGAGAGAGAAGCTTTGAAACACTCTTTTTCTAGAATCTGCAAGTGGATATTTGGAGGGCTTTGAGGCCTGAGGTGGAAAAGGAATTATCTTCCCGTAAGAACTAGATAGATGCATTCTCAGAAAGTACTTTGTGACGATTGCATTCAAGTCACAGAGGTGAACATTCCCTTTCAGAGAGCACTTTGGAAACTCTCGTTGTGTAGAATCTGCAAGTGGAGATATGGACCGCTTTGAGGCCTATGGTAGTAAAGGAAACAGCTTCATATAAAAACTAGACAGCAGCATTCTCAGAAAACTCTTTGTGACGACTGAGTTTAACTCACAGGGCTGAACATTCCTTTGGATGGAGCAGTTTGGAAACACACTATCTGTAGGATCTGCAAGCGGATACTTGGGCCTCTGTGAGGATTTCGTTGGAAACGGGATAAACCGCACAGAACTAAACAGAAGCATTCTCAGAACCTTCTTCGTGATATTTGCATTCAACCCACAGTGTTGAACCTTTCTTTGATAGTTCAGGTTTGAAACACTCTTTTTGTAGAAACTGCAAGTGGATAACTGCACTTCTTTGAGGCCTGTCGTAGTAAAGGAAATAACTTCCTATAAAAACAAGACAGAAGCTTTCTCAGAAAATTCTCTGGGATGATTGAGTTGAACTCACAGAGCAGTACTTTCTTTGGGATGGAGTAGTTTCGAAACACACTTTCTGTACAATCTGCAAGTGGATATTTGGACCTGTCTGAGGAATTCGTTGCAAACGGGATAATTTCAGCTAAGTAAACAGAAGCAGTCTCAGAATCTTCTTGTGATGTTTGCATTCAAATCCCAGAATTGAACCTTCCTTTGAAAGTTCAGGTTGGAAACACTCTTTTTGCAGGATCTACAAGTGGATATTCGGACCACTCTGTGGACTTCGTTCGAAACGGGTATATCTTCACATAACATCTAGACAGAAGCATTCTCAGAAACTTTTCTGTGATGACTGCATTCAACTCACAGAGTTGAACACTCCTTTTGAGAGCGCAGTTTTGAAACTCTCTTTCTCTGGAATCTGCAAGGGGACATGCAGACCTCTTTGAAGATTTCGTTGGAAACGGAATCATCTTCACATAAAAATTACACAGAAGCATCCTCAGGAACTCCTTGGTGATGTTTGTATTCAACTTCCAGAGTTGAACTTTCCTTCGGAAAGAGCAGCTATGAAACACTCTTTTTCTAGAATCTGCAAGTGGACATTGGGAGGGCTGTGAGGTTTGTGGTGGAAAAGGAAATATCTCCACATAAATACTAGATAGAAGCCTTCTCAGAAACTACTTTGTGATGATTGCATTCACCTCACGGTATTGGAGCATTCCTATTGACAGAGCAGTTTGGAAACACTCTTCTCGTAGAATCGGCTAGTGGAGATTTGGAGCGCTTTGAGGCCTATGGTAGTAAAGGGAAGAGCTTCACATAAAATCTAGACAGAAGCATTCTCAGAAAATACTTTGTGATGATTGAGTTTAACACACAGAGCTGCACATTCCTTTGGATGGAGAAGGTTTGAAACACACTTTCTGTAGAATCTGCGAGTGGATATTTGGACCTCTCTGAGGATTTCATTGGAAACGGGATAACTGCACCTAACTAAACGGAAGCATTCTCACAAAATTCTTTGTGATGTTTCCATTCAAATCCCAGAGTTGAACTTTCCTTTGATAGTTCAGCTTTGAAACATTCTTTTTGTAGGTTCTGAAAGTGGATATTTGGACCACTCTTTGGCCTTCGTTCGAAACGGGTACATCTTCAAATGAAATCTAGACAGAAGCCTTCTCAGAAACTTCTCTGTGACGATTGCATTCAACTCAAAGCGTTGAACCCTCCTATGGATAGAGCAGTTTTGAATCTCTCTTTTTGTGGAATCTGCAAGTGGATATGTGGTCCTCTTTGAAGATGTCTTTGGAAACGGGAATAT
The DNA here is from genome assembly GCF_000001405.40 of Homo sapiens. Lineage (NCBI taxonomy): Eukaryota > Metazoa > Chordata > Mammalia > Primates > Hominidae > Homo > Homo sapiens. The sequence continues at coordinate 22,987,197 of NC_000017.11, forward strand.
CTTCACATAAAAACTAAACAGAAGCATTCTCAGAAACTTCTCTGTGATGTTTGTGTTCAACTCACAGAGTTTCACGTTGCTATTCATAGAGCAGATGGGAAACATGCTTTTCGTAGGGTCTGCAAGTGGACATTTGGAGAGATTTCCGGCCTGTGGTGGAAAACGAATTATCGTCACGTAAAAACTAGAGAGAAGCATTGTCAGAAACTTGTTTGTGATGACTGCATTCAACTCACAGAGTTGAAGGTTCCTTTTCAAACAGCAGTTTCCAAACACTCTTTCTGTGGCATCTGCAAGTGGATGTTTGGGCCTCTTTGAAGATTTCGTTGGAAACGGGATAATCTTCACAGAAAAGCTAAACAGAAGCATGCTCAGAAACTTCTTTGTGATGTTTGCTTTCAACTCACAGAGTTGAACTTTCCTTTTGAGAGAGAAGCTTTGAAACACTCTTTTTCTAGAATCTGCAAGTGGATATTTGGAGGGCTTTGAGGCCTGAGGTGGAACAGGAATTATCTTCCCGTAAGAACTAGATAGATGCATTCTCAGAAACTACTTTGTGACGATTGCATTCAAGTCACAGAGGTGAACATTCCCTTTCAGAGAGCACTTTGGAAACTCTCGTTGTGTAGAATCTGCAAGTGGAGATATGGACCGCTTTGAGGCCTATGGTAGTAAAGGAAACAGCTTCATATAAAAACTAGACAGCAGCATTCTCAGAAAAATCTTTCTGACGACTGAGTGTAACTCACAGGGTTGAACATTCCTTTGGATGGAGCAGTTTGGAAACACACTATCTGTAAGATCTGCAAGCGGATACTTGGGCCTCTCTGAGGATTTTGTTGGAAACGGGATAAACCGCACAGAACTAAACAGAAAGCATTCTCAGAAACCTTCTTCGTGATGTTTGCATTCAACCCACAGTGTTGAACCTTTCTTTGCTAGTTCAGGTTTGAAACACTCTTTTTGTAGAAACTGCAAGTGGATAACTGCACTTCTTTGAGGCCTATCGTAGTAAAGGAAATAACTTCCTATAAAAACAAGACAGAAGCTTTCTCAGAAAATTCTCTGGGATGATTGAGTTGAACTCACAGAGCAGTACTTTCCTTGGGATGGAGTAGTTTCGAAACACACTTTCTGTAGAATCTGCAAGTGGATATTTGGACCTGTCTGAGGAATTCGTTGCAAACGGGATAATTTCAGCTAAGTAAACAGAAGCAGTCTCAGAATCTTCTTGTGATGTTTGCATTCAAATCCCAGAATTGAACCTTCCTTTGAAAGTTCAGGTTGGAAACACTCTTTTTGCAGGATCTACAAGTGGATATTCGGACCACTCTGTGGACTTCGTTCGAAACGGGTATATCTTCACATAACATCTAGACAGAAGCATTCTCAGAAACTTTTCTGTGATGACTGCATTCAACTCACAGAGTTGAACACTCCTTTTGAGAGCGCAGTTTTGAAACTCTCTTTCTCTGGAATCTGCAAGGGGACATGCAGACCTCTTTGAAGGTTTCATTGGAAACAGAATCATCTTCACATAAAAATTACACAGAAGCATTCTCAGGAACTCCTTGGTGATGTTTGTATTCAACTTCCAGAGTTGAACTTTCCTTCGGAAAGAGCAGCTATGAAACACTCTTTTTCTAGAATCTGCAAGTGGACATTGGGAGGGCTGTGAGGTTTGTGGTGGAAAAGGAAATATCTCCACGTAAATACTAGATAGAAGCCTTCTCAGAAACTACTTTGTGATGATTGCATTCACCTCACGGAGTGGAGCATTCCTATTGACAGAGCAGTTTGGAAACACTCTTGTTGTAGAATCGGCTAGTGGAGATTTGGAGCGCTTTGAGGCCTATGGTAGTAAAGGGAAGAGCTTCACATACAATCTAGACAGAAGCATTTTCAGAAAATACTTTGTGATGATTGAGTTTAACACACAGAGCTGCACATTCCTTTGGATGGAGAAGGTTTGAAACACACTTTCTGTAGAATCTGCGAGTGGATATTTGGACCTCTCTGAGGATTTCGTTGGAAACGGGATAACTGCACCTAACTAAACGGAAGCATTCTCACAAAATTCTTTGTGATGTTTGCATTCAAATCCCAGTAGTTGAACCTTCCTTTGATAGTTCAGCTTTGAAACACTCTTTTTGTAGGTTCTGCAGGTGGATATTTGGACCACTCTTTGGCCTTCGTTCGAAACGGGTACATCTTCAAATAAAATCTAGACAGAAGCCTTCTCAGAAACTTCTCTGTGACGATTGCATTCAACTCAAAGCGTTGAACCCTCCCTATGGATAGAGCAGTTTTGAATCTCTCTTTTTGTGGAATCTGCAAGTGGATATGTGGTCCTCTTTGAAGATGTCTTTGGAAACGGGAATATCTTCACATAAAAACTAAACAGAAGCATTCTCAGAAACTTCTCTGTGATGTTTGTGTTCAACTCACAGAGTTTCACGTTGCTTTTCATAGAGCAGATGAGAAACATGCTTTTCGTAGGGTCTGCAAGTGGACATTTGGAGAGATTTCAGGCCTGTGGTGGAAAACGAATTATCGTCACGTAAAAACTAGAGGGAAGCATTGTCAGAAACTTGTTTGTGATGACTGCCTTCAACTCACAGAGTTGAAGGTTCCTTTTCAAACAGCAGTTTCCAAACACTCTTTCTGTGGCATCTGCAAGTGGATGTTTGGGCCTCTTTGAAGATTTCGTTGGAAACGGGATAATCTTCACAGAAAAGCTAAACAGAAGCATTCTCAGAAACTTCTTTGTGATGTTTGCTTTCAACTCACAGAGTTGAACTTTCCTTTTGAGAGAGAAGCTTTGAAACACTCTTTTTCTAGAATCTGCAAGTGGATATTTGGAGGGCTTTGAGGCCTGAGGTGGAAAAGGAATTATCTTCCCGTTAAAACTAGATAGATGCATTCTCAGAAACTACTTTGTGACGATTGCATTCAAGTCACAGACGTGAACATTCCCTTTCACAGAGCACTTTGGAAACTCTCGTTGTGTAGAATCTGCAAGTGGAGTTATGGAGCCCTTTGAGGCCTATGGTAGTAAAGGAAACAGCTTCGTATAAAAACTAGACAGCAGCATTCTCAGAAAACTCTTTGTGACGACTGAGTTTAACTCACAGGGCTGAACATTCCTTTGGATGGAGCAGTTTGGAAACACACTATCTGTAGGATCTGCAAGCGGATACTTGGGCCTCTGTGAGGATTTCGTTGGAAACGGGATAAACCGCACAGAACTAAACAGAAGCATTCTCAGAACCTTCTTCGTGATGTTTGCATTCAACCCACAGTGTTGAACCTTTCTTTGATAGTTCAGGTTTGAAACACTCTTTCTGTAGAAACTGCAAGTGGATAACTGCACTTCTTTGAGGCCTATCGTAGTAAAGGAAATAACTTCCTATAAAAACAAGGACAGAAGCTTTCTCAGAAAATTCTCTGGGATGATTGAGTTGAACTCACAGAGCAGTACTTTCCTTGGGATGGAGTAGTTTCGAAACACACTTTCTGTAGAATCTGCAAGTGGATATTTGGACCTGTCTGAGGAATTCGTTGCAAACGGGATAATTTCAGCTAAGTAAACAGAAGCAATCTCAGAATCTTCTTTGTGATGTTTGCATTCAAATCCCAGAGTTGAACCTTCCTTTGAAAGTTCAGGTTTGAAACCCTCTTTTTGCAGGATCTACAAATTTATTTTGGGACCACTCTGTGGTCTTCGTTCGAAACGGGTATATCTTCACATAACATCTAGACAGAAGCATTCTCAGAAACTTTTCTGTGATGACTGCATTCCACTCACAGAGTTGTACACTCCTTTTGAGAGCGCAGTTTTGAAACTCTCTTTCTGTGGAATCTGCAAGGGGACATGTAGACCTCTTTGAAGGTTTCGTTTGGAAACGGAATCATCTTCACATAAAAATTACACAGAAGCATCCTCAGGAACTCCTTGGTGATGTGTGTATTCAACTTCCAGAGTTGAACTTTCCTTCGGAAAGAGCAGCTATGAAACACTCTTTTTCTAGAATCTGCAAGTGGACATTGGGAGGGCTGTGAGGTTTGTGGTGGAAAAGGAAATATCTCCACGTAAATACTAGATAGAAGGCTTCTCAGAAACTACTTTGTGATGATTGCATTCACCTCACGGAGTGGAGCATTCCTATTGACAGAGCAGTTTGGAAACACTCTTGTTGTAGAATCTGCTAGTGGAGATTTGGAGCGCTTTGAGGCCTATGGTAGTAAAGGGAAGAGCTTCACATAAAATCTAGACAGAAGCATTCTCAGAAAATACTTTGTGATGATTGAGATTAACACACAGAGCTGAACATTCCTTTGGATGGAGAAGGTTTGAAACACACTTTCTGTAGAATCTGCGAGTGGATATTTGGACCTCTCTGAGGATTTCGTTGGAAACGGGATAACTGCACCTAACTAAACGGAAGCATTCTCACAAAATTCTTTGTGATGTTTGCATTCAAATCCCAGAAGTTGAACCTTCCTTTGATAGTTCAGCTTTGAAACACTCTTTTTGTAGGATCTGCAGGTGGATATTTGGACCACTCTTTGGCCTTCGTTCGAAACGGGTACATCTTCAAATAAAATCTAGACAGAAGCCTTCTCAGAAACTTCTCTGTGACGATTGCATTCAACTCAAAGAGTTGAACCCTCCTATGGATAGAGCAGTTTTGAATCTCTCTTTTTGTGGAATCTGCAAGTGGATATGTGGTCCTCTTTGAAGATGTCTTTGGAAACGGGAATATCTTCACATAAAAACTAAACAGAAGCATTCTCAGAAACTTCTCTGTGATGTTTGTGTCCAAATCACAGAGTTTCACGATGCTTTTCATAGAGCAGATGAGAAACATTCTTTTCGTAGGGTCTGCAAGTGGACATTTGGAGAGATTTCAGGCCTGTGGTGGAAAACGAATAATCGTCAAGTAAAAACTAGAGGGAAGCATTGTCAGAAACTTGTTTGTGATGACTGCATTCAACTCACAGAGTTGAAGGTTCCTTTTCAAACAGCAGTTTCCAAACACTCTTTCTGTGGCATCTGCAAGTGGATGTTTGGGCCTCTTTGAAGATTTCGTTGGAAACGGGATAATCTTCACAGAAAAGCTAAACAGAAGCATTCTCAGAAACTTCTTTGTGATGTTTGCTTTCAACTCACAGAGTTGAACTTTCCTTTTGAGAGAGAAGCTTTGAAACACTCTTTTTCTAGAATCTGCAAGTGGATATTTGGAGGGCTTTGAGGCCTGTGGTGGAAAAGGAATTATCTTCCCGTAGGAACTAGATAGATGCATTCTCAGAAAATACTTTGTGACGATTGCATTCAAGTCACAGAGGTGAACATTCCCTTTCACAGAGCACTTTGGAAACTCTCGTTGTGTAGAATCTGCAAGTGGAGATATGGACCGCTTTGAGGCCTATGGTAGTAAAGGAAACAGCTTCATATAAAAACTAGACAGCAGCATTCTCAGAAAACTCTTTGTGACGACTGAGTTTAACTCACAGGGCTGAACATTCCTTTGGATGGAGCAGTTTGGAAACACACTATCTGTAGGATCTGCAAGCGGATACTTGGGCCTCCCTGAGGATTTCGTTGGAAACGGGATAAACCGCACAGAACTAAACAGAAGCATTCTCAGAGCCTTCTTCGTGATGTTTGCATTCAACCCACAGTGTTGAACCTTTCTTTGATAGTTCACGTTTGAAACACTCTTTTTGTAGAAACTGCAAGTGGATAACTGCACTTCTTTGAGGCCTATCGTAGTAAAGGAAATAACTTCCTATAAAAACAAGACAGAAGCTTTCTCAGAAAATTTTCTGGGATGATTGACTTGAACTCACAGAGCAGTACTTTCCTTGGGATGGAGTAGTTTCGAAACACACTTTCTGTAGAATCTGCAAGTGGATATTTGGACCTGTCTGAGGAATTCGTTGCAAACGGGATAATTTCAGCTAAGTAAACAGAAGCAGTCTCAGAATCTTCTTGTGATGTTTGCATTCAAATCCCAGAATTGAACCTTCCTTTGAAAGTTCAGGTTGGAAACACTCTTTTTGCAGGATCTACAAGTGGATATTCGGACCACTCTGTGGACTTCGTTCGAAACGGGTATATCTTCACATAACATCTAGACAGAAGCATTCTCAGAAACTTTTCTGTGATGACTGCATTCAACACACAGAGTTGAACACTCCTTTTGAGAGCACAGTTTTGAAAATCTCTTTCTCTGGAATCTGCAAGGGGACATGCAGACCTCTTTGAAGGTTTCGTTGGAAACGGAATCATCTTCACATAAAAATTACACAGAAGCATCCTCAGGAACTCCTTGGTGATGTTTGTATTCAACTTCCAGAGTTGAACTTTCCTTCGGAAAGAGCAGCTATGAAACACTCTTTTTCTAGAATCTGCAAGTGGACATTGGGAGGGCTGTGAGGTTTGTGGTGGAAAAGGAAATATCTCCACATAAATACTAGATAGAAGCCTTCTCAGAAACTACTTTGTGATGATTGCATTCACCTCAAGGAGATGAGCATCCCTATTGACAGAGCAGTTTGGAAACACTCTTCTTGTAGAATCGGCTAGTGGAGATTTGGAGCGCTTTGAGGCCTATGGTAGTAAAGGGAAGAGCTTCACATAAAATCTAGACAGAAGCATTCTCAGAAAATACTTTGTGATGATTGAGTTTAACACACAGAGCTGAACATTCCTTTGGATGGAGAAGGTTTGAAACACACTTTCTGTAGAATCTGCGAGTGGATATTTGGACCTCTCTGAGGATTTCGTTGGAAACGGGATAACTGCACCTAACTAAACGGAAGCATTCTCACAAAATTCTTTGTGATGTTTGCATTCAAATCCCAGAGTTGAACCTTCCTTTGATAGTTCAGCTTTGAAACACTCTTTTTGTAGGTTCTGCAGGTGGATATTTGAACCACTCTTTGGCCTTCGTTCGAAACGGGTACATCTTCAAATAAAATCTAGACAGAAGCCTTCTCAGAAACTTCTCTGTGACGATTGCATTCAACTCACAGCGTTGAACCCTCCTATGGATAGAGCAGCTTTGAATCTCTCTTTTTGTGGAATCTGCAAGTGGATATGTGGTCCTCTTTGAAGATGTCTTTGGAAACGGGAATATCTTCACATAAAAACTAAACAGAAGCATTCTCAGAAACTTCTCTGTGATGTTTGTGTTCAACTCACAGAGTTTCACGTTGCTTTTCATAGAGCAGATGAGAAACATGCTTTTCGTAGGGTCTGCAAGTGGACATTTGGAGAGATTTCAGGCCTGTGGTGGAAAACGAATTATCGTCACGTAAAAACTAGAGAGAAGCATTGTCAGAAACTTGTTTGTGATGACTGCATTCCACTCACAGAGTTGAAGGTTCCTTTTCAAACAGCAGTTTCAAAACACTCTTTCTGTGGCATCTGCAAGTGTATGTTTGGGTCTCTTTGAAGATTTCGTTGGAAACGGGATAATCTTCACAGAAAAGCTAAACAGAAGCATTCTCAGAAACTTCTTTGTGATGTTTGCTTTCAACTCACAGAGTTGAACTTTCCTTTTGAGAGAGAAGCTTTGAAACACTCTTTTTCTAGAATCTGCAAGTGGATATTTGGAGGGCTTTGAGGCCTGTGGTGGAAAACGAATTATCTTCCCGTAAGAACTAGATAGATGCATTCTCAGAAACTACTTTGTGACGATTGCATTCAAGTCACAGAGGTGAACATTCCCTTTCACAGAGCACTTTGGAAACCCTCGTTGTGTAGAATCTGCAAGTGGAGATATGGACTGCTTTGGGGCCTATGGTAGTAAAGGAAACAGCTTCATATAAAAACTAGACAGCAGCATTCTCAGAAAACTCTTTGTGACGACTGAGTTTAACTCACAGGGCTGAACATTCCTTTGGATGGAGCAGTTTGGAAACACACTATCTGTAGGATCTGCAAGCGGATACTTGGGCCTCCCTGAGGATTTCGTTGGAAACGGGATAAACCGCACAGAACTAAACAGAAGCATTCTCAGAACCTTCTTCGTGATGTTTGCATTCAACCCACAGTGTTGAACCTTTCTTTGATAGTTCAGGTTTGAAACACTCTTTTTGTAGAAACTGCAAGTGGATAACTGCACTTCTTTGAGGCCTATCGTAGTAAAGGAAATAACTTCCTATAAAAACAAGACAGAAGCTTTCTCAGAAAATTCTCTGAGATGATTGAGTTGAACTCACAGAGCAGTACTTTCCTTGGGATGGAGTAGTTTCGAAACACACTTTCTGTAGAATCTGCAAGTGGATATTTGGACCTGTCTGAGGAATTCGTTGCAAACGGGATAATTTCAGCTAAGTAAACAGAAGCAGTCTCAGAATCTTCTTGTGATGTTTGCATTCAAATCCCAGAATTGAACCTTCCTTTGAAAGTTCAGGTTGGAAACACTCTTTTTGCAGGATCTACAAGTGGATATTCGGACCACTCTGTGGACTTCGTTCGAAAGGGGTATATCTTCACATAACATCTAGACAGAAGCATTCTCAGAAACTTTTCTGTGATGACTGCATTCAACTCACAGAGTTGAACACTCCTTTTGAGAGCGCAGTTTTGAAACTCTCTTTCTCTGGAATCTGCAAGGGGACATGCAGACCTCTTTGAAGGTTTCGTTGGAAACGGAATCATCTTCACATAAAAATTACACAGAAGCATCCTCAGGAACTCCTTGGTGATGTTTGTATTCAACTTCCAGAGTTGAACTTTCCTTTGGAAAGAGCAGCTATGAAACACACTTTTTCTAGAATCTGCAAGTGGACATTGGGAGGGCTGTGAGGTTTGTGGTGGAAAAGGAAATATCTCCACGTAAATACTAGATAGAAGCCTTCTCAGAAACTACTTTGTGATGATTGCATTCACCTCACGGAGTTGAGCATCCCTATTGACAGAGCAGTTTGGAAACACTCTTGTTGTAGAATAGGCTAGTGGAGATTTGGAGCGCTTTGAGGCCTATGGTAGTAAAGGGAAGAGCTTCACATAAAATCTAGACAGAAGCATTCTCAGAAAATACTTTGTGATGATTGAGTTTAACACACAGAGCTGAACATTCCTTTGGATGGAGAAGGTTTGAAACACACTTTCTGTAGAATCTGCGAGTGGATATTTGGACCTCTCTGAGGATTTCGTTGGAAACGGGATAACTGCACCTAACTAAACGGAAGCATTCTCACAAAATTCTTTGTGATGTTTGCATTCAAATCCCAGAGTTGAACCTTCCTTTGATAGTTCAGCTTTGAAACACTCTTTTTGTAGGATCTGCAGGTGGATATTTGGACCACTCTTTGGCCTTCGTTCGAAAAGGGTACATCTTCAAATAAAATCTAGACAGAAGCCTTCTCAGAAACTTCTCTGTGACGATTGCATTCAACTCAAAGCGTTGAACCCTCCTATGGATAGAGCAGTTTTGAATCTCTCTTTTTGTGGAATCTGCAAGTGGATATGTGGTCCTCTTTGAAGATGTCTTTGGAAACGGGAATATCTTCACATAAAAACTAAACAGAAGCATTCTCAGAAACTTCTCTGTGATGTTTGTGTTCAACTCACAGAGTTTCACGTTGCTTTTCATAGAGCAGATGAGAAACATGCTTTTCGTAGGGTCTGCAAGTGGACATTTGGAGAGCTTTCAGGCCTGTGGTGGAAAACGAATTATCGTCACGTAAAAACTAGAGAGAAGCATTGTCAGAAACTTCTTTGTGATGACTGCATTCAACTCACAGAGTTGAAGGTTCCTTTTCAAACAGCAGTTTCCAAACACTCTTTCTGTGGCATCTGCAATTGGATGTTTGGGCCTCTTTGAAGATTTCGTTGGAAACGGGATAATCTTCACAGAAAAGCTAAACAGAAGCATTCTCAGAAACTTCCTTGTGATGTTTGCTTTCAACTCACAGAGTTGAACTTTCCTTTTGAGAGAGAAGCTTTGAAACACTCTTTTTCTAGAACCTGCAAGTGGATATTTGGAGGGCTTTGAGGCCTGAGGTGGAAAAGGAATTATATTCCCGTAAGAACTAGATAGATGCATTCTCAGAAACTACTTTGTGACGATTGCATTCAAGTCACAGAGGTGAACATTCCCTTTCACAGAGCACTTTGGAAACTCTCGTTGTGTAGAATCTGCAAGTGGAGATATGGACCACTTTGAGGCCTATGGTAGTAAAGGAAACAGCTTCATATAAAAACTAGACAGCAGCATTCTCAGAAAACTCTTTGTGACGACTGAGTTTAACTCAAAGGGCTGAACATTCCTTTCGATGGAGCAGTTTGGAAACACACTATCTCTAGGATCTGCAAGCGGATACTTGGGCCTCTCTGAGGATTTCGTTGGAAACGGGATAAACCGCACAGAACTAAACAGAAGCATTCTCAGAACCTTCTTCGTGACGTTTGCATTCAACCCACAGTGTTGAACCTTTCTTTGATAGTTCAGGTTTGAAACACTCTTTTTGTAGAAACTGCAAGTGGATAACTGCACTTCTTTGAGGCCTATCGTAGTAAAGGAAATAACTTCCCATAAAAACAAGACAGAAGCTTTCTCAGAAAATTCTCTGGGATGATTGACTTGAACTCACAGAGCAGTACTTTCCTTGGGATGGAGTAGTTTCGAAACACACTTTCTGTAGAATCTGCAAGTGGATATTTGGACCTGTCTGAGGAATTCGTTGCAAACGGGATAATTTCAGCTAAGTAAACAGAAGCAGTCTCAGAATCTTCTTGTGATGTTTGCATTGAAATCCCAGAATTGAACCTTCCTTTGAAAGTTCAGGTTGGAAACACTCTTTTTGCAGGATCTACAAGTGGATATTCGGACCACTCTGTGGACTTCGTTCGAAACGGGTATATCTTCACATAACATCTAGACAGAAGCATTCTCAGAAACTTTTCTGTGATGACTGCATTCAACTCACAGAGTTGAACACTCCTTTTGAGAGCGCAGTTTTGAAACTCTCTTTCTCTGGAATCTGCAAGGGGACATGCAGACCTCTTTGAAGGTTTCATTGGAAACAGAATCATCTTCACATAAAAATTACACAGAAGCATTCTCAGGAACTCCTTGGTGATGTTTGTATTCAACTTCCAGAGTTGAACTTTCCTTCGGAAAGAGCAGCTATGAAACACTCTTTTTCTAGAATCTGCAAGTGGACATTGGGAGGGCTGTGAGGTTTGTGGTGGAAAAGGAAATATCTCCACATAAATACTAGATAGAAGCCTTCTCAGAAACTACTTTGTGATGATTGCATTCACCTCACGGAGTGGAGCATTCCTATTGACAGAGCAGTTTGGAAACACTCTTCTTGTAGAATCGGCTAGTGGAGATTTGGAGCGCTTTGAGGCCTATGGTAGTAAAGGGAAGAGCTTCCCATAAAATCTAGACAGAAGCATTCTCAGAAAATACTTTGTGATGATTGAGTTTAACACACAGAGCTGAACATTCCTTTGGATGGAGAAGGTTTGAAACACACTTTCTGTAGAATCTGCGAGTGGATATTGGGACCTCTCTGAGGATTTCGTTGGAAACGGGATAACTGCACCTAACTAAACGGAAGCATTCTCACAAAATTCTTTGTGATGTTTGCATTCAAATCCCAGAGTTGAACCTTCCTTTGATAGTTCAGCTTTGAAACACTCTTTTTGTAGGATCTGCAGGTGGATATTTGGACCACTCTTTGGCCTTCGTTCGAAACGGGTACATCTTCAAATAAAATCTAGACAGAAGCCTTCTCAGAAACTTCTCTGTGACGATTGCATTCAACCCAAAGAGTTGAACCCTCCTATGGATAGAGCAGTTTTGAATCTCTCTTTTTGTGGAATCTGCAAGTGGATATGTGGTCCTCTTTGAAGATGTCTTTGGAAACGGGAATATCTTCACATAAAAACTAAACAGAAGCATTCTCAGAAACTTCTCTGTGATGTTTGTGTTCAACTCACAGAGTTTCACGTTGCTTTTCATAGAGCAGGTGAGAAACATGCTTTTCGTAGGGTCTGCAAGTGGACATTTGGAGAGCTTTCAGGCCTGTGGTGGAAAACGAATTATCGTCACGTAAAAACTAGAGAGAAGCATTGTCAGAAACTTGTTTGTGATGACTGCATTCAACTCACAGAGTTGAAGGTTCCTTTTCAAACAGCAGTTTCCAAACACTCTTTCTGTGGCATCTGCAAGTGGATGTTTGGGCCTCTTTGAAGATTTCGTTGGAAACGGGATAATCTTCACAGAAAAGCTAAACAGAAGCATTCTCAGAAACTTCTTTGTGATGTTTGCTTTCAACTCACAGAGTTGAACTTTCCTTTTGAGAGAGAAGCTTTGAAACACTCTTTTTCTAGAATCTGCAAGTGGACATTGGGAGGGCTGTGAGGTTTGTGGTGGAAAAGGAAATATCTCCACATAAATACTAGATAGAAGCCTTCTCAGAAACTACTTTGTGATGATTGCATTCACCTCACGGAGTGGAGCATTCCTATTGACAGAGCAGTTTGGAAACACTCTTGTTGTAGAATCGGCTAGAGGAGATTTGGAGCGCTTTGAGTCCTATGGTAGTAAAGGGAAGAGCTTCACATAAAATCTAGACAGAAGCATTCTCAGAAAATACTTTGTGATGATTGAGTTTAACACACAGAGCTGAACATTCCTTTGGATGGAGAAGGTTTGAAACACACTTTCTGTAGAATCTGCGAGTGGATATTTGGACCTCTCTGAGGATTTCGTTGGAAACGGGATAACTGCACCTAACTAAACGGAAGCATTCTCACAAAATTCTTTGCGATGTTTGCATTCAAATCCCAGAGTTGAACCTTCCTTTGAGAGTTCAGCTTTGAAACACTCTTTTTGTAGGATCTGCAGGTGGATATTTGGACCACTCTTTGGCCTTCGTTCGAAACGGGTACATCTTCAAATAAAATCTAGACAGAAGCCTTCTCAGAAACTTCTCTGTGACGATTGCATTCAACTCAAAGCGTTGAACCCTCCTATGGATAGAGCAGTTTTGAATCTCTCTTTTTGTGGAATCTGCAAGTGGATATGTGGTCCTCTTTGAAGATGTCTTTGGAAACGGGAATATCTTCACATAAAAACTAAACAGAAGCAATCTCAGAAACTTCTCTGTGATGTTTGTGTTCAACTCACAGAGTTTCACATTGCTTTTCATAGAGCAGTTCTGAAACATGCTTTTCGTAGTGTCTGCAAGTGGACATTTGGAGAGCTTTCAGGCCAGTGGTGGAAAACGAATTATCATCACATAAAAACTAGAGAGAAGCATTGTCAGAAACTTGTTTGTGATGACTGCATTCAACTCACAGAGTTGAAGGTTCCTTTCCAAACACTCTTTCTGTGGCATCTGCAAGTGGATGTTTGGGCCTCTTTGAAGATTTCGTTGGAAATGGGATAATCTTCACAGAAAAGCTAAACAGAAGCATGCTCAGAAACTTCTTTGTGATGTTTGCTTTCAACTCACAGAGTTGAACTTTCCTTTTGAGAGAGAAGCTTTGAAACACTCTTTTTCTAGAATCTGCAAGTGGATATTTGGAGGGCTTTGAGGCCTGAGGTGGAACAGGAATTATCTTCCCGTAAGAACTAGATAGATGCATTCTCAGAAACTACTTTGTGACGATTGCATTCAAGTCACAGAGGTGAACATTCCCTTTCACAGAGCACTTTGGAAACTCTCGTTGTGTAGAATCTGCAAGTGGAGATATGGACCGCTTTGACGCCTATGGTAGTAAAGGAAACAGCTTCATATAAAAATTAGACAGCAGCATTCTCAGAAAACTCTTTCTGACGACTGAGTGTAACTCACAGGGTTGAACATTCCTTTGGATGGAGCAGTTTGGAAACACACTATCTGTAAGATCTGCAAGCGGATACTTGGGCCTCTCTGAGGATTTCGTTGGAAACGGGATAAACCGCACAGAACTAAACAGAAGCATTCTCAGAACCTTCTTCGTGACGTTTGCATTCAACCCACAGTGTTGAACCTTTCTTTGATAGTTCAGGTTTGAAACACTCTTTTTGTAGAAACTGCAAGTGGATAACTGCACTTCTTTGAGGCCTATCGTAGTAAAGGAAATAACTTCCTATAAAAACAAGACAGAAGCTTTCTCAGAAAATTCTCTGGGATGATTGAGTTGAACTCACAGAGCAGTACTTTCCTTGGGATGGAGTAGTTTCGATACACACTTTCTGTAGAATCTGCAAGTGGATATTTGGACCTGTCTGAGGAATTCGTTGCAAACGGGATAATTTCAGCTAAGAAAACAGAAGCAGTCTCAGAATCTTCTTGTGATGTTTGCATTCAAATCCCAGAATTGAACCTTCCTTTGAAAGTTCAGGTTGGAAACACTCTTTTTGCAGGATCTACAAGTGGATATTCGGACCACTCTGTGGACTTCGTTCGAAACGGGTATATCTTCACATAACATCTAGACAGAAGCATTCTCAGAAACTTTTCTGTGATGACTGCATTCAACTCACAGAGTTGAACACTCCTTTTGAGAGTGCAGTTTTGAAACTCTCTTTCTCTGGAATCTGCAAGGGGACATGCAGACCTCTTTGAAGGTTTCGTTGGAAACGGAATCATCTTCACATAAAAATTACACAGAGGCATCCTCAGGAACTCCTTGGTGATGTTTGTATTCAACTTCCAGAGTTGAACTTTCCTTCGGAAAGAGCAGCTATGAAACACTCTTTTTCTAGAATCTGCAAGTGGACATTGGGAGGGCTGTGAGGTTTGTGGTGGAAAAGGAAATATCTCCACATAAATACTAGATAGAAGCCTTCTCAGAAACTACTTTGTGATGATTGCATTCACCTCACGGAGTGGAGCATTCCTATTGACAGAGCAGTTTGGAAACACTCTTCTTGTAGAATCGGCTAGTGGAGATTTGGAGCGCTTTGAGGCCTATGGTAGTAAAGGGAAGAGCTTCACATAAAATCTAGACAGAAGCATTCTCAGAAAATACTTTGTGATGATTGAGTTTAACACACAGACCTGAACATTCCTTTGGATGGAGAAGGTTTGAAACACACTTTCTGTAGAATCTGCGAGTGGATATTTGGACCTCTCTGAGGATTTCGTTGGAAACGGGATAACTGCACCTAACTAAACGGAAGCATTCTCACAAAATTCTTTGTGATGTTTGCATTCAAATCCCAGAGTTGAACCTTCCTTTGATAGTTCAGCTTTGAAACACTCTTTTTGTAGGATCTGCAGGTGGATATTTGGACCACTCTTTGGCCTTCGTTCGAAACGGGTACATCTTCAAATAAAATCTAGACAGAAGCCTTCTCAGAAACTTCTCTGTGACGATTGCATTCAACTCAAAGCGTTGGACCCTCCTATGGATAGAGCAGTTTTGAATCTCTGTTTTTGTGGAATCTGCAAGTGGATGTGTGGTCCTCTTTGAAGATGTCTTTGGAAACGGGAATATCTTCACATAAAAACTAAACAGAAGCATTCTCAGAAACTTCTCTGTGATGTTTGTGTTCAACTCACAGAGTTTCACGTTGCTTTTCATAGAGCAGATGAGAAACATGCTTTTCGTAGGGTCTGCAAGTGGACATTTGGAGAGATTTCAGGCCTGTGGTGGAAAACGAATTATCGTCACGTAAAAACGAGAGAGAAGCATTGTCAGAAACTTGTTTGTGATGACTGCATTCAACTCACAGAGTTGAAGGTTCCTTTTCAAACAGCAGTTTCCAAACACTCTTTCTGTGGCATCTGCAAGTGGATGTTTGGGCCTCTTTGAAGATTTCGTTGGAAACGGGATAATCTTCACAGAAAAGCTAAACAGAAGCATTCTCAGAAACTTCTTTGTGATGTTTGCTTTCAACTCACAGAGTTGAACTTTCCTTTTGAGAGAGAAGCTTTGAAACACTCTTTTTCTAGAATCTGCAAGTGGATATTTGGAGGGCTTTGAGGCCTGTGGTGGAAAAGGAATTATCTTCCCGTAAGAACTAGATAGATGCATTCTCAGAAACTACTTTGTGACGATTGCATTCAAGTCACAGAGGTGAACATTCCCTTTCAGAGAGCACTTTGGAAACTCTCGTTGTGTGGAATCTGCAAGTGGAGATATGGACCGCTTTGAGGCCTATGGTAGTAAAGGAAACAGCTTCATATAAAAACTAGACAGCAGCATTCTCAGAAAACTCTTTGTGACGACTGAGTTTAACTCACAGGGCTGAACATTCCTTTCGATGGAGCAGTTTGGAAACACACTATCTGTAGGATCTGCAAGCGGATACTTGGGCCTCTCTGAGGATTTCGTTGGAAACGGGATAAACCGCACAGAACTAAACAGAAGCATTCTCAGAACCTTCTTCGTGATGTTTGCATTCAACCCACAGTGTTGAACCTTTCTTTGATAGTTCACGTTTGAAACACTCTTTTTGTAGAAACTGCAAGTGGATAACTGCACTTCTTTGAGGCCTATCGTAGTAAAGGAAATAACTTCCTATAAAAACAAGACAGAAGCTTTCTCAGAAAATTCTCTGGGATGATTGAGTTGAACTCACAGAGCAGTACTTTCCTTGGGATGGAGTAGTTTCGAAACACTCTTTCTGTAGAATCTGCAAGTGGGTATTTGGACCTGTCTGAGGAATTCGTTGCAAACGGGATAATTTCAGCTAAGTAAACAGAAGCAGTCTCAGAATCTTCTTGTGATGTTTGCATTCAAATCCCAGAATTGAACCTTCCTTTGAAAGTTCAGGTTTGAAACACTCTTTTTGCAGAATCTACAAGTGGATATTCGGACCACTCTGTGGACTTCGTTCGAAACGGGTATATCTTCACATAACATCTACACAGAAGCATTCTCAGAAACTTTTCTGTGATGACTGCATTCAACTCACACAGTTGAACACTCCCTTTTGAGAGCGCAGTTTTGAAACTCTCTTTCTCTGGAATCTGCAAGGGGACATGCAGACCTCTTTGAAGGTTTCGTTGGAAACGGAATCATCTTCACATAAAAATTACACAGAAGCATCCTCAGGAACTCCTTGGTGATGTTTGTATTCAACTTCCAGAGTTGAACTTTCCTTCGGAAAGAGCAGCTATGAAACACTCTTTTTCTAGAATCTGCAAGTGGACATTGGGAGGGCTGTGAGGTTTGTGGTGGAAAAGGAAATATCTCCACATAAATACTAGATAGAAGCCTTCTCAGAAACTACTTTGTGATGATTGCATTCACCTCACGGAGTGGAGCATTCCTATTGACAGAGCAGTTTGGAAACACTCTTCTTGTAGAATCGGCTAGTGGAGATTTGGAGCGCTTTGAGGCCTATGGTAGTAAAGGGAAGAGCTTCACATAAAATCTAGCCAGAAGCATTCTCAGAAAATACTTTGTGATGATTGAGTTTAACACACAGAGCTGAACATTCCTTTGGATGGAGAAGGTTTGAAACACACTTTCTGTAGAATCTGCGAGTGGATATTTGGACCTCTCTGAGGATTTCGTTGGAAACGGGATAACTGCACCTAACTAAACGGAAGCATTCTCACAAAATTCTTCGTGATGTTTGCATTCAAATCCCAGAGTTGAACCTTCCTTTGATAGTTCAGCTTTGAAACACTCTTTTTGTTGGATCTGCAAGTGGATATTTGGACCACTCTTTGGCCTTCCTTCGAAACGGGTACATCTTCATATAAAATCTAGACAGAAGCCTTCTCAGAAACTTCTCTGTGACGATTGCATTCAACTCAAAGCGTTGAACCCTCCTATGGATAGAGCGGTTTTGAATCTCTCTTTTTGTGGAATCTGCAAGTGGATATGTGGTCCTCTTTGAAGATGTCTTTGGAAACGGGAATATCTTCACATAAAAACTAAACAGAAGCATTCTCAGAAACTTCTCTGTGATGTTTGTGTTCAACACACAGAGTTTCACGTTGCTTTTCATAGAGCCGATGAGAATCATGCTTTTCGTAGGGTCTGCAAGTGGACATTTGGAGAGATTTCAGGCCTGTGGTGGAAAACGAATTATCGTCACGTAAAAACTAGAGAGAAGCATTGTCAGAAACTTGTTTGTGATGACTGCATTCAACTCACAGAGTTGAAGGTTCCTTTTCAAACAGCAGTTTCCAAACACTCTTTCTGTGGCATCTGCAAGTGGATGTTTGGGCCTCTTTGAAGATTTCGTTGGAAACGGGATAATCTTCACAGAAAAGCTAAACAGAAGCATTCTCAGAAACTTCTTTGTGATGTTTGCTTTCAACTCACAGAGTTGAACTTTCCTTTTGAGAGAGAAGCTTTGAAACACTCTTTTTCTAGAATCTGCAAGTGGATATTTGGAGGGCTTTGAGGCCTGTGATGGAAAAGGAATTATCTTCCCGTAAGAACTAGATAGATGCATTCTCAGAAACTACTTTGTGACGATTGCATTCAAGTCACAGAGGTGAACATTCCCTTTCAGAGAGCACTTTGGAAACTCTCGTTGTGTAGAATCTGCAAGTGGAGATATGGACCGCTTTGAGGCCTATGGTAGTAAAGGAAACAGCTTCATATAAAAACTAGACAGCAGCATTCTCAGAAAACTCTTTGTGACGACTGAGTTTCACTCACAGGGCTGAACATTCCTTTGGATGGAGCAGTTTGGAAACACACTATCTGTAGGATCTGCAAGCGGATACTTGGGCCTCCCTGAGGATTTCGTGGGAAACGGGATAAACCGCACAGAACTAAACAGAAGCATTCTCAGAACCTTCTTCGTGATGTTTGCATTCAACCCACAGTGTTGAACCTTTCTTTGATAGTTCAGGTTTGAAACACTCTTTTTGTAGAAACTGCAAGTGGATAACTGCACTTCTTTGAGGCCTATCGTAGTAAAGGAAATAACTTCCTATAAAAACAAGACAGAAGCTTTCTCAGAAAATTCTCTGGGATGATTGAGTTGAACTCACAGAGCAGTACTTTCCTTGGGATGGAGTAGTTTCGAAACACACTTTCTGTAGAATCTGCAAGTGGATATTTGGACCTGTCTGAGGAATTCGTTGCAAACGGGATAATTTCAGCTAAGTAAACAGAAGCAGTCTCAGAATTTTCTTGTGATGTTTGCATTCAAATCCCAGAATTGAACCTTCCTTTGAAAGTTCAGTTTGGAAACACTCTTTTTGCAGGATCTACAAGTGGATATTCGGACCTCTCTGTGGACTTCGTTCGAAACGGGTATATCTTCACATACCATCTAGACAGAAGCATTCTCAGAAACTTTTCTGTGATGACTGCATTCAACTCACAGAGTTGAACACTCCTTTTGAGAGCGCAGTTTTGAAACTCTCTTTCTCTGGAATCTGCAAGGGGACATGCAGACCTCTTTGAAGGTTTCATTGGAAACAGAATCATCTTCACATAAAAATTACACAGAAGCATCCTCAGGAACTCCTTGGTGATGTTTGTATTCAACATCCAGAGTTGAACTTTCCTTCGGAAAGAGCAGCTGTGAAACACCCTTTTTCTAGAATCTGCAAGTGGACATTGGGAGGGCTGTGAGGTTTGTGGTGGAAAAGGAAATATCTCCACGTAAATACTAGATAGAAGCCTTCTCAGAAACTACTTTGTGATGATTGCATTCACCTCACGGAGTGGAGCATTCCTATTGACAGAGCAGTTTGGAAACACTCTTGTTGTAGAATCTGCTAGTGGAGATTTGGAGCGCTTTGAGGCCTATGGCAGTAAAGGGAAGAGCTTCACATAAAATCAAGACAGAAGCATTCTCAGAAAATACTTTGTGATGATTGAGTTTAACACACAGAGCTGAACATTCCTTTGGATGGAGCAGGTTTGAAACACACTTTCTCTAGAATCTGCGAGTGGATATTTGGACCTCTCTGAGGATTTCGTTGGAAACGGGATAACTGCACCTAACTAAACGGAAGCATTCTCACAAAATTCTTCGTGATGTTTGCATTCAAATCCCAGAGTTGAACCTTCCTTTGATAGTTCAGCTTTGAAACACTCTTTTTGTAGGATCTGCAAGTGGATATTTGGACCACTCTTTGGCCTTCCTTCGAAACGGGTACATCTTCAAATAAAATCTAGACAGAAGCCTTCTCAGAAACTTCTCTGTGACGATTGCATTCAACTCAAAGCGTTGAAACGTCCTATGGATAGAGCAGTTTTGAATCTCTCTTTTTGTGGAATCTGCAAGTGGATATGTGGTCCTCTTTGAAGATGTCTTTGGAAACGGGAATATCTTCACATTAAAACTAAACAGAAGCATTCTCAGAAACTTCTCTGTGATGTTTGTGTTCAACTCCCAGAGTTTCATGTTGCTTTTCATAGAGCAGATGAGAAACATGCTTTTCGTAGGGTCTGCAAGTGGACATTTGGAGAGATTTCCGGCCTGTGGTGGAAAACGAATTATCGTCACATAAAAACTAGAGAGAAGCATTGTCAGAAACTTGTTTGTGATGACTGCATTCCACTCACAGAGTTGAAGGTTCCTTTTCAAACAGCAGTTTCCAAACACTCTTTCTGTGGCATCTGCAAGTGGATGTTTGGGCCTCTTTGAAGATTTCGTTGGAAACGGGATAATCTTCACAGAAAAGCTAAACAGAAGCATTCTCAGAAACTTCCTTGTGATGTTTGCTTTCAACTCACAGATTTGAACTTTCCTTTTGAGAGAGAAGCTTTGAAACACTCTTTTTCTAGAACCTGCAAGTGGATATTTGGAGGGCTTTGAGGCCTGAGGTGGAAAAGGAATTATATTCCCGTAAGAACTAGATAGATGCATTCTCAGAAACTACTTTGTGACGATTGCATTCAAGTCACAGAGGTGAACATTCCCTTTCACAGAGCACTTTGGAAACTCTCGTTGTGTAGAATCTGCAAGTGGAGATATGGACCGCTTTGAGGCCTATGGTAGTAAAGGAAACAGCTTCATATAAAAACTAGACAGCAGCATTCTCAGAAAACTCTTTGTGACGACTGAGTTTAACTCACAGGGCTGAACATTCCTTTGGATGGAGCAGTTTGGAAACACACTATCTGTAGGATCTGCAAGCGGATACTTGGGCCTCTCTGAGGATTTTGTTGGAAACGGGATAAACCGCACAGAACTAAACAGAAGCATTCTCAGAACCTTCTTCGTGATGTTTGCATTCAACCCACAGTGTTGAACCTTTCTTTGATAGTTCAGGTTTGAAACACTCTTTTTGTAGAAACTGCAAGTGGATAACTGCACTTCTTTGAGGCCTATCGTAGTAAAGGAAATAACTTCCTATAAAAACAAGAGAGAAGCTTTCTCAGAAAATTCTCTGGGATGATTGAGTTGAACTCACAGAGCAGTACTTTCCTTGGGATGGAGTAGTTTCGAAACACACTTTCTGTAGAATCTGCAAGTGGATATTTGGACCTGTCTGAGGAATTCGTTGCAAACTGGATAATTTCAGCTAAGTAAACAGAAGCAGTCTCAGAATCTTCTTGTGATGTTTGCATTCAAATCCCAGAATTGAACCTTCCTTTGAAAGTTCAGGTTTGAAACACTCTTTTTGCAGGATCTACAAGTGGATATTCGGACCACTCTGTGGACTTCGTTCGAAACGGGTATATCTTCACATAACATCTAGACAGAAGCATTCTCAGAAACTTTTCTGTGATGACTGCATTCAACTCACAGAGTTGAACACTCCTTTTGAGAGCGCAGTTTTGAAACTCTCTTTCTCTGGAATCTGCAAGGGGACATGCAGACCTCTTTGAAGGTTTCGTTGGAAACGGAATCATCTTCACATAAAAATTACACAGAAGCACCCTCAGGAACTCCTTGGTGATGTTTGTATTCAACTTCCAGAGTTGAACTTTCCTTCGGAAAGAGCAGCTATGAAACACTCTTTTTCTAGAATCTGCAAGTGGACATTGGGAGGGCTGTGAGGTTTGTGGTGGAAAAGGAAATATGTCCACGTAAACACTAGATAGAAGCCTTCTCAGAAACTACTTTGTGATGATGGCATTCACCTCACGGAGTTGAGCATTCCTATTGACAGAGCAGTTTGGAAACACTCTTCTTGTAGAATCGGCTAGTGGAGATTTGGAGCGCTTTGAGGCCTATGGTAGTAAAGGGAAGAGCTTCCCATAAAATCTAGACAGAAGCATTCTCAGAAAATACTTTGTGATGATTGAGTTTAACACACAGAGCTGAACATTCCTTTGGATGGAGAAGGTTTGAAACACAATTTCTGTAGAATCTGCGAGTGGATATTTGGACCTCTCTGAGGATTTCGTTGGAAACGGGATAACTGCACCTAACTAAACGGAAGCATTCTCACAAAATTCTTTGTGATGTTTGCATTCAAATCCCAGAGTTGACCCTTCCTTTGATAGTTCAGCTTTGAAACACTCTTTTTGGAGGATCTGAAAGTGGATATTTGGACCACTCTTTGGCCTTCGTTCGAAACGGGTACATCTTCAAATAAAATCTAGACAGAAGCCTTCTCAGAAACTTCTCTGTGACGATTGCATTCAACTCAAAGCGTTGAACCCTCCCTATGGATAGAGCAGTTTTGAATCTCTCTTTTTGTGGAATCTGCAAGTGGATATGTGGTCCTCTTTGAAGATGTCTTTGGAAACGGGAATATCTTCACATAAAAACTAAACAGAAGCATTCTCAGAAACTTCTCTGTGATGTTTGTGTTCAACTCACAGAGTTTCACGTTGCTTTTCATAGAGCAGATGAGAAACATGCTTTTCGTAGGGTCTGCAAGTGGACATTTGGAGAGATTTCAGGCCTGTGGTGGAAAACGAATTATCGTCACGTAAAAACAGAGAGAAGCATTGTCAGAAACTTGTTTGTGATGACTGCATTCCTCTCAAAGAGTTGAAGATTCCTTTTCAAACAGCAGTTTCCAAACACTCTTTCTGTGGCATCTGCAAGTGGATGTTTGGGCCTCTTTGAAGATTTCGTTGGAAACGGGATAATCTTCACAGAAAAGCTAAACAGAAGCATTCTCAGAAACTTCTTTGTGATGTTTGCTTTCAACTCACAGAGTTGAACTTTCCTTTTGAGAGAGAAGCTTTGAAACACTCTTTTTCTAGAATCTGCAAGTGGATATTTGGAGGGCTTTGAGGCCTGAGGTGGAAAAGGAATTATCTTCCCGTAAGAACTAGATAGATGCATTCTCAGAAACTACTTTGTGACGATTGCATTCAAGTCACAGAGGTGAACATTCCCTTTCAGAGAGCACTTTGGAAACTCTCGTTGTGTAGAATCTGCAAGTGGAGATATGGACCGCTTTGAGGCCTATGGTAGTAAAGGAAACAGCTTCATATAAAAACTAGACAGCCAGCATTCTCAGAAAACTCTTTGTGACGACTGAGTTTAACTCACAGGGCTGAACATTCCTTTGGATGGAGCAGTTTGGAAACACACTATCTGTAGGATCTGCAAGCGGATACTTGGGCCTCTCTGAGGATTTCGTTGGAAACGGGATAAACCGCACAGAACTAAACAGAAGCATTCTCAGAACCTTCTTCGTGATGTTTGCATTCAACCCACAGTGTTGAACCTTTCTTTGATAGTTCAGGTTTGAAACACTCTTTTTGTAGAAACTGCAAGTGGATAACTGCACTTCTTTGAGGCCTATCGTAGTAAAGGAAATAACTTCCTATAAAAACAAGACAGAAGCTTTCTCAGAAAATTCTCTGGGATGATTGAGTTGAACTCACAGAGCAGTACTTTCCTTGGGATGGAGTAGTTTCGAAACACACTTTCTGTAGAATCTGCAAGTGGATATTTGGACCTGTCTGAGGAATTCGTTGCAAACGGGATAATTTCACCTAAGTAAACAGAAGCAGTCTCAGAATCTTCTTGTGATGTTTGCATTCAAATCCCAGAATGGAACCTTCCTTTGAAAGTTCAGGTTGGAAACACTCTTTTTGCAGGATCTACAAGTGGATATTCGGACCACTCTGTGGACTTCGTTCGAAACGGGTATATCTTCACATAACATCTAGACAGAAGCATTCTCAGAAACTTTTCTGTGATGACTGCATTCAACTCACAGAGTTGAACACTCCTTTTGAGAGCGCAGTTTTGCAACTCTCCTTCTCTGGAATCTGCAAGGGGACATGCAGACCTCTTTGAAGGTTTCGTTGGAAACGGAATCATCTTCACATAAAAATTACACGGAAGCATCCTCAGGAACTCCTTGGTGATGTTTGTATTCAACTTCCAGAGTTGAACTTTCCTTCGCAAAGAGCAGCTATGAAACACTCTTTTTCTAGAATCTGCAAGTGGACATTGGGAGGGCTGTGAGGTTTGTGGTGGAAAAGGAAATATCTCCACATAAATACTAGATAGAAGCCTTCTCAGAAACTCCTTTGTGATGATTGCATTCACCTCACGGAGTGGAGCATTCCTATTGACAGAGCAGTTTGGAAACACTCTTGTTGTAGAATCTCCTAGTGGAGATTTGGAGCGCTTTGAGGCCTATGGTAGTAAAGGGAAGAGCTTCACATAAAATCTAGACAGAAGCATTCTCAGAAAATACTTTGTGGTGATTGAGTTTAACACACAGAGCTGAACATTCCTTTGGATGGAGAAGGTTTGAAACACACTTTCTGTAGAATCTGCGAGTGGATATTTGGACCTCTCTGAGGATTTCGTTGGAAACGGGATAACTGCACCTAACTAAACGGAAGCATTCTCACAAAATTCTTCGTGATGTTTGCATTCAAATCCCAGAGTTGAACCTTCCTTTGATAGTTCAGCTTTGAAACACTCTTTTTGTAGGATCTGCAAGTGGATATTTGGACCACTCTTTGGCCTTCCTTCGAAACGGCTACATCTTCATATAAAATCTAGACAGAAGCCTTCTCAGAAACTTCTCTGTGATGATTGCATTCAACTCAAAGCGTTGAACCCTCCTATGGATAGAGCAGTTTCGAATCTCTCTTTTTGTGGAATCTGCAAGTGGATATGTGGTCCTCTTTGAAGATGTCTTTGGAAACGGGAATATCTTCACATAAAAACTAAACAGAAGCATTCTCAGAAACTTCTCTGTGATGTTTGTGTTCAACTCACAGAGTTTCACGTTGCTTTTCATAGAGCAGATGAGAAACATGCTTTTCGTAGGGTCTGCAAGTGGACATTTGGAGAGATTTCAGGCCTGTGGTGGAAAACGAATTATCGTCACGTAAAAACTAGAGAGAAGCATTGTCAGAAACTTGTTTGTGATGACTGCATTCAACTCACAGAGTTGAAGGTTCCTTTTCAAACAGCAGTTTCCAAACACTCTTTCTGTGGCATCTGCAAGTGGATGTTTGGGCCTCTTTGAAGATTTCGTTGGAAACGGGATAATCTTCACAGAAAAGCTAAACAGAAGCATTCTCAGAAACTTCCCTTGTGATGTTTGCTTTCAACTCACAGAGTTGAACTTTCCTTTTGAGAGAGAAGCTTTGAAACACTCTTTTTCTAGAACCTGCAAGTGGATATTTGGAGGGCTTTGAGGCCTGAGGTGGAAAAGGAATTATATTCCCGTAAGAACTAGATAGATGCATTCTCAGAAACTACTTTGTGACGATTGCATTCAAGTCACAGAGGTGAACATTCCCTTTCACAGAGCACTTTGGAAACTCTCGTTGTGTAGAATCTGCAAGTGGAGATATGGACCGCTTTGAGGCTTATGGTAGTAAAGGAAACAGCTTCATATAAAAACTAGACAGCAGCATTCTCAGAAAACTCTTTGTGACGACTGAGTTTAACTCACAGGGCTGAACATTCCTTTGGATGGAGCAGTTTGGAAACACACTATCTGTAGGATCTGCAAGCGGATACTTGGGCCTCCCTGAGGATTTCGTTGGAAACGGGATAAACCGCACAGAACTAAACAGAAGCATTCTCAGAACCTTCTTCGTGATGTTTGCATTCAACCCACAGTGTTGAACCTTTCTTTGATAGTTCAGGTTTGAAACACTCTTTCTGTAGAAACTGCAAGTGGATAACTGCACTTCTTTGAGGCCTATCGTAGTAAAGGAAATAACTTCCTATAAAAACAAGACAGAAGCTTTCTCAGAAAATTCTCTGGGATGATTGAGTTGAACTCACAGAGCAGTACTTTCCTTGGGATGGAGTAGTTTCGAAACACACTTTCTGTAGAATCTGCAAGTGGATATTTGGACCTGTCTGAGGAATTCGTTGCAAACGGGATAATTTCAGCTAAGTAAACAGAAGCAGTCTCAGAATCTTCTTGTGATGTTTGCATTCAAATCCCAGAATTGAACCTTCCTTTGAAAGTTCAGGTTGGAAACACTCTTTTTGCAGGATCTACAAGTGGATATTCGGACCACTCTGTGGACTTCGTTCGAAACGGGTATATCTTCACATAACATCTAGACAGAAGCATTCTCAGAAACTTTTCTGTGATGACTGCATTCAACTCACAAAGTTGAACACTCCTTTTGAGAGCGCAGTTTTGAAACTCTCTTTCTCTGGAATCTGCAAGGGGACATGCACACCTCTTTGAAGGTTTCGTTGGAAACGGAATCATCTTCACATAAAAATTACACAGAAGCATTCTCAGGAACTCCTTGGTGATGTTTGTATTCAACTTCCAGAGTTGAACTTTCCTTCAGAAAGAGCAGCTATGAAACACTCTTTTTCTAGAATCTGCAAGTGGACATTGGGAGGGCTGTGAGGTTTGTGGTGGAAAAGGAAATATCTCCACATAAATACTAGATAGAAGCCTTCTCAGAAACTACTTTGTGATGATTGCATTCACCTCACGGAGTGGAGCATTCCTATTGACAGAGCAGTTTGGAAACACCCTTGTTGTAGAATCTGCTAGTGGAGATTTGGAGCGCTTTGAGGCCTATGGTAGTAAAGGGAAGAGCTTCACATAAAATGTAGACAGAAGCATTCTCAGAAAATACTTTGTGATGATTGAGTTTAACACACAGAGCTGAACATTCCTTTGGATGGAGAAGGTTTGAAACACACTTTCTGTAGAATCTGCGAGTGGATATTTGGACCTCTCTGAGGATTTCGTTGGAAACGGGATAACTGCACCTAACTAAGCGGAAGCATTCTCACAAAATTCTTCGTGATGTTTGCATTCAAATCCCAGAGTTGAACTTTCCTTTGATAGTTCAGCTTTGAAACACCCTTTTTGTAGGATCTGCAAGTGGATATTTGGACCACTATTTGGCCTTCGTTCGAAACGGGTACATCTTCAAATAAAATTTAGACAGAAGCCTTCTCAGAAACTTCTCTGTGACGATTGCATTCAACTCAAAGCGTTGTACCCTCCTATGGATAGAGCAGTTTTGAATCTCTCTTTTTGTGGAATCTGCAAGTGGATATGTGGTCCTCTTTGAAGATGTCTTTGGAAACGGGAATATCTTCACATAAAAACTAAACAGAAGCATTCTCAGAAACTTCTCTGTGATGTTTGTGTTCAACTCACAGAGTTTCACGTTGCTTTTCATACAGCAGATGAGAAACATGCTTTTCGTAGGGTCTGCAAGTGGACATTTGGAGAGATTTCAGGCCTGTGGTGGAAAACGAATTATCGTCACGTAAAAACTAGAGAGAAGCATTGTCAGAAACTTGTTTGTGATGACTGCATTCAACTCACAGAGTTGAAGGTTCCTTTTCAAACAGCAGTTTCCAAACACTCTTTCTGTGGCATCTGCAAGTGGATGTTTGGGCCTCTTTGAAGATTTCGTTGGAAACGGGATACTCTTCACAGAAAAGCTAAACAGAAGCATTCTCAGAAACTTCTTTGTGATGTTTGCTTTCAACTCACAGAGTTGAACTTTCCTTTTGAGAGAGAAGCTTTGAAACACTCTTTTTCTAGAATCTGCAAGTGGATATTTGGAGGGCTTTGAGGCCTGAGGTGGAAAAGGAATTATCTTCCCGTAAGAACCAGATAGATGCATTCTCAGAAACTACTTTGTGACGATTGCATTCAAGTCACAGAGGTGAACATTCCCTTTCAGAGAGCACTTTGGAAACTCTCGTTGTGTAGAATCTGCAAGTGGAGATATGGACCGCTTTGAGGCCTATGGTAGTAAAGGAAACAGCTTCATATAAAAACTAGACAGCAGCATTCTCAGAAAACTCTTTGTGACGACTGACTTTAACTCACAGGGCTGAACATTCCTTTGGATGGAGCAGTTTGGAAACACACTATCTGTAGGATCTGCAAGCGGATACTTGGGCCTCCCTGAGGATTTCGTTGGAAACGGGATAAACCGCACAGAACTTAACAGAAGCATTCTCAGAACCTTCTTCATGACGTTTGCATTCAACCCACAGTGTTGAACCTTTCTTTGAGAGTTCAGGTTTGAAACACTCTTTTTGTAGAGACTGCAAGTGGATAACTGCACTTCTTTGAGGCCTATCGTAGTAAAGGAAATAACTTCCTATAAAAACAAGACAGAAGCTTTCTCAGAAAATTCTCTGGGATGATTGAGTTGAACTCACAGAGCAGTACTTTCCTTGGGATGGAGTAGTTTCGAAACACACTTTCTGTAGAATCTGCAAGTGGATATTTGGACCTGTCTGAGGAATTCGTTGCAAACGGGATAATTTCAGCTAAGTAAACAGAAGCAGTCTCAGAATCTTCTTGTGATGTTTGCATTCAAATCCCAGAATTGAACCTTCCTTTGAAAGTTCAGGTTGGAAACACTCTTTTTGCAGGATCTACAAGTGGATATTCGGACCACTCTGTGGACTTCGTTCGAAACGGGTATATCTTCACATAACATCTAGACAGAAGCATTCTCAGAAACTTTTCTGTGATGACTGCATTCAACTCACAGAGTTGAACACTCCTTTTGAGAGCGCAGTTTTGAAACTCTCTTTCTCTGGAATCTGCAAGGGGACATGCAGACCTCTTTGAAGGTTTCGTTGGAAACGGGAATCATCTTCACATAAAAATTACACAGAGGCATTCTCAGGAACTCCTTGGTGATGTTTGTATTCAACTTCCAGAGTTGAACTTTCCTTCGGAAAGAGCAGCTATGAAACACTCTTTTTCTAGAATCTGCAAGTGGACATTGGGAGGGCTGTGAGGTTTGTGGTGGAAAAGGAAATATCTCCACGTAAATACTAGATAGAAGCATTCTCAGAAACTGCTTTGTGATGATTGCATTCACCTCACAGAGTTGAACATTCCTATTGATAGAGCAGTTTGGAAACACTCTTGTTGTGGAATGTGCAAGTGGAGATTTGGAGCGCTTTGAGGCCTATGGTAGTAAAGGGAATAGCTTCATAGAAAAACTAGACAAAAGCATTCTCAGAAAATACTTTGTGATGATTGAGTTTAAATCACAGAGCTGAACATTCCTTTGGATGGAGCAGGTTTGAGACACACTTTTTGTAGAATCTACAAGTGGATATTTGGACCTCTCTGAGGATTTCGTTGGAAACGGGATAACTGCACCTAACTAAACGGAAGCATTCTCACAAAATTCTTTGTGATGTTTGCATTCAAATCCCAGAGTTGAACCTTCCTTTGATAGTTCAGCTTTGAAACACTCTTTTTGTAGGATCTGCAGGTGGATATTTGGACCACTCTTTGGCCTTCGTTCGAAAAGGGTACATCTTCAAATAAAATCTAGACAGAAGCCTTCTCAGAAACTTCTCTGTGACGATTGCATTCAACTCAAAGCGTTGAACCCTCCTATGGATAGAGCAGTTTTGAATCTCTCTTTTTGTGGAATCTGCAAGTGGATATGTGGTCCTCTTTGAAGATGTCTTTGGAAACGGGAATATCTTCATATTAAAACTAAACAGAAGCATTCTCAGAAACTTCTCTGTGATGTTTGTGTCCAAATCACAGAGTTTCACGTTGCTTTTCATAGAGCAGATGAGAAACATGCTTTTCGTAGGGTCTGCAAGTGGACATTTGGAGAGATTTCAGGCCTGTGGTGGAAAACGAATTATCGTCACGTAAAAACTAGAGGGAAGCATTGACAGAAACTTGTTTGTGATGACTGCATTCAACTCACAGAGTTGAAGGTTCCTTTTCAAACAGCAGTTTCCAAACACTCTTTCTGTGGCATCTGCAAGTGGATGTTTGGGCCTCTTTGAAGATTTCGTTGGAAACGGGATACTCTTCACAGAAAAGCTAAACAGAAGCATTCTCAGAAACTTCTTTGTGATGTTTGCTTTCAACTCACAGAGTTGAACTTTCCTTTTGAGAGAGAAGCTTTGAAACACTCTTTTTCTAGAATCTGCAAGTGGATATT
The DNA here is from genome assembly GCF_000001405.40 of Homo sapiens. Lineage (NCBI taxonomy): Eukaryota > Metazoa > Chordata > Mammalia > Primates > Hominidae > Homo > Homo sapiens. The sequence continues at coordinate 23,017,411 of NC_000017.11, forward strand.
TGGAGGGCTTTGAGGCCTGTGGTGGAAAACGAATTATCTTCCCGTAAGAACTAGATAGATGCATTCTCAGAAACTACTTTGTGACGATTGCATTCAAGTCACAGAGGTGAACATTCCCTTTCACAGAGCACTTTGGAAACTCTCGTTGTGTAGAATCTGCAAGTGGAGATATGGACCGCTTTGAGGCCTATGGTAGTAAAAGAAACAGCTTCATATAAAAACTAGACAGCAGCATTCTCAGAAATCTCTTTGTGACGACTGAGTTTAACTCACAGGGCTGAACATTCCTTTGGATGGAGCAGTTTGGAAACACACTATCTGTAGGATCTGCAAGCGGATACTTGGGCCTCCCTGAGGATTTCGTTGGAAACGGGATAAACCGCACAGAACTAAACAGAAGCATTCTCAGAACCTTCTTCGTGATGTTTGCATTCAACCCACAGTGTTGAACCTTTCTTTGATAGTTCAGGTTTGAAACACTCTTTTTGTAGAAACTGCAAGTGGATAACTGCACTTCTTTGAGGCCTATCGTAGTAAAGGAAATAACTTCCTATAAAAACAAGACAGAAGCTTTCTCAGAAAATTCTCTGGGATGATTGAGTTGAACTCACAGAGCACTACTTTCCTTGGGATGGAGTAGTTTCGAAACACACTTTCTGTAGAATCTGCAATTGGATATTTGGACCTGTCTGAGGAATTCGTTGCAAACGGGATAATTTCAGCTAAGTAAACAGAAGCAGTCTCAGAATCTTCTTGTGATGGTTGCATTGAAATCCCAGAATTGAACCTTCCTTTGAAAGTTCAGGTTGGAAACACTCTTTTTGCAGGATCTACAAGTGGATATTCGGACCACTCTGTGGACTTCGTTCGAAACGGGTGTATCTTCACATAACATCTAGACAGAAGCATTCTCAGAAACTTTTCTGTGATGACTGCATTCAACTCACAGAGTTGAACACTCCTTTTGAGAGCGCAGTTTTGAAACTCTCTATCTCTGGAATCTGCAAGGGGACATGCAGACCTCTTTGAAGATTTCGTTGGAAACGGAATCATCTTCACATAAAAATTACACAGAAGCATTCTCAGGAACTCCTTGGTGATGTTTGTATTCAACTTCCAGAGTTGAACTTTCCTTCGGAAAGAGCAGCTATGAAACACTCTTTTTCTAGAATCTGCAAGTGGACATTGGGAGGGCTGTGAGGTTTGTGGTGGAAAAGGAAATATCTCCACGTAAATACTAGATAGAAGCCTTCTCAGAAACTACTTTGTGATGATTGCATTCACCTCACGGAGTGGAGCATTCCTATTGACAGAGCAGTTTGGAAACACTCTTGTTGTAGAATCTGCTAGTGGAGATTTGGTGCGCTTTGAGGCCTATGGTAGTAAAGGGAAGAGCTTCACATAAAATCTAGACAGAAGCATTCTCAGAAAATACTTTGTGATGATTGAGTTTAACACACAGAGCTGAACATTCCTTTGGATGGAGAAGGTTTGAAACACACTTTCTGTAGAATCTGCGAGTGGATATTTGGACCTCTCTGAGGATTTCGTTGGAAACGGGATAACTGCACCTAACTAAACGGAAGCATTCTCACAAAATTCTTTGTGATGTTTGCATTCAAATCCCAGAGTTGAACCTTCCTTTGATAGTTCAGCTTTGAAACACTCTTTTTGTAGGATCTGCAGGTGGATATTTGGACCACTCTTTGGCCTTCGTTCGAAACGGGTACATCTTCAAATAAAATCTAGACAGAAGCCTTCTCAGAAACTTCTCTGTGATGATTGCAATCAACTCACAGAGTTGAACCCTCCTATGGATAAAGCAGTTTTGAATCTCTCTTTTTGTGGAATCTGCAAGTGGATATATGGACCTCTTTGAAGATGCCTTTGGAAACGGGAATATCTTCACATAAAAACTAAACAGAAGCATTCTCAGAAACTTCTCTGTGATGTTTGTGTTCAACTCACAGAGTTTCACGTTGCTTTTCATAGAGCAGATGAGAAGCATGCTTTTCGTAGGGTCTGCAAGTGGACATTTGGAGAGATTTCAGGCCTGTGGTGGAAAACGAATTATCGTCACGTAAAAACTAGAGAGAAGCATTGTCAGAAACTTGTTTGTGATGACTGCATTCAACTCACAGAGTTGAAGGTTCCTTTTCAAACAGCAGTTTCCAAACACTCTTTCTGTGGCATCTGCAAGTGGATGTTTGGGCCTCTTTGAAGATTTCGTTGGAAACGGGATACTCTTCACAGAAAAGCTAAACAGAAGCATTCTCAGAAACTTCTTTGTGATGTTTGCTTTCAACTCACAGAGTTGAACTTTCCTTTTGAGAGAGAAGCTTTGAAACACTCTTTTTCTAGAATCTGCAAGTGGATATTTGGAGGGCTTTGAGGCCTGAGGTGGAAAAGGAATTATCTTCCCGTAAGAACTAGATAGATGCATTCTCAGAAACTACTTTGTGACGATTGCATTCAAGTCACAGAGGTGAACATTCCCTTTCAGAGAGCACTTTGGAAACTCTCGTTGTGTAGAATCTGCAAGTGGAGATATGGACCACTTTGAGGCCTATGGTAGTAAAGGAAACAGCTTCATATAAAAACTAGACAGCAGCATTCTCAGAAAACTCTTTGTGACGACTGAGTTTAACTCACAGGGCTGAACATTCCTTTGGATGGAGCAGTTTGGAAACACACTATCTGTAGGATCTGCAAGCGGATACTTGGGCCTCCCTGAGGATTTCGTTGGAAACGGGATAAACCGCACAGAACTAAACAGAAGCATTCTCAGAACCTTCTTCGTGATGTTTGCATTCAACCCACAGTGTTGAACCTTTCTTTGATAGTTCAGGTTTGAAACACTCTTTCTGTAGAAACTGCAAGTGGATAACTGCACTTCTTTGAGGCCTATCTTAGTAAAGGAAATAACTTCCTATAAAAACAAGACAGAAGCTTTCTCAGAAAATTCTCTGGGATGATTGAGTTGAACTCACAGAGCAGTACTTTCCTTGGGATGGAGTAGTTTCGAAACACACTTTCTGTAGAATCTGCAAGTGGATATTTGGACCTGTCTGAGGAATTCGTTGCAAACGGGATAATTTCAGCTAAGTAAACAGAATCAGTCTCAGAATCTTCTTGTGATGTTTGCATTCAAATCCCAGAATTGAACCTTCCTTTGAAAGTTCAGGCTGGAAACACTCTTTTTGCAGGGTCTACAAGTGGATATTCGGTCCTCTCTGTGGACTTCGTTCGAAACGAGTATATCTTCACATAACATCTAGACAGAAGCAGTCTCAGAAACTTTTCTGTGATGACTGCATTCAACTCACAGAGTTGAACACTCCTTTTGAGAGCGCAGTTTTGAAACTCTCTTTCTCTGGAATCTGCAAGGGGACATGCAGACCTCTTTGAAGGTTTCGTTGGAAACGGAATCATCTTCACATAAAAATTACACAGAAGCATCCTCAGGAACTCCTTGGTGATGTTTGTATTCAACTTCCAGAGTTGAACTTTCCTTCGGAAAGAGCAGCTATGAAACACTCTTTTTCTAGAATCTGCAAGTGGACATTGTGGGGGCTGTGAGGTTTGTGGTGGAAAAGGAAATATCTCCACATAAATACTAGATAGAAGCCTTCTCAGAAACTACTTTGTGATGATTGCATTCACCTCACGGAGTGGAGCATTCCTATTGACAGAGCAGTTTGGAAACACTCTTGTTGTAGAATCTGCTAGTGGAGATTTGGAGCGCTTTGAGGCCTATGGTAGTAAAGGGAAGAGCTTCACATAAAATCTAGACAGACGCATTCTCAGAAAATACTTTGTGATGATTGAGTTTAACACACAGAGCTGAACATTCCTTTGGATGGAGAAGGTGTGAAACACACTTTCTGTAGAATCTGCGAGTGGATATTTGGACCTCTCTGAGGATTTCGTTGGAAACGGGATAACTGCACCTAACTAAACGGAAGCATTCTCACAAAATTCTTTGTGATGTTTGCATTCAAATCCCAGAGTTGAACCTTCCTTTGATAGTTCAGCTTTGAAACACTCTTTTTGTAGGATCTGCAGGTGGATATTTGGACCACTCTTTGGCCTTCGTTCGAAAAGGGTACATCTTCAAATAAAATCTAGACAGAAGCCTTCTCAGAAACTTCTCTGTGACGATTGCATTCAACTCAAAGCGTTGAACCCTCCTATGGATAGAGCAGTTTTGAATCTCTCTTTTTGTGGAATCTGCAAGTGGATATGTGGTCCTCTTTGAAGATGTCTTTGGAAACGGGAATATCTTCACATAAAAACTAAACAGAAGCATTCTCAGAAACTTCTCTGTGATGTTTGTGTTCAACTCACAGAGTTTCACGTTGCTTTTCATAGAGCAGATGAGAAACATGCTTTTCGTAGGGTCTGCAAGTGGACATTTGGAGAGATTTCAGGCCTGTGGTGGAAAACGAATTATCGTCACGTAAAAACTAGAGAGAAGCATTGTCAGAAACTTGTTTGTGATGACTGCATTCAACTCACAGAGTTGAAGGTTCCTTTTCAAACAGCAGTTTCCAAACACTCTTTCTGTGGCATCTGCAAGTGGATGTTTGGGCCTCTTTGAAGATTTCGTTGGAAACGGGATAATCTTCACAGAAAAGCTAAACAGAAGCATTCTCAGAAACTTCTTTGTGATGTTTGCTTTCAACTCACAGAGTTGAACTTTCCTTTTGAGAGAGAAGCTTTGAAACACTCTTTTTCTAGAATCTGCAAGTGGATATTTGGAGGGCTTTGAGGCCTGAGGTGGAAAAGGAATTATCTTCCCGTAAGAACTAGATAGATGCATTCTCAGAAACTACTTTGTGACGATTGCATTCAAGTCACAGAGGTGAACATTCCCTTTCAGAGAGCACTTTGGAAACTCTCGTTGTGTAGAATCTGCAAGTGGAGATATGGACCGCTTTGAGGCCTATGGTAGTAAAGGAAACAGCTTCATATAAAAACTAGACAGCAGCATTCTCAGAAAACTCTTTTTGACGACTGAGTTTGACTCACAGGGCTGAACATTCCTTTGGATGGAGCAGTTTGGAAACACACTATCTGTAGGATCTGCAAGCGGATACTTGGGCCTCTCTGAGGATTTCGTTGGAAAAGGGATACACCGCACAGAACTAAACAGAAGCATTCTCAGAACCTTCTTCGTGATGTTTGCATTCAACCCACAGTGTTGAACCTTTCTTTGATAGTTCAGGTTTGAAACACTCTTTTTGTAGAAACTGCAAGTGGATAACTGCACTTCTTTGAGGCCTATCGTAGTAAAGGAAATAACTTCCTATAAAAACAAGACAGAAGCTTTCTCAGAAAATTCTCTGGGATGATTGAGTTGAACTCACAGGGCAGTACTTTCCTTGGGATGGAGTAGTATTGAAACACACTTTCTGTAGAATCTGCAAGTGGATATTTGGACCTGTCTGAGGAATTCGTTGCAAACGGGATAATTTCAGCTAAGTAAACAGAAGCAGTCTCAGAATCTTCTTGTGATGTTTGCATTCAAATCCCAGAATTGAACCTTCCTTTGAAAGTTCAGGTTGGAAACACTCTTTTTGCAGGATCTACAAGTGGATATTCGGACCACTCTGTGGACTTCGTTCGAAACGGGTATATCTTCACATAACATCTAGACAGAAGCATTCTCAGAAACTTTTCTGTGATGACTGCATTCAACTCACAGAGTTGAACACTCCTTTTGAGAGCGCAGTTTTGAAACTCTCTTTCTCTGGAATCTGCAAGGGGACATGCAGACCTCTTTGAAGGTTTCGTTGGAAACGGAATCATCTTCACATAAAAATTACACAGAAGCATTCTCAGGAACTCCTTGGTGATGTTTGTATTCAACTTCCAGAGTTGAACTTTCCTTCGGAAAGAGCAGCTATGAAACACTCTTTTTCTAGAATCTGCAAGTGGACATTGGGAGGGCTGTGAGGTTTGTGGTGGAAAAGGAAATATCTCCGCATAAATACTAGATAGAAGCCTTCTCAGAAACTACTTTGTGATGATTGCATTCACCTCACGGAGTGGAGCATTCCTATTGACAGAGCAGTTTGGAAACACTCTTGTTGTAGAATCTGCTAGTGGAGATTTGGAGCGCTTTGAGGCCTATGGTAGTAAAGGGAAGAGCTTCACATAAAATCTAGACAGAAGCATTCTCAGAAAATACTTTGTGATGATTGAGTTTAACACACAGTAGCTGCACATTCCTTTGGATGGAGAAGGTTTGAAACACACTTTCTGTAGAATCTGCGAGTGGATATTTGGAACTCTCTGAGGATTTCGTTGGAAACGGGATAACTGCACCTAACTAAACGGAAGCATTCTCACAAAATTCTTTGTGATGTTTGCATTCAAATCCCAGAGTTGACCCTTCCTTTGATAGTTCAGCTTTGAAACACTCTTTTTGTAGGATCTGCAAGTGGATATTTGGACCACTCTTTGGCCTTCGTTCGAAACGGGTACATCTTCAAATAAAATCTAGACAGAAGCCTTCTCAGTAACTTCTCTGTGACGATTGCATTCAACTCAATGCGTTGAACCCTCCTATGGATAGAGCAGTTTTGAATCTCTCTTTTTGTGGAATCTTCAAGTGGATGTGTGGTCCTCTTTGAAGATGTCTTTGGAAACGGGAATATCTTCACATAAAAACTAAACAGAAGCATTCTCAGAAACTTCTCTGTGATGTTTGTGTTCAACTCACAGAGTTTCACGTTGCTTTTCATAGAGCAGATGAGAAACATGCTTTTCGTAGGGTCTGCAAGTGGACATTTGGAGAGCTTTCAGGCCTGTGGTGGAAAACGAATTATCGTCACGTAAAAACTAGAGAGAAGCATTGTCAGAAACTTGTTTGTGATGACTGCATTCAACTCACAGAGTTGAAGGTTCCTTTTCAAACAGCAGTTTCCAAACACTCTTTCTGTGGCATCTGCAAGTGGATGTTTGGGCCTCTTTGAAGATTTCGTTGGAAACGGGATAATCTTCACAGAAAAGCTAAACAGAAGCATTCTCAGAAACTTCTTTGTGATGTTTGCTTTCAACTCACAGAGTTGAACTTTCCTTTTGAGAGAGAAGCTTTGAAACACTCTTTTTCTAGAATCTGCAAGTGGATATTTGGAGGGCTTTGAGGCCTGAGGTGGAAAAGGAATTATCTTCCCGTAAGAACTAGGTAGATGCATTCTCAGAAACTACTTTGTGACGATTGCATTCAAGTCACAGAGGTGAACATTCCCTTTCAGAGAGCACTTTGGAAACTCTCGTTGTGTAGAATCTGCAAGTGGAGATATGGACCGCTTTGAGGCCTATGGTAGTAAAGGAAACAGCTTCATATAAAAACTAGACAGCAGCATTCTCAGAAAACTCTTTGTGACGACTGAGTTTAACTCACAGGGCTGAACATTCCTTTAGATGGAGCAGTTTGGAAACACACTATCTGTAGGATCTGCAAGCGGATACTTGGGCCTCCCTGAGGATTTCGTTGGAAACGGGATAAACCGCACAGAACTAAACAGAAGCATTCTCAGAACCTTCTTCGTGATGTTTGCATTCAACCCACAGTGTTGAACCTTTCTTTGATAGTTCAGGTTTGAAACACTCTTTTCGTAGAAACTGCAAGTGGATAACTGCACTTCTTTGAGGCCTATCGTAGTAAAGGAAATAACTTCCTATAAAAACAAGACAGAAGCTTTCTCAGAAAATTCTCTGGGATGATTGAGTTGAACTCACAGAGCAGTACTTTCCTTGGGATGGAGTAGTTTCGAAACACACTTTCTGTAGAATCTGCAAGTGGATATTTGGACCTGTCTGAGGAATTCGTTGCAAACGGGATAATTTCAGCTAAGTAAACAGAAGCAGTCTCAGAATCTTCTTGTGATGTTTGCATTCAAATTCCAGAATTGAACCTTCCTTTGAAAATTCAGGTTGGAAACACTCTTTTTGCAGGATCTACAAGTGGATATTCGGACCACTCTGTGGACTTCGTTCGAAACGGGTATATCTTCACATAACATCTAGACAGAAAGCATTCTCAGAAACTTTTCTGTGATGACTGCATTCAACTCACAGAGTTCAACACTCCTTTTGAGAGCGCAGTTTGGAAACTCTCTTTCTCTGGAATCTGCAAGGGGACATGCAGACCTCTTTGAAGGTTTCATTGGAAACGGAATCATCTTCACATAAAAATTACACAGAAGCATTCTCAGGAACTCCTTGGTGATGTTTGTATTCAACTTCCAGAGTTGAACTTTCCTTCGGAAAGAGCAGCTATGAAACACTCTTTTTCTAGAATCTGCAAGTGGACATTGGGAGGGCTGTGAGGTTTGTGGTGGAAAAGGAAATATCTCCACATAAATACTAGATAGAAGCCTTCTCAGAAACTACTTTGTGATGATTGCATTCACCTCACGGAGTGGAGCATTCCTATTGACAGAGCAGTTTGGAAACACTCTTGTTGTAGAATCTGCTAGTGGAGATTTGGTGCGCTTTGAGGCCTATGGTAGTAAAGGGAAGAGCTTCACATAAAATCTAGACAGAAGCATTCTCAGAAAATACTTTGTAATGATTGAGTTTAACACACAGAGCTGAACATTCCTTTGGATGGAGCAGGTTTGAAACACACTTTCTGTAGAATCTGCGAGTGGATATTTGGACCTCTCTGAGGATTTCGTTGGAAACGGGATTACTGCACCTAACTAAACGGAAGCATTCTCACAAAATTCTTTGTGATGTTTGCATTCAAATCCCAGAGTTGAAACTGCCTTTGATAGTTCAGCTTTGAAACACTCTTTTTGTAGGATCTGCAGGTGGATATTTGGACCACTCTTTGGCCTTCGTTCGAAACGGGTACATCTTCAAATAAAATCTAGACAGAAGCCTTCTCAGAAACTTCTCTGTGACGATTGCATTCAACTCAGAGAGTTGAACCCTCCTATGGATAGAGCAGTTTTGAATCTCTCTTTTTGTGGAATCTGCAAGTGGATATGTGGTCCTCTTTGAAGATGTCTTTGGAAACGGGAATATCTTCACATAAAAACTAAACAGAAGCATTCTCAGAAACTTCTCTGTGATGTTTGTGTTCAACTCACAGAGTTTCACGTTGCTTTTCATAGAGCAGATGAGAAACATGCTTTTCGTAGGGTCTGCAAGTGGACATTTGGAGAGATTTCAGGCCTGTGGTGGAAAACGAATTATCGTCACGTAAAAACTAGAGAGAAGCATTGTCAGAAACTTGTTTGTGATGACTGCATTCAACTCACAGAGTTGAAGGTTCCTTTTCAAACAGCAGTTTCCAAACACTCTTTCTGTGGCATCTGCAGTGGATGTTTGGGCCTCTTTGAAGATTTCGTTGGAAACGGGATAATCTTCACAGAAAAGCTAAACAGAAGCATTCTCAGAAACTTCTTTGTGATGTTTGCTTTCAACTCACAGAGTTGAACTTTCCTTTTGAGAGAGAAGCTTTGAAACACTCTTTTTCTAGAATCTGCAAGTGGATATTTGGAGGGCTTTGAGGCTTGAGGTGGAAAAGGAATTATCTTCCCGTAAGAACTAGGTAGATGCATTCTCAGAAACTACTTTGTGACGATTGCATTCAAGTCACAGAGGTGAACATTCCCTTTCAGAGAGCACTTTGGAAACTCTCGTTGTGTAGAATCTGCAAGTGGAGATATGGACCGCTTTGAGGCCTATGGTAGTAAAGGAAACAGCTTCATATAAAAACTAGACAGCAGCATTCTCAGAAAACTCTTTGTGACGACTGAGTTTAACTCACAGGGCTGAACATTCCTTTGGATGGAGCAGTTTGGAAACACACTATCTGTAGGATCTGCAAGCGGATACTTGGGCCTCTCTGAGGATTTCGTTGGAAACGGAATAAACCGCACAGAACTAAACAGAAGCATTCTCAGAACCTTCTTCGTGATGTTTGCATTCAACCCACAGTGTTGAACCTTTCTTTGATAGTTCAGGTTTGAAACACTCTTTTTGTAGAAACTGCAAGTGGATAACTGCACTTCTTTGAGGCCTATCGTAGTAAAGGAAATAACTTCCTATAAAAACAAGACAGAAGCTTTCTCAGAAAATTCTCTGGGATGATTGAGTTGAACTCACAGAGCAGTACTTTCTTTGGGATGGAGTAGTTTCGAAACACACTTTCTGTACAATCTGCAAGTGGATATTTGGACCTGTCTGAGGAATTCGTTGCAAACGGGATAATTTCAGCTAAGTAAACAGAAGCAGTCTCAGAATCTTCTTGTGATGTTTGCATTCAAATCCCAGAATGGAACCTTCCTTTGAAAGTTCAGGTTGGAAACACTCTTTTTGCAGGATCTACAAGTGGATATTCGGACCACTCTGTGGACTTCGTTCGAAACGGGTATATCTTCACATAACATCTAGACAGAAGCATTCTGAGAAACTTTTCTGTGATGACTGCATTCAACTCACAGAGTTGAACACTCCTTTTGAGAGCGCAGTTTTGAAACTCTCTTTCTCTGGAATCTGCAAGGGGACATGCAGACCTCTTTGAAGGTTTCGTTGGAAATGGAATCATCTTCACATAAAAATTACACAGAAGCATCCTCAGGAACTCCTTGGTGATGTTTGTATTCAACTTCCAGAGTTGAACTTTCCTTCGGAAAGAGCAGCTATGAAACACACTTTTTCTAGAATCTGCAAGTGGACATTGGGAGGGCTGTGAGGTTTGTGGTGGAAAAGGAAATATCTCCACGTAAATACTAGATAGAAGCCTTCTCAGAAAACTACTTTGTGATGATTGCATTCACCTCACGGGAGTGGAGCATTCCTATTGACAGAGCAGTTTGGAAACACTCTTCTTGTAGAATCGGCTAGTGGAGATTTGGAGCGCTTTGAGGCCTATGGTAGTAAAGGGAAGAGCTTCACATAAAATCTAGACAGAAGCATTCTCAGAAAATACTTTGTGATGATTGAGTTTAACACACAGAGCTGAACATTCCTTTGGATGGAGAAGGTTTGAAACACACTTTCTATAGAATCTGCGAGTGGATATTTGGACCTCTCTGAGGATTTCGTTGGAAACGGGATAACTGCACCTAACTAAACGGACGTTCTCACAAAATTCTTTGTGATGTTTGCATTCAAATCCCAGAGTTGAACCTTCCTTTGATAGTTCAGCTTTGAAACACTCTTTTTGTAGGATCTGCAGGTGGATATTTGGACCACTCTTTGGCCTTCGTTCGAAACGGGTACATCTTCAAATAAAATCTAGACAGAAGCCTTCTCCGAAACTTCTCTGTGACGATTGCATTCAACTCCAAGCGTTGAACCCTCCTATGGATAGAGCAGTTTTGAATCTCTCTTTTCGTGGAATCTGCAAGTGGATATGTGGTCCTCTTTGAAGATGTCTTTGGAAACGGGAATATGTTCACATAAAAACTAAACAGAAGCATTCTCAGGAAACTTCTCTGTGATGTTTGTGTTCAACTCACAGAGTTTCACGTTGCTTTTCATAGAGCAGATGAGAAACATGCTTTTCGTAGGGTCTGCAAGTGGACATTTGGAGAGATTTCAGGCCTGTGGTGGAAAACGAATTATCGTCACGTAAAAACTAGAGGGAAGCATTGTCAGAAACTTGTTTGTGATGACTGCATTCAACTCACAGAGTTGAAGGTTCCTTTTCAAACAGCAGTTTCCAAACACTCTTTCTGTGGCATCTGCAAGTGGATGTTTGGGCCTCTTTGAAGATTTCGTTGGAAACGGGATAATCTTCACAGAAAAGCTAAACAGAAGCATTCTCAGAAACTTCCTTGTGATGTTTGCTTTCAACTCACAGAGTTGAACTTTCCTTTTGAGAGAGAAGCTTTGAAACACTCTTTTTCTAGAATCTGCAAGTGGATATTTGGAGGGCTTTGAGGCCTGTGGTGGAAAACGAATTATCTTCCCGTAAGAACTAGATAGATGCATTTTCAGAAACTACTTTGTGACGATTGCATTCAAGTCACAGAGGTGAACATTCCCTTTCACAGAGCACTTTGGAAACTCTCGTTGTGTAGAATCTGCAAGTGGAGATATGGACCGCTTTGAGGCCTATGGTAGTAAAGGAAACAGCTTCGTATAAAAACTAGACAGCAGCATTCTCAGAAAACTCTTTGTGACGACTGAGTTTAACTCACAGGGCTGAACATTCCTTTGGATGGAGCAGTTTGGAAACACACTATCTGTAGGATCTGCAAGCGGATACTTGGGCCTCTCTGAGGATTTCGTTGGAAACGGGATAAACCGCACAGAACTAAACAGAAGCATTCTCAGAAACTTCTTCGTGATGTTTGCATTCAACCCACAGTGTTGAACCTTTCTTTGATAGTTCAGGTTTGAAACACTCTTTTTGTAGAAACTGCAAGTGGATAACTGCACTTCTTTGAGGCCTATCGTAGTAAAGGAAATAACTTCCTATAAAAACAAGACAGAAGCTTTCTCAGAAAATTCTCTGCGATGATTGAGTTGAACTCACAGAGCAGTACTTTCCTTGGGATGGAGTAGTTTCGAAACACACTTTATGTAGAATCTGCAAGTGGATATTTGGACCTGTCTGAGGAATTCGTTGCAAACGGGATAATTTCAGCTAAGTAAACAGAAGCAGTCTCAGAATCTTCTTGTGATGTTTGCATTCAAATCCCAGAATTGAACCTTCCTTTGAAAGTTCAGGTTTGAAACACTCTTTTTGCAGGATCTACAAGTGGATATTCGGACCACTCTGTGGACTTCGTTCGAAACGGGTATATCTTCACATAACATCTACACAGAAGCATTCTCAGAAACTTTTCTGTGATGACTGCATTCAACTCACAGAGTTGAACACTCCTTTTGAGAGCGCAGTTTTGAAACTCTCTTTCTCTGGAATCTGCAAGGGGACATGCAGACCTCTTTGAAGGTTTCGTTGGAAACGGAATCATCTTCACATAAAAGTTACACAGAAGCATTCTCAGGAACTCCTTGGTGATGTTTGTATTCAATTTCCAGAGTTGAACTTTCCTTCGGAAAGAGCAGCTATGAAACACTCTTTTTCTAGAATCTGCAAGTGGACATTGGGAGGGCTGTGAGGTTTGTGGTGGAAATGGAAATATCTCCACATAAATACTAGATAGAAGGCTTCTCAGAAACTACTTTGTGATGATTGCATTCACCTCACGGAGTGGAGCATTCCTATTGACAGAGCAGTTTGGAAACACTCTTGTTGTAGAATCTGCTAGTGGAGATTTGGAGCGCTTTGAGGCCTATGGTAGTAAAGGGAAGAGCTTCACATAAAATCTAGACAGAAGCATTCTCAGAAAATACTTTGTGATGATTGAGTTTAACACACAGAGCTGAACATTCCTTTGGATGGAGAAGGTTTGAAACACACTTTCTGTAGAATCTGCGAGTGGATATTTGGACCTCTCTGAGGATTTCGTTGGAAACGGGATAACTGCACCTAACTAAACGGAAGCATTCTCACAAAATTCTTTGTGATGTTTGCATTCAAATCCCAGAGTTGAACCTTCCTTTGATAGTTCAGCTTTGAAACACTCTTTTTGTAGGATCTGCAGGTGGATATTTGGACCACTCTTTGGCCTTCGTTCGAAAAGGGTACATCTTCAAATAAAATCTAGACAGAAGCCTTCTCAGAAACTTCTCTGTGATGATTGCATTCAACTCAAGGCGTTGAACCCTCCTATGGATAGGGCAGTTTTGAATCTCTCTTTTTGTGGAATCTGCAAGTGGATATGTGGTCCTCTTTGAAGATGTCTTTGGAAACGGGAGTATCTTCACATAAAAACTAAACAGAAGCATTCTCAGAAACTTCTCTGTGATGTTTGTGTTCAACTCACAGAGTTTCACGTTGCTTTTCATAGAGCAGATGAGAAACATGGTTTTCGTAGGGTCTGCAAGTGGACATTTGGAGAGATTTCAGGCCTGTGGTGGAAAACGAATTATCGTCACATAAAAACTAGAGAGAAACATTGTCAGAAACTTGTTTGTGATGACTGCATTCAACTCACAGAGTTGAAGGTTCCTTTTCAAACAGCAGTTTCCAAACACTCTTTCTGTGGCATCTGCAAGTGGATGTTTGGGCCTCTTTGAAGATTTCGTTGGAAACGGGATAATCTTCACAGAAAAGCTAAACAGAAGCATTGTCAGAAACTTCTTTGTGATGTTTGCTTTCAACTCACAGAGTTGAACTTTCCTTTTGAGAGAGAAGCTTTGAAACACTCTTTTTCTAGAATCTGCAAGTGGATATTTGGAGGGCTTTGAGGCCTGTGGTGGAAAACGAATTATCTTCCCGTAAGAACTAGATAGATGCATTCTCAGAAACTACTTTGTGACGATTGCATTCAAGTCACAGAGGTGAACATTCCCTTTCACAGAGCACTTTGGAAACTCTCGTTGTGTAGAATCTGCAAGTGGAGATATGGACCGCTTTGAGGCCTATGGTAGTAAAGGAAACAGCTTCATATAAAAACTAGACAGCAGCATTCTCAGAAAAATCTTTCTGACGACTGAGTGTAACTCACAGGGTTGAACATTCCTTTGGATGGAGCAGTTTGGAAACACACTATCTGTAAGATCTGCAAGCGGATACTTGGGCCTCTCTGAGGATTTTGTTGGAAACGGGATAAACCGCACAGAACTAAACAGAAGCATTCTCAGAACCTTCTTCGTGATGTTTGCATTCAACCCACAATGTTGAACCTTTCTTTGATAGTTCAGGTTTGAAACACTCTTTTTGTAGAAACTGCAAGTGGATAACTGCACTTCTTTGAGGCCTATCGTAGTAAAGGAAATAACTTCCTATAAAAACAAGACAGAAGCTTTCTCAGAAAATTCTCTGGGATGATTGAGTTGAACTCACAGAGCAGTACTTTCCTTGGGATGGAGTAGTTTCGAAACACACTTTCTGTAGAATCTGCAAGTGGATATTTGGACCTGTCTGAGGAATTCGTTGCAAACGGGATAATTTCAGCTAAGTAAACAGAAGCAGTCTCAGAATCTTCTTGTGATGGTTGCATTCAAATCCCAGAATTGAACCTTCCTTTGAAAGTTCAGGTTGGAAACACTCTTTTTGCAGGATCTACAAGTGGATATTCGGAACACTCTGTGGACTTCGTTCGAAACGGGTATATCTTCACATAACATCTAGACAGAAGCATTCTCAGAAACTTTTCTGTGATGACTGCATTCAACTCACAGAGTTGAACACTCCTTTTGAGAGCGCAGTTTTGAAACTCTCTTTCTCTGGAATCTGCAAGGGGACATGCAGACCTCTTTGAAGGTTTCGTTGGAAACGGAATCATCTTCACATAAAAATTACACAGAAGCATTCTCAGGAACTCCTTGGTGATGTTTGTATTCAACTTCCAGAGTTGAACTTTCCTTCGGAAAGAGCAGCTATGAAACACTCTTTTTCTAGAATCTGCAAGTGGACATTGGGAGGGCTGTGAGGTTTGTGGTGGAAAAGGAAATATCTCCACGTAAATACTAGATAGAAGCCTTCTCAGAAACTATGTTGTGATGATTGCATTCACCTCACGGAGTGGAGAATTCCTATTGACAGAGCAGTTTGGAAACACCCTTGTTGTAGAATCTGCTAGTGGAGAATTGGAGCGCTTTGAGGCCTATGGTAGTAAATGGAGGAGCTTCACATAAAATCTAGACAGAAGCATTCTCAGAAAATACTTTGTGATGATTGAGTTTAACACACAGAGCTGAACATTCCTTTGGATGGAGAAGGTTTGAAACACACTTTCTGTAGAATCTGCGAGTGGATATTTGGAACTCTCTGAGGATTTCGTTGGAAACGGGATAACTGCACCTAACTAAACGGAAGCATTCTCACAAAATTCTTTGTGATGTTTGCATTCAAATCCCAGAGTTGAACCTTCCTTTGATAGTTCAGCTTTGAAACACTCTTTTTGTAGGATCTGCAAGTGGATATTTGGACCACTCTTTGGCCTTCGTTCGAAACGGGTACATCTTCAAATAAAATCTAGACAGAAGCCTTCTCAGAAACTTCTCTGTGACGATTGCATTCAACTCAAAGAGTTGAACCCTCCTATGGATAGAGCAGTTTTTAATCTCTCTTTTTGTGGAATCTGCAAGTGGATATGTGGTCCTCTTTGAAGATGTCTTTGGAAACGGGAATATCTTCACATAAAAACTAAACAGAAGCATTCTCAGAAACTTCTCTGTGATGTTTGTGTTCAACTCACAGAGTTTCACGTTGCTTTTCATAGAGCAGATGAGAAACATGCTTTTCGTAGGGTCTGCAAGTGGACATTTGGAGAGCTTTCAGGCCTGTGGTGGAAAACGAATTATCGTCACGTAAAAACTAGAGAGAAGCATTGTCAGAAACTTGTTTGTGATGACTGCATTCAACTCACAGAGTTGAAGGTTCCTTTTCAAACAGCAGTTTCCAAACACTCTTTCTGTGGCATCTGCAAGTGGATGTTTGGGCCTCTTTGAAGATTTCGTTGGAAACGGGATACTCTTCACAGAAAAGCTAAACAGAAGCATTCTCAGAAACTTCTTTGTGATGTTTGCTTTCAACTCACAGAGTTGAACTTTCCTTTTGAGAGTGAAGCTTTGAAACACTCTTTTTCTAGAATCTGCAAGTGGATATTTGGAGAGCTTTGAGGCTTGTGGTGGAAAAGGGATTATCTTCCCGTTAAAACTAGATAGATGCATTCTCAGAAACTACTTTGTGACGATTGCATTCAAGTCACAGAGGTGAACATTCCCTTTCACAGAGCACTTTGGAAACTCTCGTTGTGTAGAATCTGCAAGTGGAGATATGGACCGCTTTGAGACCTATGGTAGTAAAGGAAACAGCTTCATATAAAAACTAGACAGCAGCATTCTCAGAAAACTCTTTGTGACGACTGAGTTTAACTCACAGGGCTGAACATTCCTTTGGATGGAGCAGTTTGGAAACACACTATCTGTAGGATCTGCAAGCGGATACTTGGGCCTCTCTGAGGATTTCGTTGGAAACGGGATAAACCGCACAGAACTAAACAGAAGCATTCTCAGAACCTTCTTCGTGATGTTTGCATTCAACCCACAGTGTTGAACCTTTCTTTGATAGTTCAGGTTTGAAACACTCTTTTTGTAGAAACTGCAAGTGGATAACTGCACTTCTTTGAGGCCTATCGTAGTAAAGGAAATAACTTCCTATAAAAACAAGACAGAAGCTTTCTCAGAAAATTCTCTGGGATGATTGAGTTGAACTCACAGAGCAGTACTTTCCTTGGGATGGAGTAGTATCGAAACACACTTTCTGTAGAATCTGCAAGTGGATATTTGGACCTGTCTGAGGAATTCGTTGCAAACGGGATAATTTCAGCTAAGTAAACAGAAGCAGTCTCAGAATCTTCTTGTGATGTTTGCATTCAAATCCCAGAATTGAACCTTCCTTTGAAAGTTCAGGTTGGAAACACTCTTTTTGCAGGATCTACAAGTGTATATTCGGACCACTCTGTGGACTTCGTTCGAAACGGGTATATCTTCACATAACATCTAGACAGAAGCATTCTCAGAAACTTTTCTGTGATGACTGCATTCAACTCACAGAGTTGAACACTCCTTTTGAGAGCGCAGTTTTGAAACTCTCTATCTCTGGAATCTGCAAGGGGACATGCAGACCTCTTTGAAGATTTCGTTGGAAACGGAATCATCTTCACATAAAAATTACACAGAAGCATCCTCAGGAACTCCTTGGTGATGTTTGTATTCAACTTCCAGAGTTGAACTTTCCTTCGGAAAGAGCAGCTATGAAACACTCTTTTTCTAGAATCTGCAAGTGGACATTGGGAGGGCTGTGAGGTTTGTGGTGGAAAAGGAAATATCTCCACATAAATACTAGTTAGAAGCCTTCTCAGAAACTACTTTGTGATGATTGCATTCACCTCACGGAGTGGAGCATTCCTATTGACAGAGCAGTTTGGAAACACTCTTGTTGTAGAATCGGCGAGTGGAGATTTGGAGCGCTTTGAGGCCTATGGTAGTAAAGGGAAGAGCTTCACATAAAATCTAGACAGAAGCATTCTCAGAAAATACTTTGTGATGATTGAGTTTAACACACAGAGCTGAACATTCCTTTGGATGGAGAAGGTTTGAAACACACTTTCTGTAGAATCTGCGAGTGGATATTTGGACCTCTCTGAGGATTTCGTTGGAAACGGGATAACTGCACCTAACTAAACGGAAGCATTCTCACAAAATTCTTTGTGATGTTTGCATTCAAATCCCAGAGTTGAACCTTCCTTTGATAGTTCAGCTTTGAAACACTCTTTTTGTAGGATCTGCAAGTGGATATTTGGACCACTCTTTGGCCTTCGTTCGAAACGGGTACATATTCAAATAAAATCTAGACAGAAGCCTTCTCAGAAACTTCTCTGTGACGATTGCATTCAACTCAAAGCGTTGAACCCTCCTATGGATAGAGCAGTTTTGAATCTCTCTTTTTGTGGAATCTGCAAGTGGATATGTGGTCCTCTTTGAAGATGTCTTTGGAAACGGGAATATCTTCACATAAAAACTAAACAGAAGCATTCTCAGAAACTTCTCTGTGATGTTTGTGTTCAACTCACAGAGTTTCACGTTACTTTTCATAGAGCAGATGAGAAACATGCTTTTCGTAGGGTCTGCAAGTGGACATTTGGAGAGCTTTCAGGCCTGTGGTGGAAAACGAATTATCGTCACGTAAAAACTAGAGAGAAGCATTGTCAGAAACTTGTTTGTGATGACTGCATTCAACTCACAGAGTTGAAGGTTCCTTTTCAAACAGCAGTTTCCAAACACTCTTTCTGTGGCATCTGCAAGTGGATGTTTGGGCCTCTTTGAAGATTTCGTTGGAAACGGGATAATCTTCACAGAAAAGCTAAACAGAAGCATTCTCAGAAACTTCTTTGTGATGTTTGCTTTCAACTCACAGAGTTGAACTTTCCTTTTGAGAGAGAAGCTTTGAAACACTCTTTTTCTAGAATCTGCAAGTGGATATTTGGAGGGCTTTGAGGCCTGAGGTGGAAAAGGAATTATCTTCCCGTAAGAACTAGATAGATGCATTCTCAGAAACTACTTTGTGACGATTGCATTCAAGTCACAGAGGTGAACATTCCCTTTCAGAGAGCACTTTGGAAACTCTCGTTGTGTAGAATCTGCAAGTGGAGATATGGACCGCTTTGAGGCCTATGGTAGTAAAGGAAACAGCTTCATATAAAAACTAGACAGCAGCATTCTCAGAAAACTCTTTGTGACGACTGAGTTTAACTCACAGGGCTGAACATTCCTTTGGATGGAGCAGTTTGGAAACACACTATCTGTAGGATCTGCAAGCGGATACTTGGGCCTCCCTGAGGATTTCGTTGGAAAAGGGATACACCGCACAGAACTAAACAGAAGCATTCTCAGAACCTTCTTCGTGATGTTTGCATTCAACCCACAGTGTTGAACCTTTCTTTGATAGTTCAGGTTTGAAACACTCTTTTTGTAGAAACTGCAAGTGGATAACTGCACTTCTTTGAGGCCTATCGTAGTAAAGGAAATAACTTCCTATAAAAACAAGACAGAAGCTTTCTCAGAAAATTCTCTGGGATGATTGACTTGAACTCACAGAGCACTACTTTCCTTGGGATGGAGTAGTTTCGAAACACACTTTCTGTAGAATCTGCAAGTGGATATTTGGACCTGTCTGAGGAATTCGTTGCAAACGGGATAATTTCAGCTAAGTAAACAGAAGCAGTCTCAGAATCTTCTTGTGATGTTTGCATTCAAATCCCAGAATTCAACCTTCCTTTGAAAGTTCAGGTTGGAAACACTCTTTTTGCAGGATCTACAAGTGGATATTCGGACCACTCTGTGGACTTCGTTCGAAACGGGTATATCTTCACATAACATCTAGACAGAAGCATTCTCAGAAACTTTTCTGTGATGACTGCATTCAACTCACAGAGTTGAACACTCCTTTTGAGAGCGCAGTTTTGAAACTCTCTTTCTCTGGAATCTGCAAGGGGACATGCAGACCTCTTTGAAGGTTTCGTTGGAAACAGAATCATCTTCACATAAAAATTACACAGAAGCATCCTCAGGAACTCCTTGGTGATGTTTGTATTCAACTTCCAGAGTTGAACTTTCCTTCGGAAAGAGCAGCTATGAAACACTCTTTTTCTAGAATCTGCAAGTGGACATTGGGAGGGCTGTGAGGTTTGTGGTGGAAAAGGAAATATCTCCACATAAATACTAGATAGAAGCCTTCTCAGAAACTACTTTGTGATGATTGCATTCACCTCACGGAGTGGAGCATTCCTATTGACAGAGCAGTTTGGAAACACTCTTGTTGTAGAATCTGCTAGTGGAGATTTGGAGCGCTTTGAGGCCTATGGTAGTAAAGGGAAGAGCTTCACATAAAATCTAGACAGAAGCATTCTCAGAAAATACTTTGTGATGTTTGAGTTTAACACACAGAGCTGAACATTCCTTTGGATGGAGAAGGTTTGAAACACACTTTCTGTAGAATCTGCGAGTGGATATTTGGACCTCTCTGAGGATTTCGTTGGAAACGGGATAACTGCACCTAACTAAACGGAAGCATTCTCACAAAATTCTTTGTGATGTTTGCATTCAAATCCCAGAGTTGAACCTTCCTTTGATAGTTCAGCTTTGAAACACTCTTTTTGTAGGATCTGCAAGTGGATATTTGGACCACTCTTTGGCCTTCGTTCGAAACGGGTACATCTTCAAATAAAATCTAGACAGAAGCCTTCTCAGAAACTTCTCTGTGACGATTGCATTCAACTCAAAGCGTTGAACCCTCCTATGGATAGAGCAGTTTTGAATCTCTCTTTTTGTGGAATCTGCAAGTGGATATGTGGTCCTCTTTGAAGATGTCTTTGGAAACGGGAATATCTTCACATAAAAACTAAACAGAAGCATTCTCAGAAACTTCTCTGTGATGTTTGTGTTCAACTCCCAGAGTTTCATGTTGCTTTTCATAGAGCAGATGAGAAACATGCTTTTCGTAGGGTCTGCAAGTGGACATTTGGAGAGATTTCCGGCCTGTGGTGGAAAACGAATTATCGTCACATAAAAACTAGAGAGAAGCATTGTCAGAAACTTGTTTGTGATGACTGCATTCAACTCACAGAGTTGAAGGTTCCTTTTCAAACAGCAGTTTCCAAACACTCTTTCTGAGGCATCTGCAAGTGGATGTTTGGGCCTCTTTGAAGATTTCGTTGGAAACTGGATAATCTTCACAGAAAAGCTAAACAGAAGCATTCTCAGAAACTTCTTTGTGACGTTTGCTTTCAACTCACAGAGTTGAACTTTCCTTTTGAGAGAGAAGCTTTGAAACACTCTTTTTCCAGAATCTGCAAGTGGATATTTGGAGGGCTTTGAGGCCTGAGGTGGAAAAGGAATTATCTTCCCGTAAGAACTAGATAGATGCATTCTCAGAAACTACTTTGTGACGATTGCATTCAAGTCACAGAGGTGAACATTCCCTTTCAGAGAGCACTTTGGAAACTCTCGTTGTGTAGAATCTGCAAGTGGAGATATGGACCGCTTTGAGGCCTATGGTAGTAAAGGAAACGGCTTCATATAAAAACTAGACAGCAGCATTCTCAGAAAACTCTTTGTGACGACTGAGTTAAACTCACAGGGCTGAACATTCCTTTGGATGGAGCAGTTTGGAAACACACTATCTGTAGGATCTGCAAGCGGATACTTGGGCCTCCCTGAGGATTTCGTGGGAAACGGGATAAACCGCACAGAACTAAACAGAAGCATTCTCAGAACCTTCTTCGTGATGTTTGCATTCAACCCACAGTGTTGAACCTTTCTTTGATAGTTCAGGTTTGAAACACTCTTTTTGTAGAAACTGCAAGTGGATAACTGCACTTCTTTGAGGCCTATCGTAGTAAAGGAAATAACTTCCTATAAAAACAAGACAGAAGCTTTCTCAGAAAATTCTCTGGGATGATTGAGTTGAACTCACAGAGCAGTACTTTCCTTGGGATGGAGTAGTTTCGAAACACACTTTCTGTAGAATCTGCAAGTGGGTATTTGGACCTGTCTGAGGAATTCGTTGCAAACGGGATAATTTCAGCTAAGTAAACAGAAGCAGTCTCAGAATCTCCTTGTGATGTTTGCATTCAAATCCCAGAATTGAACCTTCCTTTGAAAGTTCAGGTTTGAAACACTCTTTTTGCAGGGTCTACAAGTGGATATTCGGACCACTCTGTGGACTTCGTTCGAAACGGGTATATCTTCACATAACATCTAGACAGAAGCATTCTCAGAAACTTTTCTGTGATGACTGCATTCAACTCACAGAGTTGAACACTCCTTTTGAGAGCGCAGTTTTGAAACTCTCTTTCTCTGGAATCTGCAAGGGGACATGCAGAGCTCATTGAAGGTTTTGTTGGAAACGGAATCATCTTCACATAAAAATTACACAGAAGCATCCTCAGGAACTCCTTGGTGATGTTTGTATTCAACTTCCAGAGTTGAACTTTCCTTCGGAAAGAGCAGCTATGAAACACTCTTTTTCTAGAATCTGCAAGTGGACATTGGGAGGGCTGTGAGGTTTGTGGTGGAAAAGGAAATATCTCCACATAAATACTAGATAGAAGCCTTCTCAGAAACTACTTTGTGATGATTGCATTCACCTCACGGAGTGGAGCATTCCTATTGACAGAGCAGTTTGGAAACACTCTTGTTGTAGAATCTGCTAGTGGAGATTTGGAGCGCTTTGAGGCCTATGGTAGTAAAGGGAAGAGCTTCACATAAAATCTAGACACAAGCATTCTCAGAAAATACTTTGTGATGATTGAGTTTAACACACAGAGCTGAACATTCCTTTGGATGGAGAAGGTTTGAAACACACTTTCTGTAGAATCTGCGAGTGGATATTTGGACCTCTCTGAGGATTTCGTTGGAAACGGGATAACTGCACCTAACTAAACGGAAGCATTCTCACAAAATTCTTTGTGATGTTTGCATTCAAATCCCAGAGTTGAAACTTCCTTTGATAGTTCAGCTTTGAAACACTCTTTTTGTAGGATCTGCTGGTGGATATTTGGACCACTCTTTGGCCTTCGTTCGAAACGGGTACATCTTCAAATAAAATCTAGACAGAAGCCTTCTCAGAAACTTCTCTGTGACGATTGCATTCAACTCAAAGAGTTGAACCCTCCTATGGATAGAGCAGTTTTGAATCTCTCTTTTTGTGGAATCTGCAAGTGGATATGTGGTCCTCTTTGAAGATGTCTTTGGAAACGGGAATATCTTCACATAAAAACTAAACAGAAGCATTCTCAGAAACTTCTCTGTGATGTTTGTGTTCAACTCACAGAGTTTCACGTTGCTTTTCATAGAGCAGATGAGAAACATGCTTTTCGTAGGGTCTGCAAGTGGACATTTGGAGAGATTTCAGGCCTGTGGTGGAAAACGAATTATCGTCACGTAAAAACTAGAGAGAAGCATTGTCAGAAACTTGTTTGTGATGACTGCATTCAACTCACAGAGTTGAAGGTTCCTTTTCAAACAGCAGTTTCCAAACACTCTTTCTGTGGCATCTGCAAGTGGATGTTTGGGCCTCTTTGAAGATTTCGTTGGAAACGGGATAATCTTCACAGAAAAGCTAAACAGAAGCATGCTCAAGAAACTTCTTTGTGATGTTTGCTTTCAACTCACAGAGTTGAACTTTCCTTTTGAGAGAGAAGCTTTGAAACACTCTTTTTCTAGAATCTGCAAGTGGATATTTGGAGGGCTTTGAGGCCTGAGGTGGAACAGGAATTATCTTCCCGTAAGAACTAGATAGATGCATTCTCAGAAACTACTTTGTGACGATTGCATTCAAGTCACAGAGGTGAACATTCCCTTTCAGAGAGCACTTTGGAAACTCTCGTTGTGTAGAATCTGCAAGTGGAGATATGGACCGCTTTGAGGCCTATGGTAGTAAAGGAAACAGCTTCATATAAAAACTAGACAGCAAGCATTCTCAGAAAACTCTTTGTGACGACTGAGTTTAACTCACAGGGCTGAACATTCCTTTGGATGGAGCAGTTTGGAAACACACTATCTGTAGGATCTGCAAGCGGATACTTGGGCCTCCCTGAGGATTTCGTTGGAAACGGGATAAACCGCACAGAACTAAACAGAAGCATTCTCAGAACCTTCTTCGTGATGTTTGCATTCAACCCACAGTGTTGAACCTTTCTTTGATAGTTCAGGTTTGAAACACTCTTTTTGTAGAAACTGCAGGTGGATAACTGGACTTCTTTGAGGCCTATCGTAGTAAAGGAAATAACTTCCTATAAAAACAAGACAGAAGCTTTCTCAGAAAATTCTCTGGGATGATTGAGTTGAACTCACAGAGCAGTACTTTCCTTGGGATGGAGTAGTTTCGAAACACACTTTCTGTAGAATCTGCAAGTGGATATTTGGACCTGTCTGAGGAATTCGTTGCAAACGGGATAATTTCAGCTAAGTAAACAGAAGCAGTCTCAGAATCTTCTTGTGATGTTTGCATTCAAATCCCAGAATTGAACCTTCCTTTGAAAGTTCAGGTTGGAAACACTCTTTTTGCAGGATCTACAAGTGGATATTCGGACCACACTGTGGACTTCGTTCGAAACGGGTATATCTTCACATAACATCTAGACAGAAGCATTCTCAGAAACTTTTCTGTGATGACTGCATTCAACTCACAGAGTTGAACACTCCTTTTGAGAGCGCAGTTTTGAAACTCTCTTTCTCTGGAATCTGCAAGGGGACATGCAGACCTCTTTGAAGGTTTCGTTGGAAAGGGAATCATCTTCACATAAAAATTACACAGAAGCATTCTCAGGAACTCCCTGGTGATGTTTGTATTCAACTTCCAGAGTTGAACTTTCCTTCGGAAAGAGCAGCTATGAAACACTCCATTTCTAGAATCTGCAAGTGGACATTGGGAGGGCTGTGAGGTTTGTGGTGGAAAAGGAAATATCTCCACGTAAATACTAGATAGAAGCCTTCTCAGAAACTACTTTCAGATGATTGCATTCACCTCACGGAGTGGAGCATTCCTATTGACAGAGCAGTTTGGAAACACTCTTGTTGTAGAATCTGCTAGTGGAGATTTGGAGCGCTTTGAGGCCTATGGTAGTAAAGGGAAGAGCTTCACATAAAATCAAGACAGAAGCATTCTCAGAAAATACTTTGTGATGATTGAGTTTAACACACAGAGCTGAACATTCCTTTGGATGGAGAAGGTTTGAAACACACTTTCTGTAGAATCTGCGAGTGGATATTGGGACCTCTCTGAGGATTTCGTTGGAAACGGGATAACTGCACCTAACTAAACGGAAGCGTTCTCACAAAATTCTTTGTGATGTTTGCATTCAAATCCCAGAGTTGAACCTTCCTTTGATAGTTCAGCTTTGAAACACACTTTTTGTAGGGTCTGCAGGTGGATATTTGGACCGCTCTTTGGCCTTCATTCGAAACGGGTACATCTTCAAATAAAATCTAGACAGAAGCCTTCTCAGAAACTTCTCTGTGACGATTGCATTCAACTCAAAGAGTTGAACCCTCCTATGGATAGAGCAGTTTTGAATCTCTCTTTTTGTGGAATCTGCAAGTGGATATGTGGTCCTCTTTGAAGATGTCTTTGGAAACGGGAATATCTTCACATAAAAACTAAACAGAAGCATTCTCAGAAACTTCTCTGTGATGTTTGTGTTCAACTCACAGAGTTTCACGTTGCTTTTCATAGAGCAGATGAGAAACATGCTTTTCGTAAGGTCTGCAAGTGGACATTTGGAGAGATTTCAGGCCTGTGGTGGAAAACGAATTATCGTCACGTAAAAACTAGAGAGAAGCATTGTCAGAAACTTGTTTGTGATGACTGCATTCAACTCACAGAGTTGAAGGTTCCTTTTCAAACAGCAGTTTCCAAACACTCTTTCTGTGGCATCTGCAAGTGGATGTTTGGGCCTCTTTGAAGATTTCGTTGGAAACGGGATAATCTTCACAGAAAAGCTAAACAGAAGCATGCTCAGAAACTTCTTTGTGATGTTTGCTTTCAACTCACAGAGTTGAACTTTCCTTTTGAGAGAGAAGCTTTGAAACACTCTTTTTCTAGAATCTGCAAGTGGATATTTGGAGGGCATTGAGGCCTGAGGTGGAACAGGAATTATCTTCCCGTAAGAACTAGATAGATGCATTCTCAGAAACTACTTTGTGACGATTGCATTCAAGTCACAGAGGTGAACATTCCCTTTCAGAGAGCACTTTGGAAACTCTCGTTGTGTAGAATCTGCAAGTGGAGATATGGACCGCTTTGAGGCCTATGGTAGTAAAGGAAACAGCTTCATATAAAAACTAGACAGCAGCATTCTCAGAAAACTCTTTGTGACGACTGAGTTAAACTCACAGGGCTGAACATTCCTTTGGATGGAGCAGTTTGGAAACACACTATCTGTAGGATCTGCAAGCGGATACTTGGGCCTCCCTGAGGATTTCGTGGGAAACGGGATAAACCGCACAGAACTAAACAGAAGCATTCTCAGAACCTTCTTCGTGATGTTTGCATTCAACCCACAGTGTTGAACCTTTCTTTGATAGTTCAGGTTTGAAACACTCTTTTTGTAGAAACTGCAAGTGGATAACTGCACTTCTTTGAGGCCTATCGTAGTAAAGGAAATAACTTCCTATAAAAACAAGACAGAAGCTTTCTCAGAAAATTCTCTGGGATGATTGAGTTGAACTCACAGAGCAGTACTTTCCTTGGGATGGAGTAGTTTCGAAACACACTTTCTGTAGAATCTGCAAGTGGATATTTGGACCTGTCTGAGGAATTCGTTGCAAACGGGATAATTTCAGCTAAGTAAACAGAAGCAGTCTCAGAATCTTCTTGTGATGTTTGCATTCAAATCCCAGAATTGAACCTTCCTTTGAAAGTTCAGGTTGGAAACACTCTTTTTGCAGGATCTACAAGTGGATATTCGGACCACTCTGTGGACTTTGTTCGAAACGGGTATATCTTCACATAACATCTAGACAGAAGCATTCTCAGAAACTTTTCTGTGATGACTGCATTCAACTCACAGAGTTGAACACTCCTTTTGAGAGCGCAGTTTTGAAACTCTCTTTCTCTGGAATCTGCAAGGGGACATGCAGACCTCTTTGAAGGTTTCGTTGGAAACAGAATCATCTTCACATAAAGATTACACAGAAGCATTCTCAGGCAACTCCTTGGTGATGTTTGTATTCAACTTCCAGAGTTGAACTTTCCTTCGGAAAGAGCAGCTATGAAACACTCTTTTTCTAGAATCTGCAAGTGGACATTGGGAGGGCTGTGAGGTTTGTGGTGGAAAAGGAAATATCTCCACATAAATACTAGATAGAAGCCTTCTCAGAAACTACTTTGTGATGACTGCATTCACCTCACGGAGTGGAGCATTCCTATTGACAGAGCAGTTTGGAAACACTCTTCTTGTAGAATCGGCTAGTGGAGAGTTGGAGCGCTTTGAGGCCTATGGTAGTAAAGGGAAGAGCTTCACATAAAATCTAGACAGAAGCATTCTCAGAAAATACTTTGTGATGATTGAGTTTAACACACAGAGCTGAACATTCCTTTGGATGGAGAAGGTTTGAAACACACTTTCTGTAGAATCTGCGAGTGGATATTTGGACCTCTCTGAGGATTTCGTTGGAAACGGGATAACTGCACCTAACTAAACGGAAGCATTCTCACAAAATTCTTTGTGATGTTTGCATTCAAATCCCAGAGTTGAACCTTCCTTTGATAGTTCAGCTTTGAAACACTCTTTTTGTAGGATCTGCAGGTGGATATTTGGACCACTCTTTGGCCTTCGTTCGAAAAGGGTACATATTCAAATAAAATCTAGACAGAAGCCTTCTCAGAAACTTCTCTGTGACGATTGCATTCAACTCAAAGCGTTGAACCCTCCTATGGATAGAGCAGTTTTGAATCTCTCTTTTTGTGGAATCTGCAAGTGGATATGTGGTCCTCTTTGAAGATGTCTTTGCAAACGGGAATATCTTCACATAAAAACTAAACAGAAGCATTCTCAGAAACTTCTCTGTGATGTTTGTGTTCAACTCACAGAGTTTCACGTTGCTTTTCATAGAGCAGATGAGAAACATGCTTTTCGTAGGGTCTGCAAGTGGACATTTGGAGAGATTTCAGGCCTGTGGTGGAAAGCGAATTATCGTCACGGAAAAACTAGAGAGAAGCATTGTCAGAAACTTGTTTGTGATGACTGCATTCAACTCACAGAGTTGAAGGTTCCTTTTCAAACAGCAGTTTCCAAACACTCTTTCTGTGGCATCTGCAAGTGGATGTTTGGGCCTCTTTGAAGATTTCGTTGGAAACTGGATAATCTTCACAGAAAAGCTAAACAGAAGCATTCTCAGAAACTTCTTTGTGATGTTTGCTTTCAACTCACAGAGTTGAACTTTCCTTTTGAGAGAGAAGCTTTGAAACACTCTTTTTCTTGAATCTGCAAGTGGATATTTGGAGCGCTTTGAGGCCTGTGGTGGAAAAGGAATTATCTTCCCACA
Organism: Homo sapiens; assembly: GCF_000001405.40. NCBI lineage: Eukaryota > Metazoa > Chordata > Mammalia > Primates > Hominidae > Homo > Homo sapiens. Next base: position 23,046,010 of record NC_000017.11, read on the forward strand.
AGAACTAGATAGATGCATTCTCAGAAACTACTTTGTGGCGATTACATTCAAGTCACAGAGGTGAACATTCCCTTTCACAGAGCACTTTGGAAACTCTCGTTGTGTAGAATCTGCAAGTTTAGATATGGACCGCTTTGAGGCCTATGGTAGTAAAGGAAACAGCTTCATATAAAAACTAGACAGCAGCATTCTCAGAAAACTCTTTGTGACGACTGAGTTTAACTCAAAGGGCTGAACATTCCTTTCGATGGAGCAGTTTGGAAACACACTATCTCTAGGATCTGCAAGCGGATACTTGGGCCTCTCTGAGGATTTCGTTGGAAACGGGATAAACCGCACAGAACTAAACAGAAGCATTCTCAGAACTTTCTTCATGACGTTTGCATTCAACCCACAGTGTTGAACCTTTCTTTGATAGTTCAGGTTTGAAACACTCTTTTTGTAGAAACTGCAAGTGGATAACTGCACTTCTTTGAGGCCTATCGTAGTAAAGGAAATAACTTCCTATAAAAACAAGACAGAAGCTTTCTCAGAAAATTCTCTGGGATGATTGAGTTGAACTCACAGAGCAGTACTTTCCTTGGGATGGAGTAGTTTCGAAACACACTTTCTGTAGAATCTGCAAGTGGATATTTGGACCTGTCTGAGGAATTCGTTGCAAACGGGATAATTTCAGCTAAGTAAACAGAAGCAGTCTCAGAATCTTCTTGTGATGTTTGCATTCAAATCCCAGAATTGAACCTTCCTTTGAAAGTTCAGGTTGGAAACACTCTTTTTGCAGGATCTACAAGTGGATATTCGGACCACTCTGTGGACTTCGTTCGAAACGGGTATATCTTCACATAACATCTAGACAGAAGCATTCTCAGAAACTTTTCTGTGATGACTGCATTCAACTCACAGAGTTGAACACTCCTTTCGAGAGCGCAGTTTTGAAACTCTCTTTCTCTGGAATCTGCAAGGGGACATGCAGACCTCTTTGAAGGTTTCGTTGGAAACGGAATCATCTTCACATAAAAATTACACAGAAGCATTCTCAGGAACTCCTTGGTGATGTTTGTATTCAACTTCCAGAGTTGAACTTTCCTTCGGAAAGAGCAGCTATGAAACACACTTTCTCTAGAATCTGCAAGTGGACATTGGGAGAGCTGTGAGGTTTGTGGTGGAAAAGGAAATATCTCCACATAAATACTAGATAGAAGCCTTCTCAGAAACTACTTTGTGATGATTGCATTCACCTCACGGAGTGGAGCATTCCTATTGACAGAGCAGTTTGGAAACACTCTTGTTGTAGAATCTGCTAGTGGAGATTTGGAGCGCTTTGAGGCCTATGGTAGTAAAGGGAAGAGCTTCACATAAAATCTAGACACAAGCATTCTCAGAAAATAATTTGTGATGATTGAGTTTAACACACAGAGCTGAACATTCCTTTGGATGGAGAAGGTTTGAAACACACTTTCTGTAGAATCTGCGAGTGGATATTTGGACCTCTCTGAGGATTTCGTTGGAAAGGGGATAACTGCACCTAACTAAACGGAAGCATTCTCACAAAATTCTTTGTGATGTTTGCATTCAAATCCCAGAGTTGAACCTTCCTTTGATAGTTCAGCTTTGAAACACTCTTTTTGTAGGTTCTGCAGGTGGATATTTGGACCACTCTTTGGCCTTCATTCGAAACGGGTACATCTTCAAATAAAATCTAGACAGAAGCCTTCTCAGAAACTTCTCTGTGACGATTGCATTCAACTCAAAGCGTTGGACCCTCCTATGGATAGAGCAGTTTTGAATCTCTGTTTTTGTGGAATCTGCAAGTGGATGTGTGGTCCTCTTTGAAGATGTCTTTGGAAACGGGAATATCTTCACATAAAAACTAAACAGAAGCATTCTCAGAAACTTCTCTGTGATGTTTGTGTTCAACTCACAGAGTTTCACGTTGCTTTTCATAGAGCAGATGAGAAACATGCTTTTCGTAGGGTCTGCAAGTGGACATTTGGAGAGATTTCCGGCCTGTGGTGGAAAACGAATTATCGTCACGTAAAAACTAGAGAGAAGCATTGTCAGAAACTTGTTTGTGATGACTGCATTCAACTCACAGAGTTGAAGGTTCCTTTTCAAAGAGCAGTTTCCAAACACTCTTTCTGTGGCATCTGCAAGTGGATGTTTGGGCCTCTTTGAAGATTTCGTTGGAAACGGGATAATCTTCACAGAAAAGCTAAACAGAAGCATTCTCAGAAACTTCTTTGTGACGTTTGCTTTCAACTCACAGAGTTGAACTTTCCTTTTGAGAGAGAAGCTTTGAAACACTCTTTTTCTAGAATCTGCAAGTGGAGATTTGGAGGGCTTTGAGGCCTGAGGTGGAAAAGGAATTATCTTCCCGTAAGAACTAGATAGATGCATTCTCAGAAACTACTTTGTGACGATTGCATTCAAGTCACAGAGGTGAACATTCCCTTTCAGAGAGCACTTTGGAAACCCTCGTTGTGTAGAATCTGCAAGTGGAGATATGGACCGCTTTGAGGCCTATGGTAGTAAAGGAAACAGCTTCATATAAAAACTAGACAGCAGCATTCTCAGAAAACTCTTTGTGACGACTGAGTTTAACTCACAGGGCTGAACATTCCTTTGGATGGAGCAGTTTGGAAACACACTATCTGTAGGATCTGCAAGCGGATACTTGGGCCTCTCTGAGGATTTCGTTGGAAACGGAATAAACCGCACAGAACTAAACAGAAGCATTCTCAGAACCTTCTTCGTGATGTTTGCATTCAACCCACAGTGTTGAACCTTTCTTTGATAGTTCAGGTTTGAAACACTCTTTTTGTAGAAACTGCAGGTGGATAACTGCACTTCTTTGAGGCCTATCGTAGTAAAGGAAATAACTTCCTATAAAAACAAGACAGAAGCTTTCTCAGAAAATTCTCTGGGATGATTGAGTTGAACTCACAGAGCAGTACTTTTCCTTGGGATGGAGTAGTTTCGAAACACACTTTCTGTAGAATCTGCAAGTGGATATTTGGACCTGTCTGAGGAATTCGTTGCAAACGGGATAATTTCAGCTAAGTAAACAGAAGCAGTCTCAGAATCTTCTTGTGATGTTTGCATTCAAATCCCAGAATTGAACCTTCCTTTGAAAGTTCAGGTTGGAAACACTCTTTTTGCAGGATCTACAAGTGGATATTCGGACCACTCTGTGGACTTCGTTCGAAACGGGTATATCTTCACATAACATCTAGACAGAAGCATTCTCAGAAACTTTTCTGTGATGACTGCATTCAACTCACAGAGTTGAACACTCCTTTTGAGAGCGCAGTTTTGAAACTCTCTTTCTCTGGAATCTGCAAGGGGACATGCAGACCTCTTCGAAAGTTTCGTTGGAAACGGAATCATCTTCACATAAAAATTACACAGAAGCATTCTCAGGAACTCCTTGGTGATGTTTGTATTCAACTTCCAGACTTGAACTTTCCTTCGGAAAGAGCAGCTATGAAACACTCTTTTTCTAGAAACTGCAAGTGGACATTGGGAGGGCTGTGAGGTTTGTGGTGGAAAAGGAAATATCTCCACGTAAATACTAGATAGAAGCCTTCTCAGAAACTACTTTGTGATGACTGCATTCACCTCACGGAGTGGAGCATTCCTATTGACAGAGCAGTTTGGAAACACTCTTCTTGTAGAATCGGCTAGTGGAGAGTTGGAGCGCTTTGAGGCCTATGGTAGTAAAGGGAAGAGCTTCACATAAAATCTAGACAGAAGCATTCTCAGAAAATACTTTGTGATGATTGAGTTTAACACACAGAGCTGAACATTCCTTTGGATGGAGAAGGTTTGAAACACACTTTCTGTAGAATCTGCGAGTGGATATTTGGACCTCTCTGAGGATTTCGTTGGAAACGGGATAACTGCACCTAACTAAACGGAAGCATTCTCACAAAATTCTTTGTGATGTTTGCATTCAAATCCCAGAGTTGAACCTTCCTTTGATAGTTCAGCTTTGAAACACTCTTTTTGTAGGATCTGCAAGTGGATATTTGGACCACTCTTTGGCCTTCGTTCGAAACGGGTACATCTTCAAATAAAATCTAGACAGAAGCCTTCTCAGAAACTTCTCTGTGACGATTGCATTCAACTCCAAGCGTTGAACCCTCCTATGGATAGAGCAGTTTTGAATCTCTCTTTTTGTGGAATCTGCAAGTGGATATGTGGTCCTCTTTGAAGATGTCTTTGGAAACGGGAATATCTTCACATAAAAACTAAACAGAAGCATTCTCAGAAACTTCTCTGTGATGTTTGTGTTCAACTCACAGAGTTTCACGTTGCTTTTCATAGAGCAGATGAGAAACATGCTTTTCGTAGGGTCTGCAAGTGGACATTTGGAGAGATTTCAGGCCTGTGGTGGAAAACGAATTATCGTCACGTAAAAACTAGAGAGAAGCATTGTCAGAAACTTGTTTGTGATGACTGCATTCAACTCACAGAGTTGAAGGTTCCTTTTCAAACAGCAGTTTCCAAACACTCTTTCTGTGGCATCTGCAAGTGGATGTTTGGGCCTCTTTGAAGATTTCGTTGGAAACGGGATAATCTTCACAGAAAAGCTAAACAGAAGCATTCTCAGAAACTTCTTTGTGATGTTTGCTTTCAACTCACAGAGTTGAACTTTCCTTTTGAGAGAGAAGCTTTGAAACACTCTTTTTCTAGAATCTGCAAGTGGATATTTGGAGGGCTTTGAGGCCTGAGGTGGAAAAGGAATTATCTTCCCGTAAGAACTAGATAGATGCATTCTCAGAAACTACTTTGTGACGATTGCATTCAAGTCACAGAGGTGAACATTCCCTTTCAGAGAGCACTTTGGAAACTCTCGTTGTGTAGAATCTGCAAGTGGAGATATGGACCGCTTTGAGGCCTATGGTAGTAAAGGAAACAGCTTCATATAAAAACTAGACAGCAGCATTCTCAGAAAACTCTTTGTGACGACTGAGTTTAACTCACAGGGCTGAACATTCCTTTGGATGGAGCAGTTTGGAAACACACTATCTGTAGGATCTGCAAGCGGATACTTGGGCCTCCCTGAGGATTTCGTTGGAAACGGGATAAACCGCACAGAACTAAACAGAAGCATTCTCAGAACCTTCTTCGTGACGTTTGCATTCAACCCACAGTGTTGAACCTTTCTTTGATAGTTCAGGTTTGAAACACTCTTTTTGTAGAAACTGCAAGTGGATAACTGCACTTCTTTGAGGCCTATCGTAGTAAAGGAAATAACTTCCTATAAAAACAAGACAGAAGCTTTCTCAGAAAATTCTCTGGGATGATTGACTTGAACTCACAGAGCAGTACTTTCCTTGGGATGGAGTAGTTTCGAAACACACTTTCTGTAGAATCTGCAAGTGGATATTTGGACCTGTCTGAGGAATTCGTTGCAAACGGGATAATTTCAGCTAAGTAAACAGAAGCAGTCTCAGAATCTTCTTGTGATGGTTGCATTCAAATCCCAGAATTGAACCTTCCTTTGAAAGTTCAGGTTGGAAACACTCTTTTTGCAGTCTCTACAAGTGGATATTCGGACCACTCTGTGGACTTCGTTCGAAACGGGTATACCTTCACATAACATCTAGACAGAAGCATTCTCAGAAACTTTTCTGTGATGACTGCATTCAACTCACAGAGTGGAACACTCCTTTTGAGAGCGCAGTTTTGAAACTCTCTTTCTCTAGAATCTGCAAGGGGACATGCAGACCTCTTTGAAGGTTTCGTTGGAAACGGAATCATCTTCACATAAAAATTACACAGAAGCATTCTCAGGAACTCCTTGGTGATGTTTGTATTCAACTTCCAGAGTTGAACTTTCCTTCGGAAAGAGCAGCTATGAAACACTCTTTTTCTAGAATCTGCAAGTGGACATTGGGAGAGCTGTGAGGTTTGTGGTGGAAAAGGAAATATCTCCACATAAATACTAGATAGAAGCCTTCTCAGAAACTACTTTGTGATGATTGCATTCACCTCACGGAGTTGAGCATTCCTATTGACAGAGCAGTTTGGAAACACTCTTGTTGTAGAATAGGCTAGTGGAGATTTGGAGCGCTTTGAGGCCTATGGTAGTAAAGGGAAGAGCTTCACATAAAATCTAGACAGAAGCATTCTCAGAAAATACTTTGTGATGATTGAGTTTAACACACAGAGCTGAACATTCCTTTGGATGGAGAAGGTTTGAACCACACTTTCTGTAGAATCTGCGAGTGGATATTGGGACCTCTCTGAGGATTTCGTTGGAAACGGGATAACTGCACCTAACTAAACGGAAGCATTCTCACAAAATTCTTTGTGATATTTGCATTCAAATCCCAGAGTTGAACCTTCCTTTGATAGTTCAGCTTTGGAACACTCTTTTTGTAGGATCTGCAGGTGGATATTTGGACCACTCTTTGGCCTTCGTTCAAAACGGGTACATCTTCAAATAAAATCTAGACAGAAGCCTTCTCAGAAACTTCTCTGGGATGATTGCATTCAACTCAAAGCGTTGAACCCTCCTATGGATAGAGCAGTTTTGAATCTCTCTTTTTGTGGAATCTGCAAGTGGATATGTGGTCCTCTTTGAAGTTGTCTTTGGAAACGGGAATATCTTCTTATAAAAACTAAACAGAAGCATTCTCAGAAACTTCTCTGTGATGTTTGTGTTCAACTCACAGAGTTTCACGTTGCTTTTCATAGAGCAGATGAGAAACATGCTTTTCGTAGGGTCTGCAAGTGGACATTTGGAGAACTTTCAGGCCTGTGGTGGAAAACGAATTATCGTCACGTAAAAACTAGAGAGAAAGCATTGTCAGAAACTTGTTTGTGATGACTGCATTCAACTCACAGAGTTGAAGGTTCCTTTTCAAACAGCAGTTTCCAAACACTCTTTCTGTGGCATCTGCAAGTGGATGTTTGGGCCTCTTTGAAGATTTCGTTGGAAACGGGATAATCTTCACAGAAAAGCTAAACAGAAAGCATTCTCAGAAACTTCTTTGTGATGTTTGCTTTCAACTCACAGAGTTGAACTTTCCTTTTGAGAGAGAAGCTTTGAAACACTCTTTTTCTAGAATCTGCAAGTGGATATTTGGAGGGCTTTGAGGCCTGTGGTGGAAAAGGAATTATCTTCCCGTAAGAACTAGATAGATGCATTCTCAGAAACTACTTTGTGACGATTGCATTCAAGTCACAGAGGTGAACATTCCCTTTCACAGAGCACTTTGGAAACTCTCGTTGTGTAGAATCTGCAAGTGGAGATATGGACCGCTTTGAGGCCTATGGTAGTAAAGGAAACAGCTTCATATAAAAACTAGACAGCAGCATTCTCAGAAAACTCTTTGTGACGACTGAGTTTAACTCACAGGGCTGAACATTCCTTTGGATGGATCAGTTTGGAAACACACTATCTGTAGGATCTGCAAGCGGATACTTGGGCCTCCCTGAGGATTTCGTTGGAAACGGGATAAACCGCACAGAACTAAACAGAAGCATTCTCAGAACCTTCTTCGTGATGTTTGCATTCAACCCACAGTGTTGAACCTTTCTTTGATAGTTCAGGTTTGAAACACTCTTTTTGTAGAAACTGCAAGTGGATAACTGCACTTCTTTGAGGCCTATCGTAGTAAAGGAAATAACTTCCTATAAAAACAAGACAGAAGCTTTCTCAGAAAATTCTCTGGGATGATTGAGTTGAACTCACAGAGCAGTACTTTCCTTGGGATGGAGTAGTTTCGAAACACACTTTCTGTAGAATCTGCAAGTGGATATTTGGACCTGTCTGAGGAATTCGTTGCAAACGGGATAATTTCAGCTAAGTAAACAGAAGCAGTCTCAGAATCTTCTTGTGATGTTTGCATTCAAATCCCAGAATTGAACCTTCCTTTGAAAGTTCAGGTTGGAAACACTCTTTTTGCAGGATCTACAAGTGGATATTGGGACCACTCTGTGAACTTCGTTCGAAACGGGTATATCTTCACATAACATCTAGACAGAAGCATTCTCAGAAACTTTTCTGTGATGACTGCATTCAACTCACAGAGTTGAACACTCCTTTTGAGAGCGCAGTTTTGAAACTCTCTTTCTCTGGAATCTGCAAGGGGACATGCAGACCTCTTTGAAGGTTTCGTTGGAAACGGAATCATCTTCACATAAAAATTACACAGAAGCATCCTCAGGAACTCCTTGGTGATGTTTGTATTCAACTTCCAGAGTTGAACTTTCCTTCGGAAAGAGCAGCTATGAAACACTCTTTTTCTAGAAACTGCAAGTGGACATTGGGAGGGCTGTGAGGTTTGTGGTGGAAAAGGAAATATCTCCACATAAATACTAGATAGAAGCCTTCTCAGAAACTACTTTGTGATGATTGCATTCACCTCACGGAGTGGAGCATTCCTATTGACAGAGCAGTTTGGAAACACTCTTCTTGTAGAATCGGCTAGTGGAGATTTGGAGCGCTTTGAGGCCTATGGTAGTAAAGGGAAGAGCTTCACATAAAATCTAGACAGAAGCATTCTCAGAAAATACTTTGTGATGATTGAGTTTAACACACAGAGCTGAACATTCCTTTGGATGGAGAAGGTTTGAAACACACTTTCTGTAGAATCTGCGAGTGGATATTTGGACCTCTCTGAGGATTTCGTTGGAAACCGGATAACTGCACCTAACTAAACGGAAGCATTCTCACAAAATTCTTTGTGATGTTTGCATTCAAATCCCAGAGTTGAACCTTCCTTTGATAGTTCAGCTTTGAAACACTCTTTTTGTAGGATCTGCAAGTGGATACTTGGACCACTCTTTGGCCTTCGTTCGAAACGGGTACATCTTCAAATAAAATCTAGACAGAAGCCTTCTCAGGAACTTCTCTGTGATGATTGCATTCAACTCAAAGAGTTGAACCCTCCTATGGATAGAGCAGTTTTGAATCTCTCTTTTTGTGGAATCTGCAAGTGGATATGTGGTCCTCTTTGAAGATGTCTTTGGAAACGGGAATATCTTCACATAAAAACTAAACAGAAGCATTCTCAGAAACTTCTCTGTGATGTTTGTGTTCAACTCACAGAGTTTCACGTTGCTTTTCATAGAGCAGATGAGAAACATGCTTTTCGTAGGGTCTGCAAGTGGACATTTGGAGAGCTTTCAGGCCTGTGGTGGAAAACGAATTATCGTCACGTAAAAACTAGAGAGAAGCATTGTCAGAAACTTGTTTGTGATGACTGCATTCAACTCACAGAGTTGAAGGTTCCTTTTCAAACAGCAGTTTCCAAACACTCTTTCTGTGGCATCTGCAAGTGGATGTTTGGGCCTCTTTGAAGATTTCGTTGGAAACGGGATAATCTTCACAGAAAAGCTAAACAGCAGCATTCTCAGAAACTTCTTTGTGATGTTTGCTTTCAACTCACAGAGTTGAACTTTCCTTTTGAGAGAGAAGCTTTGAAACACTCTTTTTCTAGAATCTGCAAGTGGATATTTGGAGGGCTTTGAGGCCTGAGGTGGAAAAGGAATTATCTTCCCGTAAGAACTAGATAGATGCATTCTCAGAAACTACTTTGTGACGATTGCATTCAAGTCACAGAGGTGAACATTCCCTTTCAGAGAGCACTTTGGAAACTCTCGTTGTGTAGAATCTGCAAGTGGAGATATGGACCGCTTTGAGGCCTATGGTAGTAAAGGAAACAGCTTCATATAAAAGCTAGACAGCAGCATTCTCAGAAAACTCTTTGTGACGACTGAGTTTAACTCACAGGGCTGAACATTCCTTTGGATGGAGCAGTTTGGAAACACACTATCTGTAGGATCTGCAAGCGGATACTTGGGCCTCCCTGAGGATTTCGTTGGAAACGGGATAAACCGCCCAGAACTAAACAGAAGCATTCTCAGAACCTTCTTCGTGATGTTTGCATTCAACCCACAGTGTTGAACCTTTCTTTGATAGTTCAGGTTTGAAACACTGTTTTTATAGAAACTGCAAGTGGATAACTGCACTTCTTTGAGGCCTATCGTAGTAAAGGAAATAACTTCCTATAAAAACAAGACAGAAGCTTTCTCAGAAAATTCTCTGCGATGATTGAGTTGAACTCACAGAGCAGTACTTTCCTTGGGATGGAATAGTATCGAAACACACTTTCTGTAGAATCTGCAAGTGGATATTTGGACCTGTCTGAGGAATTCGTTGCAAACGGGATAATTTCAGATAAGTAAACAGAAGCAGTCTCAGAATCTTCTTGTGATGTTTGCATTCAAATCCCAGAATTGAACCTTCCTTTGAAAGTTCAGGTTGGAAACACTCTTTTTGCAGGATCTACAAGTGGATATTCGGACCACTCTGTGGACTTCGTTCGAAACGGGTATATCTTCACATAACATCTAGACAGAAGCATTCTCAGAAACTTTTCTGTGATGACTGCATTCAACTCACAGAGTTGAACACTCCTTTTGAGAGCGCAGTTTTGAAACTCTCTTTCTCTGGAATCTGCAAGGGGACATGCAGACCTCTTTGAAGGTTTCGTTGGAAACGGAATCATCTTCACATAAAAATTACACAGAAGCATCCTCAGGAACTCCTTGGTGATGTTTGTATTCAACTTCCAGAGCTGAACTTTCCTTCGGAAAGAGCAGCTATGAAACACTCTTTTTCTAGAATCTGCAAGTGGACATTGGGAGGGCTGTGAGGTTTGTGGTGGAAAAGGAAATATCTCCACATAAATACTAGATAGAAGCCTTCTCAGAAACTCCTTTGTGATGATTGCATTCACCTCACGGAGTGGAGCATTCCTATTGACAGAGCAGTTTGGAAACACTCTTGTTGTAGAATCTGCTAGTGGAGATTTGGAGCGCTTTGAGGCCTATGGTAGTAAGGGGAAGAGCTTCACATAAAATCTAGACAGAAGCATTCTCAGAAAATACTTTGTGATGATTGAGTTTAACACACAGAGCTGAACATTCCTTTGGATGGAGAAGGTTTGAAACACACTTTCTGTAGAATCTGCGAGTGGATATTTGGACCTCTCTGAGGATTTCGTTGGAAACGGGATAACTGCACCTAACTAAACGGAAGCATTCTCACAAAATTCTTTGTGATGTTTGCATTCAAATCCCAGAGTTGACCCTTCCTTTGATAGTTCAGCTTTGAAACACTCTTTTTGTAGGATCTGCAAGTGGATATTTGGACCACTCTTTGGCCTTCGTTCGAAACGGGTACATCTTCAAATAAAATCTAGACAGAAGCCTTCTCAGAAACTTCTCTGTGATGATTGCATTCAACTCAAGGCGTTGAACCCTCCTATGGATAGGGCAGTTTTGAATCTCTCTTTTTGTGGAATCTGCAAGTGGATATGTGGTCCTCTTTGAAGATGTCTTTGGAAACGGGAATATCTTCACATAAAAACTAAACAGAAGCATTCTCAGAAACTTCTCTGTGATGTTTGTGTTCAACTCACAGAGTTTCACGTTGCTTTTCATAGAGCAGGTGAGAAACATGCTTTTCGTAGGGTCTGCAAGTGGACATTTGGAGAGCTTTCAGGCCTGTGGTGGAAAACGAATTATCGTCACGTAAAAACTAGAGAGAAGCATTGTCAGAAACTTGTTTGTGATGACTGCATTCAACTCACAGAGTTGAAGGTTCCTTTTCAAACAGCAGTTTCCAAACACTCTTTCTGTGGCATCTGCAAGTGGATGTTTGGGCCTCTTTGAAGATTTCGTTGGAAACGGGATAATCTTCACAGAAAAGCTAAACAGAAGCATTCTCAGAAACTTCTTTGTGATGTTTGCTTTCAAATCACAGAGTTGAACTTTCCTTTTGAGAGAGAAGCTTTGAAACACTCTTTTTCTAGAATCTGCAAGTGGATATTTGGAGGGCTTTGAGGCCTGTGGTGGAAAAGGAATTATCTTCCCGTAAGAACTAGATAGATGCATTCTCAGAAACTACTTTGTGACGATTGCATTCAAGTCACAGAGGTGAACATTCCCTTTCAGAGAGCACTTTGGAAACTCTCGTTGTGTAGAATCTGCAAGTGGAGATATGGACCGCTTTGAGGCCTATGGTAGTAAAGGAAACAGCTTCATATAAAAACTAGACAGCAGCATTCTCAGAAAACTCTTTGTGACGACTGAGTTAAACTCACAGGGCTGAACATTCCTTTGGATGGAGCAGTTTGGAAACACACTATCTGTAGGATCTGCAAGCGGATACTTGGGCCTCCCTGAGGATTTCGTGGGAAACGGGATAAACCGCACAGAACTAAACAGAAGCATTCTCAGAACCTTCTTCGTGATGTTTGCATTCAACCCACAGTGTTGAACCTTTCTTTGATAGTTCAGGTTTGAAACACTCTTTCTGTAGAAACTGCAAGTGGATAACTGCACTTCTTTGAGGCCTATCGTAGTAAAGGAAATAACTTCCTATAAAAACAAGACAGAAGCTTTCTCAGAAAATTCTCTGGGATGATTGACTTGAACTCACAGAGCAGTACTTTCCTTGGGATGGAGCAGTTTCGAAACACACTTTCTGTAGAATCTGCAAGTGGATATTTGGACCTGTCTGAGGAATTCGTTGCAACCGGCATAATTTCAGCTAAGTAAACAGAAGCAGTCTCAGAATCTTCTTCTGATGTTTGCATTCAAATCCCAGAATTGAAACTTCCTTTGAAAGTTCAGGTTGGAAACACTCTTTTTGCAGGATCTACAAGTGGATATTCGGACCACTCTGTGGACTTCGTTCGAAACGGGTATATCTTCACATAACATCTAGACAGAAGCATTCTCAGAAACTTTTCTGTGATGACTGCATTCAACTCACAGAGTTGAACACTCCTTTTGAGAGCGCAGTTTGGAAACTCTCTTTCTCTGGAATCTGCAAGGAGACATGCAGATCCTCTTTGAAGGTTTCGTTGGAAACGGAATCATCTTCACATAAAAATTACACAGAAGCATCCTCAGGAACTCCTTGGTGATGTTTGTATTCAACTTCCAGAGTTGAACTTTCCTTCGGAAAGAGCAGCTATGAAACACTCTTTTTCTAGAATCTGCAAGTGGACATTGGGAGGGCTGTGAGGTTTGTGGTGGAAAAGGAAATATCTCCACATAAATACTAGATAGAAGCCTTCTCAGAAACTACTTTGTGATGATTGCATTCACCTCACGGAGTGGAGCATTCCTATTGACAGAGCAGTTTGGAAACACTCTTCTCGTAGAATCGGCTAGTGGAGATTTGGAGCGCTTTGAGGCCTATGGTAGTAAAGGGAAGAGCTTCACATACAATCTAGACAGAAGCATTCTCAGAAAATACTTTGTGATGATTGAGTTTAACACACAGAGCTGAACATTCCTTTGGATGGAGAAGGTTTGAAACACACTTTCTGTAGAATCTGCGAGTGGATATTTGGACCTCTCTGAGGATTTCGTTGGAAACGGGATAACTGCACCTAACTAAACGGAAGCATTCTCACAAAATTCTTTGTGATGTTTGCATTCAAATCCCAGAGTTGATCCTTCCTTTGATAGTTCAGCTTTGAAACACTCTTTTTGTAGGATCTGCAAGTGGATATTTGGACCACTCTTTGGCCTTCGTTCGAAACGGGTACATATTCAAATAAAATCTAGACAGAAGCCTTCTCAGAACCTTCTCTGTGACGATTGCATTCAACTCAAAGCGTTGGAGCCTCCTATGGATAGAGCAGTTTTGAATCTCTCTTTTTGTGGAATCTGCAAGTGGATGTGTGGTCCTCTTTGAAGATGTCTTTGGAAAGGGGAATATCTTCACATAAAAACTAAACAGAAGCATTCTCAGAAACTTCTCTGTGATGTTTGTGTTCAACTCACAGAGTTTCACATTGCTTTTCATAGAGCAGATGAGAAACATGCTTTTCGTAGGGTCTGCAAGTGGACATTTGGAGAGCTTTCAGGCCTGTGGTGGAAAACGAATTATCGTCACGTAAAAACTAGAGGGAAGCATTGTCAGAAACTTCTTTGTGATGACTGCATTCAACTCACAGAGTTGAAGGTTCCTTTTCAAACAGCAGTTTCCAAACACTCTTTCTGTGGCATCTGCAATTGGATGTTTGGGCCTCTTTGAAGATTTCGTTGGAAACGGGATAATCTTCACAGAAAAGCTAAACAGAAGCATGCTCAGAAACTTCTTTGTGATGTTTGCTTTCAACTCACAGAGTTGAACTTTCCTTTTGAGAGAGAAGCTTTGAAACACTCTTTTTCTAGAATCTGCAAGTGGATATTTGGAGGGCTTTGAGGCCTGAGGTGGAACAGGAATTATCTTCCCGTAAGAACTAGATAGATGCATTCTCAGAAACTACTTTGTGACGATTGCATTCAAGTCACAGAGGTGAACATTCCCTTTCAGAGAGCACTTTGGAAACTCTCGTTGTGTAGAATCTGCAAGTGGAGATATGGACCGCTTTGAGGCCTATGGTAGTAAAGGAAACAGCTTCATATAAAAACTAGACAGCAGCATTCTCAGAAAACTCTTTGTGACGACTGAGTTTAACTCACAGGGCTGAACATTCCTTTGGATGGAGCAGTTTGGAAACACACTATCTGTAGGATCTGCAAGCGGATACTTGGGTCTCCCTGAGGATTTCGTTGGAAACGGGATAAACCGCACAGAACTAAACAGAAGCATTCTCAGAACTTCTTCGTGATGTTTGCATTCAACCCACAGTGTTGAACCTTTCTTTGATAGTTCAGGTTTGAAACACTCTTTTTGTAGAAACTGCAAGTGGATAACTGCACTTCTTTGAGGCCTATCGTAGTAAAGGAAATAACTTCCTATAAAAACAAGACAGAAGCTTTCTCAGAAAATTCTCTGGGATGATTGAGTTGAACTCACAGAGCAGTACTTTCCTTGGGATGGAGTAGTATCGAAACACACTTTCTGTAGAATCTGCAAGTGGATATTTGGACCTGTCTGAGGAATTCGTTGCAAACGGGATAATTTCAGCTAAGTAAACAGAAGCAGTCTCAGAATCTTCTTGTGATGTTTGCATTCAAATCCCAGAATTGAACCTTCCTTTGAAAGTTCAGGTTGGAAACACTCTTTTTGCAGGATCTACAAGTGGATATTCGGACCACTCTGTGGACTTCGTTCGAAACGGGTATATCTTCACATAACATCTAGACAGAAGCATTCTCAGAAACTTTTCTGTGATGACTGCATAAAACTCACAGAGTTGAACACTCCTTTTGAGAGCGCAGTTTTGAAACTCTCTTTCTCTGGAATCTGCAAGGGGACATGCAGACCTCTTTGAAGGTTTCGTTGGAAACAGAATCATCTTCACATAAAAATTACACAGAAGCATCCTCAGGAACTCCTTGGTGATGTTTGTATTCAACTTCCAGAGTTGAACTTTTCTTCGGAAAGAGCAGCTATGAAACACTCTTTTTCTAGAATCTGCAAGTGGACATTGGGAGGGCTGTGAGGTTTGTGGTGGAAAAGGAAATATCTCCACATAAATACTAGATAGAAGCCTTCTCAGAAACTCCTTTGTGATGATTGCATTCACCTCACGGAGTGGAGCATTCCTATTGACAGAGCAGTTTGGAAACACTCTTGTTGTAGAATCTCCTAGTGGAGATTTGGAGCGCTTTGGCCTATGGTAGTAAAGGGAAGAGCTTCACATAAAATCTTGAAAGAAGCATTCTCAGAAAATACTTTGTGATGATTGAGTTTAACACACAGAGCTGAACATTCCTTTGGATGGAGAAGGTTTGAAACACACTTTCTGTAGAATCTGCGAGTGGATATTTGGACCTCTCTGAGGATTTCGTTGGAAACGGGATAACTGCACCTAACTAAACGGAAGCATTCTCACAAAATTCTTTGTGATGTTTGCATTCAAATCCCAGAGTTGAACCTTCCTTTGATAGTTCAGCTTTGAAACACTCTTTTTGTAGGATCTGCAAGTGGATATTTGGACCACTCTTTGGCCTTCGTTCGAAACGGGTACATCTTCAAATAAAATCTAGACAGAAGCCTTCTCAGAAACTTCTCTGTGACGATTGCATTCAACTCAAAGCGTTGAACCCTCCTATGGATAGAGCAGTTTTGAATCTCTCTTTTTGTGGAATCTGCAAGTGGATATGTGGTCCTCTTTGAAGATGTCTTTGGAAACGGGAATATCTTCACATTAAATCTAAACAGAAGCATTCTCAGAAACTTCTCTGTGATGTTTGTGTTCAACTCACAGAGTTTCACGTTGCTTTTCATAGAGCAGATGAGAAACATGCTTTTCGTAGGGTCTGCAAGTGGACATTTGGAGAGCTTTCAGGCCTGTGGTGGAAAACGAATTATCGTCACGTAAAAACTAGAGAGAAGCATTGTCAGAAACTTGTTTGTGATGACTGCATTCAACTCACAGAGTTGAAGGTTCCTTTTCAAACAGCAGTTTCCAAACACTCTTTCTGTGGCATCTGCAAGTGGATGTTTGGGCCTCTTTGAAGATTTCGTTGGAAACGGGATAATCTTCACAGAAAAGCTAAACAGAAGCATTCTCAGAAACTTCTTTGTGATGTTTGCTTTCAACTCACAGAGTTGAACTTTCCTTTTGAGAGAGAAGCTTTGAAACACTCTTTTTCTAGAATCTGCAAGTGGATATTTGGAGGGCTTTGAGGCCTGTGGTGGAAAAGGAATTATCTTCCCGTTAAAACTAGATAGATGCATTCTCAGAAACTACTTTGTGACGATTGCATTCAAGTCACAGACGTGAACATTCCCTTTCACAGAGCACTTTGGAAACTCTCGTTGTGTAGAATCTGCAAGTGGAGATATGGAGCCCTTTGAGGCCTATGGTAGTAAAGGAAACAGCTTCGTATAAAAACTAGACAGCAGCATTCTCAGAAAACTCTTTGTGATGACTGAGTTTAACTCACAGGGCTGAACATTCCTTTGGATGGAGCAGTTTGGAAACACACTATCTGTAGGATCTGCAAGCGGATACTTGGGCCTCTCTGAGGATTTCGTTGGAAACGGGATAAACCGCACAGAACTAAACAGAAGCATTATCAGAACCTTCTTCGTGATGTTTGCATTCAACCCACAGTGTTGAACCTTTCTTTGATAGTTCAGGTTTGAAACACTCTTTTTGTAGAAACTGCAAGTGGATAACTGCACTTCTTTGAGGCCTATCGTAGTAAAGGAAATAACTTCCTATAAAAACAAGACAGAAGCTTTCTCAGAAAATTCTCTGGGATGATTGAGTTGAACTCACAGAGCAGTACTTTCCTTGGGATGGAGTAGTTTCGAAACACACTTTCTGTAGAATCTGCAAGTGGATATTTGGACCTGTCTGAGGAATTCGTTGCAAACGGGATAATTTCAGCTAAGTAAACAGAAGCAGTCTCAGAATCTTCTTGTGATGTTTGCATTCAAATCCCAGAATTGAACCTTCCTTTGAAAGTTCAGGTTGGAAACACTCTTTTTGCAGGATCTACAAGTGGATATTCGGACCACTCTGTGGACTTCGTTCGAAACGGGTATATCTTCACATAACATCTAGACAGAAGCATTCTCAGAAACTTTTCTGTGATGACTGCATTCAACTCACACAGTTGAACACTCCTTTTGAGAGCGCAGTTTTGAAACTCTCTTTCTCTGGAATCTGCAAGGGGACATGCAGACCTCTTTGAAGGTTTCGTTGGAAACGGAATCATCTTCACATAAAAATTACACAGAAGCATTCTCAGGAACTCCTTGGTGATGTTTGTATTCAACTTCCAGAGTTGAACTTTCCTTCGGAAAGAGCAGCTATGAAACACTCTTTTTCTAGAATCTGCAAGTGGACATTGGGAGGGCTGTGAGGTTTGTGGTGGAAAAGGAAATATCTCCACATAAATACTAGATAGAAGCCTTCTCAGAAACTACTTTGTGATGATTGCATTCACCTCACGGAGTGGAGCATTCCTATTGACAGAGCAGTTTGGAAACACTCTTCTCGTAGAATCGGCTAGTGGAGATTTGGAGCGCTTTGAGGCCTATGGTAGTAAAGGGAAGAGCTTCACATAAAATCTAGACAGAAGCATTCTCAGAAAATACTTTGTGATGATTGAGTTTAACACACAGAGCTGAACATTCCTTTGGATGGAGCAGGTTTGAAACACACTTTCTGTAGAATCTGCGAGTGGATATTTGGACCTCTCTGAGGATTTCGTTGGAAACGGGATAACTGCACCTAACTAAACGGAAGCATTCTCACAAAATTCTTTGTGATGTTTGCATTCAAATCCCAGAGTTGAACCTTCCTTTGATAGTTCAGCTTTGAAACACTCTTTTTGTAGGATCTGCAGTTGGATATTTGGACCACACTTTGGCCTTCATTCGAAAAGGGTACATCTTCAAATAAAATCTAGACAGAAGCCTTCTCAGAAACTTCTCTGTGATGATTGCATTCAACTCAAAGCGTTGAACCCTCCTATGGATAGAGCAGTTTTGAATCTCTCTTTTTGTGGAATCTGCAAGTGGATATGTGGTCCTCTTTGAAGATGTCTTTGGAAACGGGAATATCTTCACATAAAAACTAAACAGAAGCATTCTCAGAAACTTCTCTGTGATGTTTGTGTTCAACTCACAGAGTTTCACGTTGCTTTTCATAGAGCAGATGAGAAACATGCTTTTCGTAGGGTCTGCAAGTGGACATTTGGAGAGATTTCCGGCCTGTGGTGGAAAACGAATTATCGTCACGTAAAAACTAGAGAGAAGCATTGTCAGAAACTTGTTTGTGATGACTGCATTCAACTCACAGAGTTGAAGGTTCCTTTTCATACAGCAGTTTCCAAACACTCTTTCTGTGGCATCTGCAAGTGGATGTTTGGGCCTCTTTGAAGATTTCGTTGGAAACGGGATAATCTTCACAGAAAAGCTAAACAGAAGCATTCTCAGAAACTTCTTTGTGATGTTTGCTTTCAACTCACAGAGTTGAACTTTCCTTTTGAGAGAGAAGCTTTGAAACACTCTTTTTCTAGAATCTGCAAGTGGATATTTGGAGGGCTTTGAGGCCTGTGGTGGAAAAGGAATTATCTTCCCGTAAGAACTAGATAGATGCATTCTCAGAAACTACTTTGTGACGATTGCATTCAAGTCACAGAGGTGAACATTTCCTTTCAGAGAGCACTTTGGAAACTCTCGTTGTGTAGAATCTGCAAGTGGAGATATGGACCGCTTTGAGGCCGATGGTAGTAAAGGAAACAGCTTCATATAAAAACTAGACAGCAGCATTCTCAGAAAACTCTTTGTGACGACTGAGTTTAACTCACAGGGCTGAACATTCCTTTGGATGGAGCAGTTTGGAAACACACTATCTGTAGGATCTGCAAGCGGATACTTGGGCCTCTCTGAGGATTTCGTTGGAAACGGGATAAACCACACAGAACTAAACAGAAGCATTCTCAGAACCTTCTTCGTGATGTTTGCATTCAACCCACAGTGTTGAACCTTTCTTCGATAGTTCAGGTTTGAAACACTCTTTTTGTAGAAACTGCAAGTGGATAACTGCACTTCTTTGAGGCCTATCGTAGTAAAGGAAATACCTTCCTATGAAAACAAGACAGAAGCTTTCTCAGAAAATTCTCTGGGATGATTGAGTTGAACTCACAGAGCAGTACTTTCCTTGGGATGGAGTAGTTTCGAAACACACTTTCTGTAGAATCTGCAAGTGGATATTTGGACCTGTCTGAGGAATTCGTTGCAAACGGGATAATTTCAGCTAAGTAAACAGAAGCAGTCTCAGAATCTTCTTGTGATGTTTGCATTCAAATCCCAGAATGGAACCTTCCTTTGAAAGTTCAGGTTGGAAACACTCTTTTTGCAGGATCTACAAGTGTATATTCGGACCACTCTGTGGACTTCGTTCGAAACGGGTATATCTTCACATAACATCTAGACAGAAGCATTCTCAGAAACTTTTCTGTGATGACTGCATTCAACTCACAGAGTTGAACACTCCTTTTGAGAGCGCAGTTTTGAAACGCTCTTTCTCTGGAATCTGCAAGGGGACATGCAGACCTCTTTGAAGGTTTCGTTGGAAACGGAATCATCTTCACATAAAAATTACACAGAAGCATCCTCTGGAACTCCTTGGTGATGTTTGTATTCAACTTCCTGAGTTGAACTTTCCTTCGGAAAGAGCAGCTATGAAACACTCTTTTTCTAGAATCTGCCAGTGGACATTAGGAGGGCTGTGAGGTTTGTGGTGGAAAAGGAAATATCTCCACATAAATACTAGATAGAAGCCTTCTCAGAAACTACTTTGTGATGATTGCATTCACCTCACAGAGTTGAGCATTCCTATTGACAGAGCAGTTTGGAAACACTCTTGTTGTAGAATCTGCTAGTGGAGATTTGGAGCGCTTTGAGGCCTATGGTAGTAAAGGGAAGAGCTTCACATAAAATCTAGACAGAAGCATTCTCAGAAAATACTTTGAGATGATTGAGTTTAACACACAGAGCTGAACATTCCTTTGGATGGAGCAGGTTTGAAACACACTTTCTGTAGAATCTGCGAGTGGATATTTGGACCTCTCTGAGGATTTCGTTGGAAACGGGATAACTGCACCTAACTAAACGGAAGCATTCTCACAAAATTCTTCGTGATGTTTGCTTTCAAATCCCAGAGTTGAACCTTCCTTTGATAGTTCAGGTTTGAAACACTCTTTTTGTAGGATCTGCAAGTGGATATTTGGACCACTCTTTGGCCTTCCTTCGAAACGGGTACATCTTCAAATAAAATCTAGACAGAAGCCTTCTCAGAAACTTCTCTGTGGTGATTGCGTTCAACTCACAGAGTTGAACGCTCCTATGGATAAAGCAGTTTTGAATCTCTCTTTTTGTGGAATCTGCAAGTGGATATGTGAACCTCTTTGAAGATGTCTTTGGAAACGGGAATATCTTCACATAAAAACTAAACAGAAGCATTCTCAGAAACTTCTCTGTGATGTTTGTGTTCAACTCACAGAGTTTCACGTTGCTTTTCATAGAGCAGATGAGAAACATGCTTTTCGTAGGGTCTGCAAGTGGACATTTGGAGAGCTTTCAGGCCTGTGGTGGAAAACGAATTATCGTCACGTAAAAACTAGAGAGAAGCATTGTCAGAAACTTGTTTGTGATGACTGCATTCAACTCACAGAGTTGAAGGTTCCTTTTCAAACAGCAGTTTCCAAACACTCTTTCTGTGGCATCTGCAAGTGGATGTTTGGGCCTCTTTGAAGATTTCGTTGGAAACGGGATAATCTTCACAGAAAAGCTAAACAGAAGCATTCCCAGAAACTTCTTTGTGATGTTTGCTTTCAACTCACAGAGTTGAACTTTCCTTTTGAGAGAGAAGCTTTGAAACACTCTTTTTCTAGAATCTGCAAGTGGATATTTGCAGGGCTTTGAGGCCTGTGGTGGAAAAGGAATTATCTTCCCGTAAGAACTAGATAGATGAATTCTCAGAAACTACTTTGTGACGATTGCATTCAAGTCACGGAGGTGAACATTCCCTTTCAGAGAGCACTTTGGAAACTCTCGTTGTGTAGAATCTGCAAGTGGAAATATGGACCGCTTTGAGGCCTATGGTAGTAAAGGAAACAACTTCATATAAAAACTAGACAGCAGCATTCTCAGAAAACTCTTTGTGATGACTGAGTTTAACTCACAGGGCTGAACATTCCTTTGGATGGAGCAGTTTGGAAACACACTATCTGTAGGATCTGCAAGCGGATACTTGGGCCTCTCTGAGGATTTCGTTGGAAACGGGATAAACCGCACAGAACTAAACAGAAGCATTCTCAGATCCTTCTTCGTGATGTTTGCATTCAACCCACAGTGTTGAACCTTTCCTTGATAGTTCAGGTTTGAAACACTCTTTTTGTAGAAACTGCAAGTGGATAACTGCACTTCTTTGAGGCCTATCGTAGTAAAAGAAATAACTTCCTATAAAAACAAGACAGAAGCTTTCTCAGAAAAATCTCTGGGATGATTGTGTTGAACTCACAGAGCAGTACTTTCCTTGGGATGGAGTAGTTTCGAAACACACTTTCTGTAGAATCTGCAAGTGGATATTTAGACCTGTCTGAGGAATTCGTTGCAAACGGGATAATTTCAGCTAAGTAAACAGAAGCAGTCTCAGAATTTTCTTGTGATGTTTGCATTCAAATCCCAGAATTGAACCTTCCTTTGAAAGTTCAGTTTGGAAACACTCTTTTTGCAGGATCTACAAGTGGATATTCGGACCTCTCTGTGGACTTCGTTCGAAACGGGTATATCTTCACATACCATCTAGACAGAAGCATTCTCAGAAACTTTTCTGTGATGACTGCATTCAACTCACAGAGTTGAACACTCCTTTTGAGAGCGCAGTTTTGAAACTCTCTTTCTCTGGAATCTGCAAGGGGACATGCAGACCTCTTTGAAGGTTTCATTGGAAACGGAATCATCTTCACATAAAAATTACACAGAAGCATTCTCAGGAACTCCTTGGTGATGTTTGTATTCAACTTCCAGAGTTGAACTTTCCTTCAGAAAGAGCAGCTATGAAACACTCTTTTTCTAGAATCTGCAAGTGGACATTGGGAGGGCTGTGAGGTTTGTGGTGGAAAAGGAAATATCTCCACATAAATACTAGATAGAAGCCTTCTCAGAAACTACTTTGTGATGATTGCATTCACCTCACGGAGTGGAGCATTCCTATTGACAGAGCAGTTTGGAAACACTCTTGTTGTGGAATGTGCAAGTGGAGATTTGGAGCGCTTTGAGGCCTATGGTAGTAAAGGGAATAGCTTCATAGAAAAATTAGACAGAAGCATTCTCAGAAAATACTTTGTGATGATTGAGTTTAACTCACAGAGCTGAACATTCCTTTGGATGGAGCAGGTTTGAGACACACTTTTTGTAGAATCTACAAGTGGATATTTGGACCTCTCTGAGGATTTCGTTGGAAACGCGATAACTGCACCTAACTACACGGAAGCATTCTCACAAAATTCTTTGTGATGTTTGCATTCAAATCCCAGAGTTGAACCTTCCTTTGATAGTTCAGCTTTGAAACACTCTTTTTGTAGGATCTGCAAGTGGATACTTGGACCACTCTTTGGCCTTCGTTCGAAACGGGTACATCTTCAAATAAAATCTAGACAGAAGCCTTCTCAGAAACTTCTCTGTGACGATTGCATTCAACTCAAAGCGTTGAACCCTCCTATGGATAGAGCAGTTTTGAATCTCTCTTTTTGTGGAATCTGCAAGTGGATATGTGGTCCTCTTTGAAGATGTCTTTGGAAACGGGAATATCTTCACATAAAAACTAGACAGAAGCATTCTCAGAAACTTCTCTGTGATGTTTGTGTTCAACTCACAGAGTTTCACGTTGCTTTTCATAGAGCAGATGAGAAACATGCTTTTCGTAGGGTGTGCAAGTGGACGTTTGGAGAGATTTCAGGCCTGTGGTGGAAAACGAATTATCGTCACGTAAAAACTAGAGAGAAGCATTGTCAGAAACTTGTTTGTGATGACTGCATTCAACTCACAGAGTTGAAGGTTCCTTTTCAAACAGCAGTTTCCAAACACTCTTTCTGTGGCATCTGCAAGTGGATGTTTGGGCCTCTTTGAAGATTTCGTTGGAAACGGGATAATCTTCACAGAAAAGCTAAACAGAAGCATTCTCAGAAACTTCTTTGTGATGTTTGCTTTCAACTCACAGAGTTGAACTTTCCTTTTGAGAGAGAAGCTTTGAAACACTCTTTTTCTTGAATCTGCAAGTGGATATTTGGAGCGCTTTGAGGCCTGTGGTGGAAAAGGAATTATCTTCCCACAAGAACTAGATAGATGCATTCTCAGAAACTACTTTGTGACGATTGCATTCAAGTCACGGAGGTGAACATTCCCTTTCAGAGAGCACTTTGGAAACTCTCGTTGTGTAGAATCTGCAAGTGGAGATATGGACCGCTTTGAGGCCTATGGTAGTAAAGGAAACAACTTCATATAAAAACTAGACAGCAGCATTCTCAGAAAACTCTTTGTGACGACTGAGTTTAACTCACAGGGCTGAACATTCCTTTGGATGGAGCAGTTTGGAAACACACTATCTGTAGGATCTGCAAGCGGATACTTGGGCCTCCCTGAGGATTTCGTTGGAAACGGGATAAACCGCACAGAACTAAACAGAAGCATTCTCAGAACCTTCTTCGTGATGTTTGCATTCAACCCACAGTGTTGAACCTTTCTTTGATAGTTCAGGTTTGAAACACTCTTTTTGTAGAAACTGCAAGTGGATAACTGCACTTCTTTGAGGCCTATCGTAGTAAAGGAAATAACTTCCTATAAAAACAAGACAGAAGCTTTCTCAGAAAATTCTCTGGGATGATTGACTTGAACTCACAGAGCAATACTTTCCTTGGGTTGGAGTAGTTTCGAAACACACTTTCTGTAGAATCTGCAAGTGGATATTTGGACCTGTCTGAGGAATTTGTTGCAAACGGGATAATTTCAGCTAAGTAAACAGAAGCAGTCCCAGAATCTTCTTGTGATGTTTGCATTCAAATCCCAGAATTGAACCTTCCTTTGAAAGTTCAGGTTTGAAACACTCTTTTTGCAGGGTCTACAAGTGGATATTCGGACCACTCTGTGGACTTCGTTCGAAACGGGCATATCTTCACATAACATCTAGACAGAAGCATTCTCAGAAACTTTTCTGTGATGACTGCATTCAACTCACAGAGTTCAACACTCCTTTTGAGAGCGCAGTTTTGAAACTCTCTTTCTCTGGAATCTGCAAGGGGACATGCAGACCTCTTTGAAGGTTTCGTTGGAAACGGAATCATCTTCACATAAAAATTACACAGAAGCATCTTCAGGAACTCCTTGGTGATGTTTGTATTCAACTTCCAGAGTTGAACTTTCCTTCGGAAAGAGCAGCTATGAAACACTCTTTTTCTAGAATCTGCAAGTGGACATTGGGAGGGCTGTGAGGTTTGTGGTGGAAAAGGAAATATCTCCACATAAATACTAGATAGAAGCCTTCTCAGAAACTACTTTGTGATGATTGCATTCACCTCACGGAGTTGAGCATCCCTATTGACAGAGCAGTTTGGAAACACTCTTCTTGTAGAATCGGCTAGTGGAGATTTGGAGCGTTTTGAGGCCTATGGTAGTAAAGGGAAGAGCTTCACATAAAATCTAGACAGAAGCATTCTCAGAAAATACTTTGTGATGATTGAGTTTAACACACAGAGCTGAACATTCCTTTGGATGGAGAAGGTTTGAAACACACTTTCTGTAGAATCTGCGAGTGGATATTTGGACCTCTCTGAGGATTTCGTTGGAAACGGGATAACTGCACCTAACTAAACGGAAGCATTCTCACAAAATTCTCTTTGATGTTTGCATTCAAATCCCAGAGTTGAACCTTCCTTTGATAGTTCAGCTTTGAAACACTCTTTTTGTAGGTTCTGCAGGTGGATATTTGGACCACTCTTTGGCCTTCGTTCGAAACGGGTACATCTTCAAATAAAATCTAGACAGAAGCCTTCTCAGAAACTTCTCCGTGATGATTGCATTCAACTCAAAGCGTTGAACCCTCCTATGGATAGAGCAGTTTTGAATCTCTCTTTTTGTGGAATCTGCAAGTGGATATGTGGTCCTCTTTGAAGATGTCTTTGGAAACGGGAATATCTTCACATAAAAACTAAACAGAAGCATTCTCAGAAACTTCTCTGTGATGTTTGTGTTCAACTCACAGAGTTTCACGTTGCTTTTCATAGAGCAGATGAGAAACATGCTTTTCGTAGGGTCTGCAAGTGGACGTTTGGAGAGATTTCAGGCCTGTGGTGGAAAACGAATTATCGTCACGTAAAAACTAGAGAGAAGCATTGTCAGAAACTTGTTTGTGATGACTGCATTCAACTCACAGAGTTGAAGGTTCCTTTTCAAACAGCAGTTTCCAAACACTCTTTCTGTGGCATCTGCAAGTGGATGATTGGGCCTCTTTGAAGATTTCGTTGGAAACGGGATAATCTTCACAGAAAAGCTAAACAGAAGCATTCTCAGAAACCTCTTTTTGATGTTTGCTTTCAACTCACAGAGTTGAACTTTCCTTTTGAGAGAGAAGCTTTGAAACACTCTTTTTCTAGAATCTGCAAGTGGATATTTGGAGGGCTTTGAGGCCTGAGGTGGAAAAGGAATTATCTTCCCGTAAGAACTAGATAGAATGCATTCTCAGAAACTTCTTTGTGACGATTGCATTCAAGTCACAGAGGTGAACATTCCCTTTCACAGAGCACTTTGGAAACTCTCGTTGTGTAGAATCTTCAAGTGGAGATATGGACCGCTTTGAGGCCTATGGTAGTAAAGGAAACAGCTTCATATAAAAACTAGACAGCAGCATTCTCAGAAAACTCTTTGTGACGACTGAGTTTAACTCACAGGGCTGAACATTCCTTTGGATGGAGCAGTTTGGAAACACACTATCTGTAGGATCAGCAAGCGGATACTTTGGCCTCCCTGAGGATTTCGTTGGAAACGGGATAAACCGCACAGAACTAAACAGAAGCATTCTCAGAACCTTCTTCGTGATGTTTGCATTCAACCCACAGTGTTGAACCTTTCTTTGATAGTTCAGGTTTGAAACACTCTTTTTGTAGAAACTGCAAGTGGATAACTGCACTTCTTTGAGGCCTATCGTAGTAAAGGAAATAACTTCCTATAAAAACAAGACAGAAGCTTTCTCAGAAAATTCTCTGGGATGATTGAGTTGAACTCACAGAGCAGTACTTTCCTTGGGATGGAGTAGTTTCGAAACACACTTTCTGTAAAATCTGCAAGTGGATATTTGGACCTGTCTGAGGAATTCGTTGCAAACGGGATAATTTCAGCTAAGTAAACAGAAGCAGTCTCAGAATCTTCTTGTGATGGTTGCATTCAAATCCCAGAATTGAACCTTCCTTTGAAAGTTCAGGTTGGAAACACTCTTTTTGCAGGATCTACAAGTGGATATTCGGACCACTCTGTGGACTTCGTTCGAAACGGGTATATCTTCACATAACATCTAGACAGAAGCATTCTCAGAAACTTTTCTGTGATGACTGCATTCAACTCACAGAGTTGAACACTCCTTTTGAGAGCGCAGTTTTGAAACTCTCTTTCTCTGGAATCTGCAAGGGGACATGCAGACCTCTTTGAAGGTTTCGTTGGAAACGGAATCATCTTCACATAAAAATTACACAGAAGCATTCTCAGGAACTCCCTGGTGATGTTTGTATTCAACTTCCAGAGTTGAACTTTCCTTCGGAAAGAGCAGCTATGAAACACTCCATTTCTAGAATCTGCAAGTGGACATTGGGAGGGCTGTGAGGTTTGTGGTGGAAAAGGAAATATCTCCACGTAAATACTAGATAGAAGCCTTCTCAGAAACTACTTTGTGATGACTGCATTCACCTCACGGAGTGGAGCATTCCTATTGACAGAGCAGTTTGGAAACACTCTTCTTGTAGAATCGGCTAGTGGAGATTTGGAGCGCTTTGAGGCCTATGGTAGTAAAGGGAAGAGCTTCACATAAAATCTAGACAGAAGCATTCTCAGAAAATACTTTGTGATGATTGAGTTTAGCACACAGAGCTGAACATTCCTTTGGATGGAGCAGGTTTGAAACACACTTTCTGTAGAACCTGCGAGTGGATATTTGGACCTCTCTGAGGATTTCGTTGGAAACGGGATAACTGCACCTAACTAAACGGAAGCATTCTCACAAAATTCTTCGTGATGTTTGCTTTCAAATCCCAGAGTTGAACCTTCCTTTGATAGTTCAGGTTTGAAACACTCTTTTTGTAGGATCTGCAAGTGGATATTTGGACCACTCTTTGGCCTTCCTTCGAAACGGGTACATCTTCAAATAAAATCTAGACAGAAGCCTTCTCAGAAACTTCTCTGTGACGATTGCATTCAACTCAAAGCGTTGAACGCTCCTATGGATAGAGCAGTTTTGAATCTCTCTTTTTGTGGAATCTGCAAGTGGATATGTGGTCCTCTTTGAAGATGTCTTTGGAAACGGGAATATCTTCACATAAAAACTAAACAGAAGCATTCTCAGAAACTTCTCTGTGATGTTTGTGTTCAACTCACAGAGTTTCACGTTGCTTTTCATAGAGTAGATGAGAAACATGCTTTTCGTAGGGTCTGCAAGTGGACATTTGGAGAGATTTCAGGCCTGTGGTGGAAAACGAATTATCGTCACGTAAAAACTAGAGAGAAGCATTGTCAGAAACTTGTTTGTGATGACTGCATTCAACTCACAGAGTTGAAGGTTCCTTTTCAAACAGCAGTTTCCAAACACTCTTTCTGTGGCATCTGCAAGTGGATGTTTGGGCCTCTTTGAAGATTTCGTTGGAAACGGGATAATCTTCACAGAAAAGCTAAACAGAAGCATTCTCAGAAACTTCTTTGTGATGTTTGCTTTCAACTCACAGCAGTTGAACTTTCCTTTTGAGAGAGAAGCTTTGAAACACTCTTTTTCTAGAATCTGCAAGTGGATATTTGGAGGGCTTTGAGGCCTGTGGTGGAAAAGGAATTATCTTCCCGTAAGAACTAGATAGATGCATTCTCAGAAACTACTTTGTGACGATTGCATTCAAGTCACAGAGGTGAACATTCCCTTTCAGAGAGCACTTTGGAAACTCTCGTTGTGTAGAATCTGCAAGTGGAGATATGGACCGCTTTGAGGCCTATGGTAGTAAAGGAAACAGCTTCATATAAAAACTAGACAGCAAGCATTCTCAGAAAACTCTTTGTGACGACTGAGTTTAACTCATAGGGCTGAACATTCCTTTGGATGGAGCAGTTTGGAAACACACTATCTGTAGGATCTGCAAGCGGATACTTGGGCCTCTCTGAGGATTTCGTTAGAAACGGGATAAACCGCACAGAACTAAACAGAAGCATTCTCAGAACCTTCTTCGTGATGTTTGCATTCAACCCACAGTGTTGAACCTTTCTTTGATAGTTCAGGTTTGAAACACTCTTTTTGTAGAAACTGCAAGTGGATAACTGCACTTCTTTGAGGCCTATCGTAATAAAGGAAATAACTTCCTATAAAAACAAGACAGAAGCTTTCTCAGAAAATTCTCTGGGATGATTGAGTTGAACTCACAGAGCAGTACTTTCCTTGGGATGGAGTAGTTTCGAAACACACTTTCTGTAGAATCTGCAAGTGGATATTTGGACCTGTCTGAGGAATTCGTTGCAAACGGGATAATTTCAGCTAAGTAAACAGAAGCAATCTCAGAATCTTCTTTGTGATGTTTGCATTCGAATCCCAGAATTGAACCTTCCTTTGAAAGTTCAGGTTTGAAACTCTCTTTTTGCAGTATCTACAAGTGGATATTTGGACCACTCTGTGGCCTTCGTTCGAAACGGGTATATCTTCACATAACATCTAGACAGAAGCATTCTCAGAAACTTTTCTGTGATGACTGCATTCAACTCACAGAGTTGAACACTCCTTTTGAGAGCGCAGTTTTGAAACTCTCTTTCTCTGGAATCTGCAAGGGGACATGCAGACCTCTTTGAAGGTTTCGTTGGAAACGGGAATCATCTTCACATAAAAATTACACAGAAGCATTCTCAGGAACTCCTTGGTGATGTTTGTATTCAAATTCCAGAGTTGAACTTTCCTTCGGAAAGAGCAGCTATGAAACACTCTTTTTCTAGAATCTGCAAGTGGACATTGGGAGGGCTGTGAGGTTTGTGGTGGAAAAGGAAATATCTCCACATAAATACTAGATAGAAGCCTTCTCAGAAACTACTTTGTGATGATTGCATTCACCTCACGGAGTGGAGCATTCCTATTGACAGAGCAGTTTGGAAACACTCTTGTTGTAGAATCTGCTAGTGGAGATTTGGAGCGCTTTGAGGCCTATGGTAGTAAAGGGAAGAGCTTCACATAAAATCTAGACAGAAGCATTCTCAGAAAATACTTTGTGATGATTGAGTTTAACACACAGAGCTGAACATTCCTTTGGATGGACAAGGTTTGAAACACACTTTCTGTAGAATCTGCGAGTGGATATTTGGAACTCTCTGAGGATTTCGTTGGAAACGGGATAACTGCACCTAACTAAACGGAAGCATTCTCACAAAATTCTTTGTGATGTTTGCATTCAAATCCCAGAGTTGAACCTTCCTTTGATAGTTCAGCTTTGAAACACTCTTTTTCTAGGATCTGCAGGTGGATATTTGGACCACTCTTTTGCCTTCGTTCGAAAAAGGTACATCTTCAAATAAAATCTAGACAGAAAGCCTTCTCAGTAAACTTCTCTGTGACGATTGCATTCAACCCAAAGAGTTGAACCCTCCTATGGATAGAGCAGTTTTGAATCTCTCTTTTTGTGGAATCTGCAAGTGGATATGTGGTCCTCTTTGAAGATGTCTTTGGAAACGGGAATATCTTCACATAAAAACTAAACAGAAGCATTCTCAGAAACTTCTCTGTGATGTTTGTGTTCAACTCACAGAGTTTCACGTTGCTTTTCATAGAGCAGATGAGAAACATGCTTTTCGTAGGGTCTGCAAGTGGACATTTGGAGAGATTTCCGGCCTGTGGTGGAAAACGAATTATCGTCACGTAAAAACTAGAGAGAAGCATTGTCAGAAACTTGTTTGTGATGACTGCATTCAACTCACAGAGTTGAAGGTTCCTTTTCAAACAGCAGTTTCCAAACACTCTTTCTGTGGCATCTGCAAGTGGATGTTTGGGCCTCTTTGAAGATTTCGTTGGAAACGGGATAATCTTCACAGAAAAGCTAAACAGAAGCATTCTCAGAAACTTCTTTGTGATGTTTGCTTACAACTCACAGAGTTGAACTTTCCTTTTGAGAGAGAAGCTTTGAAACACTCTTTTTCTAGAATCTGCAAGTGGATATTTGGAGGGCTTTGAGGCCTGTGGTGGAAAAGGAATTATCTTCCCGTAAGAACTAGATAGATGCATTCTCAGAAACTACTTTGTGACGATTGCATTCAAGTCACAGAGGTGAACATTCCCTTTCAGAGAGCACTTTGGAAACTCTCGTTGTGTAGAATCTGCAAGTGGAGATATGGACTGCTTTGAGGCCTATGGTAGTAAAGGAAACAGCTTCATATAAAAACTAGACAGCAGCATTCTCAGAAAACTCTTTGTGACGACTGAGTTTAACTCACAGGGCTGAACATTCCTTTGGATGGAGCAGTTTGGAAACACACTATCTGTAGGATCTGCAAGCGGATACTTGGGCCTCCCTGAGGATTTCGTTGGAAACGGGATAAACCGCACAGAACTAAACAGAAGCATTCTCAGAACCTTCTTCGTGATGTTTGCATTCAACCCACAGTGTTGAACCTTTCTTTGATAGTTCAGGTTTGAAACACTCTTTTTGTAGAAACTGCAATTGGATAACTGCACTTCTTTGAGGCCTATCGTGGTAAAGGAAATAACTTCCTATAAAAACAAGACAGAAGCTTTCTCAGAAAATTCTCTGGGATGATTGAGTTGAACTCACAGAGCAGTACTTTCCTTGGGATGGAGTAGTTTCGAAACACACTTTCTGTAGAATCTGCAAGTGGATATTTGGACCTGTCTGAGGAATTCGTTGCAAACGGGATAATTTCAGCTAAGTAAACAGAAGCAGTCTCAGAATCTTCTTGTGATGTTTGCATTCAAATCCCAGAATTGAACCTTCCTTTGAAAGTTCAGGTTGGAAACACTCTTTTTGCAGGATCTACAAGTGGATATTCGGACCACTCTGTGGACTTCGTTCGAAACGGGTATATCTTCACATAACATCTAGACAGAAGCATTCTCAGAAACTTTTCTGTGATGACTGCATTCAACTCACAGAGTTGAACACTCCTTTTGAGAGCGCAGTTTTGAAACTCTCTTTCTCTGGAATCTGCAAGGGGACATGCAGACCTCTTTTAAGGTTTCGTTGGAAACGGAATCATCTTCACATAAAAATTACACAGAAGCATCCTCAGGAACTCCTTGGTGATGTTTGTATTCAACTTCCAGAGTTGAACTTTCCTTCGGAAAGAGCAGCTATGAAACACTCTTTTTCTAGAATCTGCAAGTGGACATTGGGAGGGCTGTGAGGTTTGTGGTGGAAAAGGAAATATCTCCACATAAATACTAGATAGAAGCCTTCTCAGAAACTACTTTGTGATGACTGCATTCACCTCACGGAGTGGAGCATTCCTATTGACAGAGCAGTTTGGAAACACTCTTCTTGTAGAATCGGCTAGTGGAGAGTTGGAGCGCTTTGAGGCCTATGGTAGTAAAGGGAAGAGCTTCACATAAAATCTAGACAGAAGCATTCTCAGAAAATACTTTGTGATGATTGAGTTTAACACACAGAGCTGAACATTCCTTTGGATGGAGAAGGTTTGAAACACACTTTCTGTAGAATCTGCGAGTGGATATTTGGACCTCTCTGAGGATTTCGTTGGAAACGGGATAACTGCACCTAACTAAACGGAAGCATTCTCACAAAATTCTTTGTGATGTTTGCATTCAAATCCCAGAGTTGAAACTTCCTTTCATAGTTCAGCTTTGGAACACTCTTTTTGTAGCATCTGCAGGTGGATATTTGGACCACTCTTTGGCCTTCGTTCAAAACGGGTACATCTTCAAATAAAATCTAGACAGAAGCCTTCTCAGAAACTTCTCTGTGACGATTGCATTCAACTCAAAGCGTTGAAACCTCCTATGGATAGAGTCGTTTTGAATCTCTGTTTTTGTGGAATCTGCAAGTGGATATGTGGTCCTCTTTGAAGATGTCTTTGGAAACGGGAATATCTTCACATAAAAACTAAACAGAAGCATTCTCAGAAACTTCTCTGTGATGTTTGTGTTCAACTCACAGAGTTTCACGTTGCTTTTCATAGAGCAGATGAGAAACATGCTTTTCGTAGGGTCTGCAAGTGGACATTTGGAGAGCTTTCAGGCCTGTGGTCGAAAACGAATTATCGTCACGTAAAAACTAGAGAGAAGCATTGTCAGAAACTTGTTTGTGATGACTGCATTCAACTCACAGAGTTGAAGGTTCCTTTTCAAACAGCAGTTTCCAAACACTCTTTCTGAGGCATCTGCAAGTGGATGTTTGGGCCTCTTTGAAGATTTCGTTGGAAACGGGATAATCTTCACAGAAAAGCTAAACAGAAGCATGCTCAGAAACTTCTTTGTGATGTTTGCTTTCAACTCACAGAGTTGAACTTTCCTTTTGAGAGAGAAGCTTTGAAACACTCTTTTTCTAGAATCTGCAAGTGGATATTTGGAGAGCTTTGAGGCCTGAGGTGGAACAGGAATTATCTTCCCGTAAGAACTAGATAGATGCATTCTCAGAAACTACTTTGTGACGATTGCATTCAAGTCACAGAGGTGAACATTCCCTTTCAGAGAGCACTTTGGAAACTCTCGTTGTGTAGAATCTGCAAGTGGAGATATGGACCGCTTTGAGGCCTATGGTAGTAAAGGAAACAGCTTCATATAAAAACTAGACAGCAGCATTCTCAGAAAACCCTTTGTGACGACTGAGTTTAACTCACAGGGCTGAACATTCCTTTGGATGGAGCAGTTTGGAAACACACTATCTGTAGGATCTGCAAGCGGATACTTGGGCCTCCCTGAGGATTTCGTTGGAAACGGGATACACCGCACAGAACTAAACAGAAGCATTCTCAGAACCTCCTTCGTGACGTTTGCATTCAACCCACAGTGTTGAACCTTTCTTTGATAGTTCAGGTTTGAAACACTCTTTTTGTAGAAACTGCAAGTGGATAACTGCACTTCTTTGAGGCCTATCGTAGTAAAGGAAATAACTTCCTATAAAAACAAGACAGAAGCTTTCTCAGAAAATTCTCTGGGATGATTGAGTTGAACTCACAGAGCAGTACTTTCCTTGGGATGGAGTAGTTTCGAAACACACTTTCTGTAGAATCTGCAAGTGGATATTTGGACCTGTCTGAGGAATTCGTTGCAAACGGGATAATTTCAGCTAAGTAAACAGAAGCAATCTCCGAATCTTCTTTGTGATGTTTGCATTCGAATCCCAGAATTGAACCTTCCTTTGAAAGTTCAGGTTTGAAACTCTCTTTTTGCAGTATCTACAAGTGGATATTTGGACCACTCTGTGGCCTTCGTTCGAAACGGGTATATCTTCACATAACATCTAGACAGAAGCATTCTCAGAAACTTTTCTGTGATGACTGCATTCAACTCACAGAGTTGAACACTCCTTTTGAGAGCGCAGTTTTGAAACTCTCTTTCTCTGGAATCTGCAAGGGGACATGCAGACCTCTTTGAAGGTTTCATTGGAAACAGAATCATCTTCACATAAAAATTACACAGAAGCATCTTCAGGAACTCCTTGGTGATGTTTGTATTCAACTTCCAGAGTTGAACTTTCCTTCGGAAAGAGCAGCTATGAAACACTCTTTTTCTAGAATCTGCAAGTGGACATTGGGAGGGCTGTGAGGTTTGTGGTGGAAAAGGAAATATCTCCACATAAATACTAGATAGAAGCCTTCTCAGAAACTACTTTGTGATGATTGCATTCACCTCACGGAGTGGAGCATTCCTATTGACAGAGCAGTTGGAAACACTCTTGTTGTAGAATCTGCTAGTGGAGATTTGGAGCGCTTTGAGACCTATGGTAGTAAAAGGAAGAGCTTCACATAAAATCTAGACAGAAGCATTCTCAGAAAATACTTTGTGATGATTGAGTTTAACACACAGAGCTGAACATTCCTTTGGATGGAGAAGGTTTGAAACACACTTTCTGTAGAATCTGCGAGTGGATATTTGGACCTCTCTGAGGATTTCGTTGGAAACGGGATAACTGCACCTAACTAAACGGAAGCATTCTCACAAAATTCTTTGTGATGTTTGCATTCAAATCCCAGAGTTGAACCTTCCTTTGATAGTTCAGCTTTGAAACACTCTTTTTGTAGGATCTGCTGGTGGATATTTGGACCACTCTTTGGCCTTCGTTCGAAAAGGGTACATCTTCAAATAAAATCTAGACAGAAGCCTTCTCAGAAACTTCTCTGGGATGATTGCAGTCAACTCAAAGCGTTGAGCCCTCCTATGGATAGAGCAGTTTTGAATCTCTCTTTTTGTGGAATCTGCAAGTGGATATGTGGTCCTCTTTGAAGATGTCTTTGGAAACGGGAATATCTTCACATAAAAACTAAACAGAAGCATTCTCAGAAACTTCTCTGTGATGTTTGTGTTCAACTCACAGAGTTTCACGTTGCTTTTCATAGAGCAGATGAGAAACATGCTTTTCGTAGGGTCTGCAAGTGGACATTTGGAGAGCTTTCAGGCCTGTGGTGGAAAACGAATTATCGTCACGTAAAAACTAGAGAGAAGCATTGTCAGAAACTTGTTTGTGATGACTGCATTCAACTCACAGAGTTGAAGGTTCCTTTTCAAACAGCAGTTTCCAAACACTCTTTCTGTGGCATCTGCAAGTGGATGTTTGGGCCTCTTTGAAGATTTCGTTGGAAACGGGATAATCTTCACAGAAAAGCTAAACAGAAGCATTCTCAGAAACTTCTTTGTGATGTTTGCTTTCAACTCATAGAGTTGAACTTTCCTTTTGACAGAGAAGCTTTGAAACACTCTTTTTCTAGAATCTGCAAGTGGATATTTGGAGGGCTTTGAGGCCTGAGGTGGAAAAGGAATTATCTTCCTGTAAGAACTAGATAGATGCATTCTCAGAAACTACTTTGTGACGATTGCATTCAAGTCACAGAGGTGAACATTCCCTTTCAGAGAGCACTTTGGAAACTCTCGTTGTGTAGAATCTGCAAGTGGAGATATGGACCGCTTTGAGGCCTATGGTAGTAAAGGAAACAGCTTCATATAAAAACTAGACAGCAGCATTCTCAGAAAACTCTTTGTGACAACTGAGTTTAACTCACAGGGCTGAACATTCCTTTGGATGGAGCAGTTTGGAAACACACTATCTGTAGGATCTGCAAGCGGATACTTGGGCCTCTCTGAGGATTTCGTTGGAAACGGGATAAACCGCTCAGAACTAAACAGAAGCATTCTCAGAACCTTCTTCGTGATGTTTGCATTCAACCCACAGTGTTGAACCTTTCTTTGATAGTTCAGGTTTGAAACACTCTTTTTGTAGAAACTGCAAGTGGATAACTGCACTTCTTTGAGGCCTATCGTAGTAAAGGAAATAACTTCCTATAAAAACAAGACAGAAGCTTTCTCAGAAACTTCTCTGGGATGATTGAGTTGAACTCACAGAGCAGTACTTTCCTTGGGATGGAGTAGTTTCGAAACACACTTTCTGTAGAGTCTGCAAGTGGATATTTGGACCTGTCTGAGGAATTCGTTGCAAACGGGATAATTTCAGCTAAGTAAACAGAAGCAGTCTCAGAATCTTCTTGTGATGGTTGCATTCAAATCCCAGAATTGAACCTTCCTTTGAAAGTTCAGGTTGGAAACACTCTTTTTGCAGGATCTGCAAGTGGATATTCGGACCACTCTGTGGACTTCATTCGAAACGGATATATCTTCACATAACATCTAGACAGAAGCATTCTCAGAAACTTTTCTGTGATGACTGCATTCAACTCACAGAGTGGAACACTCCTTTTGAGAGCGCAGTTTTGAAACTCTCTTTCTCTGGAATCTGCAAGGGGACATGCAGACCTCTTTGAAGGTTTCGTTGGAAACGGAATCATCTTCACATAAAAATTACACAGAAGCATCCTCAGGAACTCCTTGGTGATGTTTGTATTCAACTTCCAGAGTTGAACTTTCCTTCGGAAAGAGCAGCTATGAAACACTCTTTTTCTAGAATCTGCAAGTGGACATTGGGAAGGCTGTGAGGTTTGTGGTGGAAAAGGAAATATCTCCACATAAATACTAGATAGAAGCCTTCTCAGAAACTACTTTGTGATGATTGCATTCACCTCACAGAGTTGAGCATTCCTATTGACAGAGCAGTTTGGAAACACTCTTGTTGTAGAATCTGCTAGTGGAGATTTGGAGCGCTTTGAGGCCTATGGTAGTAAAGGGAAGAGCTTCACATAAAATCTAGACAGAAGCATTCTCAGAAAATACTTTGTGATGATTGAGTTTAACACACAGAGCTGAACATTCCTTTGGATGGAGAAGGTTTGAAACACACTTTCTGTAGAATCTGCGAGTGGATATTTGGACCTCTCTGAGGATTTCGTTGGAAACGGGATAACTGCACCTAACTAAACGGAAGCATTCTCACAAAATTCTTCGTGATGTTTGCATTCAAATCCCAGAGTTGAACCTTCCTTTGATAGTTCAGCTTTGAAACACTCTTTTTGTAGGATCTGCAGGTGGATATTTGGACCACTCTTTGGCCTTCGTTCGAAACGGGTACATCTTCAAATAAAATCTAGACAGAAGCCTTCTCAGTAACTTCTCTGTGACGATTGCATTCAACTCAAAGCGTTGAACCCTCCTATGGATAGAGCAGTTTTGAATCTCTCTTTTTGTGGAATCTTCAAGTGGATGTGTGGTCCTCTTTGAAGATGTCTTTGGAAACGGGAATATCTTCACAGAAAAACTAAACAGAAGCATTCTCAGAAACTTCTCTGTGATGTTTGTGTTCAACTCACAGAGTTTCACGTTGCTTTTCATAGAGCAGATGAGAAACATGCTTTTCGTAGGGTCTGCAAGTGGACATTTGGAGAGCTTTCAGGCCTGTGGTGGAAAACGAATTATCGTCACGTAAAAACTAGAGAGAAGCATTGTCAGAAACTTGTTTGTGATGACTGCATTCAACTCACAGAGTTGAAGGTTCCTTTTCAAACAGCAGTTTCCAAACACTCTTTCTGTGGCATCTGCAAGTGGATGTTTGGGCCTCTTTGAAGATTTCGTTGGAAACGGGATAATCTTCACAGAAAAGCTAAACAGAAGCATTCTCAGAAACTTCTTTGTGATGTTTGCTTTCAACTCACAGAGTTGAACTTTCCTTTTGAGAGAGAAGCTTTGAAACACTCTTTTTCTAGAATCTGCAAGTGGATATTTGGAGGGCTTTGAGGCCTGAGGTGGAAAAGGAATTATCTTCCCGTAAGAACTAGATAGATGCATTCTCAGAAACTACTTTGTGGCGATTACATTCAAGTCACAGAGGTGAACATTCCCTTTCACAGAGCACTTTGGAAACTCTCGTTGTGTAGAATCTGCAAGTTTAGATATGGACCGCTTTGAGGCCTATGGTAGTAAAGGAAACAGCTTCATATAAAAACTAGACAGCAGCATTCTCAGAAAACTCTTTGTGACGACTGAGTTTAACTCACAGGGCTGAACATTCCTTTGGATGGAGCAGTTTGGAAACACACTATCTGTAGGATCTGCAAGCGGATACTTGGGCCTCTGTGAGGATTTCGTTGGAAACGGGATAAACCGCACAGAACTAAACAGAAGCATTCTCAGAACCTTCTTCGTGATGTTTGCATTCAACCCACAGTGTTGAACCTTTCTTTGATAGTTCAGGTTTGAAACACTCTTTCTGTAGAAACTGCAAGTGGATAACTGCACTTCTTTGAGGCCTATCGTAGTAAAGGAAATAACTTCCTATAAAAACAAGACAGAAGCTTTCTCAGAAAATTCTCTGGGATGATTGAGTTGAACTCACAGAGCAGTACTTTCCTTGGGATGGAGTAGTTTCGAAACACACTTTCTGTAGAATCTGCAAGTGGATATTTGGACCTGTCTGAGGAATTCGTTGCAAACGGGATAATTTCAGCTAAGTAAACAGAAGCAGTCTCAGAATCTTCTTGTGATGTTTCCATTCAAATCCCAGAATTGAACCTTCCTTTAAAAGTTCATGTTGGAAACACTCTTTTTGCAGGATCTACAAGTGGATATTCGGACCACTCTGTGGACTTCGTTCGAAACGGGTATATCTTCACATAACATCTAGACAGAAGCATTCTCAGAAACTTTTCTGTGATGACTGCATTCAACTCACAGAGTTGAACACTCCTTTTGAGAGCGCAGTTTTGAAACTCTCTTTCTCTGGAATCTGCAAGGGGACATGCAGACCTCTTTGAAGGTTTCGTTGGAAACGGAATCATCTTCACATAAAAATTACACAGAAGCATCCTCAGGAACTCCTTGGTGATGTTTGTATTCAACTTCCAGAGTTGAACTTTCCTTCGGAAAGAGCAGCTATGAAACACTCTTTTTCTAGAATCTGCAAGTGGACATTGGGAGGGCTGTGAGGTTTGTTGTGGAAAAGGAAATATCTCCACATAAATACTAGATAGAAGACTTCTCAGAAACTACTTTGTGATGATTGTATTCACCTCACGGAGTGGAGCATTCCTATTGACAGAGCAGTTTGGAAACACTCTTGTTGTAGAATCTGCTAGTGGAGATTTGGAGTGCTTTGAGGCCTATGGTAGTAAAGGGAAGAGCTTCACATAAAATCTAGACACAAGCATTCTCAGAAAATTCTTTGTGATGATTGTGTTTAACACATAGAGCTGAACATTCCTTTGGAGGGAGAAGGTTTGAAACACACTTTCTGTAGAATCTGCGAGTGGATATTTGGACCTCTCTGAGGATTTCGTTGGAAACGGGATAACTGCACCTAACTAAACGGAAGCATTCTCACAAAATTCTTTGTGATGTTTGCATTCAAATCCCAGAGTTGAACCTTCCTTTGATAGTTCAGCTTTGAAACACTCTTTTTGTAGGATCTGCAAGTGGATATTTGGACCACCCTTTGGCCTTCGTTCGAAACGGGTACATATTCAAATAAAATCTAGACAGAAGCCTTCTCAGAAACTTCTCTGTGACGATTGCATTCAACTCAAAGCGTTGAACCCTCCTATGGATAGAGCAGTTTTGAATCTCTCTTTTTGTGGAATCTGCAAGTGGATATGTGGTCCTCATTGAAGATGTCTTTGGAAACGGGAATATCTTCACATAAAAACTAAACAGAAGCATTCTCAGAAACTTCTCTGTGATGTTTGTGTTCAACTCACAGAGTTTCACGTTGCTTTTCATAGAGCAGATGAGAAACATGCTTTTCGTAGGGTCTGCAAGTGGACATTTGGAGAGATTTCCGGCCTGTGGTGGAAAACGAATTATCGTCACGTAAAAACTAGAGAGAAGCATTGTCAGAAACTTGTTTGTGATGACTGCATTCAACTCACAGAGTTGAAGGTTCCTTTTCAAACAGCAGTTTCCAAACACTCTTTCTGTGGCATCTGCAAGTGGATGTTTGGGCCTCTTTGAAGATTTCGTTGGAAACGGGATAATCTTCACAGAAAAGCTAAACAGAAGCATTCTCAGAAACTTCTTTGTGATGTTTGCTTTCAACTCACAGAGTTGAACTTTCCTTTTGAGAGAGAAGCTTTGAAACACTCTTTTTCTAGAATCTGCAAGTGGATATTTGGAGGCCTTTGAGGCCTGAGGTGGAAAAGGAATTATATTCCCGTAAGAACTAGATAGATGCATTCTCAGAAAGTACTTTGTGACGATTGCATTCAAGTCACAGAGGTGAACATTCCCTTTCAGAGAGCACTTTGGAAACTCTCGTTGTGTAGAATCTGCAAGTGGAGATATGGACCGCTTTGAGGCCTATGGTAGTAAAGGAAACAGCTTCATGTAAAAACTAGACAGCAGCATTCTCAGAAAACTCTTTGTGACGACTGAGTTTAACTCACAGGGCTGAACATTCCTTTGGATGGAGCAGTTTGGAAACACACTATCTGTAGGATCTGCAAGCGGATACTTGGGCCTCCCTGAGGATTTCGTGGGAAACGGGATAAACCGCACAGAACTAAACAGAAGCATTCTCAGAACCTTCTTCGTGATGTTTGCATTCAACCCACAGTGTTGAACCTTTCTTTGATAGTTCAGGTTTGAAACACTCTTTTTGTAGAAACTGCAAGTGGATAACTGCACTTCTTTGAGGCCTATCGTAGTAAAGGAAATAACTTCCTATAAAAACAAGACAGAAGCTTTCTCAGAAAAATCTCTGGGATGATTGTGTTGAACTCACAGAGCAGTACTTTCCTTGGGATGGAGTAGTTTCGAAACACACTTTCTGTAGAATCTGCAAGTGGATATTTGGACCTGTCTGAGGAATTCGTTGCAAACGGGATAATTTCAGCTAAGTAAACAGAAGCAGTCTCAGAATCTTCTTGTGATGTTTGCATTCAAATCCCAGAATTGAACCTTCCTTTGAAAGTTCAGGTTGGAAACACTCTTTTTGCAGGATCTACAAGTGGATATTCGGACCACTCTGTGGACTTCGTTCGAAACGGCTATATCTTCACATAACATCTAGACAGAAGCATTCTCAGAAACTTTTCTGTGATGACTGCATTCAACTCACAGAGTTGAACACTCCTTTTGAGAGCGCAGTTTTGAAACTCTCTTTCTCTGGAATCTGCAAGGGGACATGCAGACCTCTTTGAAGGTTTCGTTGGAAACGGAATCATCTTCACATAAAAATTACACAGAAGCCTCCTCAGGAACTCCTTGGTGATGTTTGTATTCAACTTCCAGAGTTGAACTTTCCTTCGGAAAGAGCAGCTATGAAACACTCTTTTTCTAGAATCTGCAAGTGGACATTGGGAGGGCTGTGAGGTTTGTGGTGGAAAAGGAAATATCTCCACATAAATACTAGATAGAAGCCTTCTCAGAAACTACTTTGTGATGACTGCATTCACCTCACGGAGTGGAGCATTCCTATTGACAGAGCAGTTTGGAAACACTCTTCTTGTAGAATCGGCTAGTGGAGAGTTGGAGCGCTTTGAGGCCTATGGTAGTAAAGGGAAGAGCTTCACATAAAATCTAGACAGAAGCATTCTCAGAAAATACTTTGTGATGATTGAGTTTAACACACAGAGCTGAACATTCCTTTGGATGGAGAAGGTTTGAAACACACTTTCTGTAGAATCTGCGAGTGGATATTTGGACCTCTCTGAGGATTTCGTTGGAAACGGGATAACTGCACCTAACTAAACGGAAGCATTCTCACAAAATTCTTTGTGATGTTTGCATTCAAATCCCAGAGTTGAACCTTCCTTTGATAGTTCAGTTTTGAAACACTCTTTTTGTAGGATCTGCAGGTGGATATTTGGACCACTCTTTGGCCTTCGTTCGAAAAGGGTACATCTTCAAATAAAATCTAGACAGAAGCCTTCTCAGAAACTTCTCTGTGACGATTGCATTCAACTCAAAGCGTTGAACCCTCCTATGGATAGAGCAGTTTTGAATCTCTCTTTTTGTGGAATCTGCAAGTGGATATGTGGTCCTCTTTGAAGATGTCTTTGGAAACGGGAATATCTTCACATAAAAA
The DNA here is from genome assembly GCF_000001405.40 of Homo sapiens. Classification (NCBI taxonomy): domain Eukaryota; kingdom Metazoa; phylum Chordata; class Mammalia; order Primates; family Hominidae; genus Homo; species Homo sapiens. The sequence continues at coordinate 23,088,331 of NC_000017.11, forward strand.
CTAAACAGAAGCATTCTCAGAAACTTCTCTGTGATGTTTGTGTTCAAATCACAGAGTTTCACGTTGCTTTTCATAGAGCAGATGAGAAACATGCTTTTCGTAGGGTCTGCAAGTGGACATTTGGAGAGCTTTCAGGCCTGTGGTGGAAAACGAATTATCGTCACGTAAAAACTAGAGAGAAGCATTGTCAGAAACTTGTTTGTGATGACTGCATTCAACTCACAGAGTTGAAGGTTCCTTTTCAAACAGCAGTTTCCAAACACTCTTTCTGTGGCATCTGCAAGTGGATGTTTGGGCCTCTTTGAAGATTTCGTTGGAAACGGGATAATCTTCACAGAAAAGCTAAACAGAAGCATTCTCAGAAACTTCTTTGTGATGTTTGCTTTCAACTCACAGAGTTGAACTTTCCTTTTGAGAGAGAAGCTTTGAAACACTCTTTTTCTAGAATCTGCAAGTGGACATTGGGAGGGCTGTGAGGTTTGTGGTGGAAAAGGAAATATCTCCACATAAATACTAGATAGAAGCCTTCTCAGAAACTACTTTGTGATGATTGCATTCACCTCACGGAGTGGAGCATTCCTATTGACAGAGCAGTTTGGAAACACTCTTGTTGTAGAATCTGCTAGTGGAGATTTGGAGCGCTTTGAGGCCTATGGTAGTAAAGGGAAGAGCTTCACATAAAATCTAGACAGAAGCATTCTCAGAAAATACTTTGTGATGATTGAGTTTAACACACAGAGCTGAACATTCCTTTGGATGGAGAAGGTTTGAAACACACTTTCTATAGAATCTGCGAGTGGATATTTGGACCTCTCTGAGGATTTCGTTGGAAACGGGATAACTGCACCTAACTAAACGGAAGCATTCTCACAAAATTCTTTGTGATGTTTGCATTCAAATCCCAGAGTTGACCCTTCCTTTGATAGTTCAGCTTTGAAACACTCTTTTTGTAGGATCTGCTGGTGGATATTTGGACCACTCTTTGGCCTTCGTTCGAAACGGGTACATCTTCAAATAAAATCTAGACAGAAGCCTTCTCAGAAACTTCTCTGTGACGATTGCATTCAACTCAAAGCGTTGAACCCTCCTATGGATAGAGCTGTTTTGAATCTCTCTTTTTGTGGAATCTGCAAGTGGATATGTGGTCCTCTTTGAAGATGTCTTTGGAAACGGGAATATCTTCACATAAAAACTAAACAGAAGCATTCTCAGAAACTTCTCTGTGATGTTTGTGTTCAACTCACAGAGTTTCACGTTGCTTTTCATAGAGCAGATGAGAAACATGCTTTTCGTAGGGTCTGCAAGTGGACATTTGGAGAGATTTCAGGCCTGTGGTGGAAAACGAATTATCGTCACGTAAAAACTAGAGAGAAGCATTGTCAGAAACTTGTTTGTGATGATTGCATTCAACTCACAGAGTTGAAGGTTCCTTTTCAAACAGCAGTTTCCAAACACTCTTTCTGTGGCATCTGCAAGTGGATGTTTGGGCCTCTTTGAAGATTTCGTTGGAAACGGGATAATCTTCACAGAAAAGCTAAACAGAAGCATTCTCAGAAACTTCTTTGTGATGTTTGCTTTCAACTCACAGAGTTGAACTTTCCTTTTGAGAGAGAAGCTTTGAAACACTCTTTTTCTAGAATCTGCAAGTGGATATTTGGAGGGCTTTGAGGCCTGTGGTGGAAAAGGAATTATCTTCCCGTTAAAACTAGATAGATGCATTCTCAGAAACTACTTTGTGTCGATTGCATTCAAGTCACAGAGGTGAACATTCCCTTTCAGAGAGCACTTTGGAAACCCTCGTTGTGTAGAATCTGCAAGTGGAGATATGGACCGCTTTGAGGCCTATGGTAGTAAAGGAAACAGCTTCATATAAAAACTAGACAGCAGCATTCTCAGAAAACTCTTTGTGACGACTGAGTTTAACTCACAGGGCTGAACATTCCTTTGGATGGAGCAGTTTGGAAACACACTATCTGTAGGATCTGCAAGCGGATACTTGGGCCTCTCTGAGGATTGCGTTGGAAACGGGATAAACCGCACAGAACGAAACAGAAGCATTCTCAGAACCTTCTTCGTGATGTTTGCATTCAACCCACAGTGTTGAACCTTTCTTTGATAGTTCAGGTTTGAAACACTCTTTTTGTAGAAACTGCAAGTGGATAACTGCACTTCTTTGAGGCCTATCGTAGTAAAGGAAATAACTTCCTATAAAAACAAGACAGAAGCTTTCTCAGAAAATTCTCTGCGATGATTGAGTTGAACTCACAGAGCAGTACTTTCCTTGGGATGGAATAGTATCGAAACACACTTTCTGTAGAATCTGCAAGTGGATATTTGGACCTGTCTGAGGAATTCGTTGCAAACGGGATAATTTCAGATAAGTAAACAGAAGCAGTCTCAGAATCTTCTTGTGATGTTTGCATTCAAATCCCAGAACTGAACCTTCCTTTGAAAGTTCAGGTTGGAAACACTCTTTTTGCAGGATCTACAAGTGGATATTCGGACCACTCTGTGGACTTCGTTCGAAACGGGTATATCTTCACATAACATCTAGACAGAAGCATTCTCAGAAACTTTTCTGTGATGACTGCATTCAACTCACAGAGTTGAACACTCCTTTTGAGAGCGCAGATTTGAAACTCTCTTTCTCTGGAATCTGCAAGGGGACATGCAGACCTCTTTGAAGTTTTCGTTGGAAACGGAATCATCTTCACATAAAAATTACACAGAAGCATTCTCAGGAACTCCTTGGTGATGTTTGTATTCAACTTCCAGAGTTGAAGTTTCCTTCGGAAAGAGCAGCTATGAAACACTCTTTTTCTAGAATCTGCAAGTGGACATTGGGAGGGCTGTGAGGTTTGTGGTGGAAAAGGAAATATCTCCACGTAAATACTAGATAGAAGCCTTCTCAGAAACTACTTTGTGATGATCGCATTCACCTCACGGAGTGGAGCATTCCTATTGACAGAGCAGTTTGGAAACACTCTTGTTGTAGAATCTGCTAGTGGAGATTTGGAGCGCTTTGAGGCCTATGGTAGTAAAGGGAAGAGCTTCACATAAAATCTAGACAGAAGCATTCTCAGAAAATACTTTGTGATGATTGAGTTTAACACACAGAGCTGCACATTCCTTTGGATGGAGAAGGTTTGAAACACACTTTCTGTAGAATCTGCGAGTGGATATTTGGAACTCTCTGAGGATTTCGTTGGAAACGGGATAACTGCACCTAAATAAACGGAAGCATTCTCACAAAATTCTTTGTGATGTTTGCATTCAAATCCCAGAGTTGACCCTTCCTTTGATAGTTCAGCTTTGAAACACTCTTTTTGGAGGATCTGAAAGTGGATATTTGGACCACTCTTTGGCCTTCGTTCGAAACGGGTACATCTTCAAATAAAATCTAGACAGAAGCCTTCTCAGAAACTTCTCTGTGACGATTGCATTCAACTCAGAGAGTTGAACCCTCCTATGGATGGAGCAGTTTTGAATCTCTCTTTTTGTGGAATCTGCAAGTGGATATGTGGTCCTCTTTGAAGATGTCTTTGGAAACGGGAATATCTTCACATAAAAACTAAACAGAAGCATTCTCAGAAACTTCTCTGTGATGTTTGTGTTCAACTCACAGAGTTTCACGTTGCTTTTCATAGAGCAGATGAGAAACATGCTTTTCGTAGGGTCTGCAAGTGGACATTTGGAGAGCTTTCAGGCCTGTGGTGGAAAACGAATTATCGTCACGTAAAAACTAGAGAGAAGCATTGTCAGAAACTTGTTTGTGATGACTGCATTCAACTCACAGAGTTGAAGGTTCCTTTTCAAACAGAAGTTTCCAAACACTCTTTCTGTGGCATCTGCAAGTGGATGTTTGGGCCTCTTTGAAGATTTCGTTGGAAACGGGATAATCTTCACAGAAAAGCTAAACAGAAGCATTCTCAGAAACTTCTTTGTGATGTTTGCTTTCAACTCACAGAGTTGAACTTTCCTTTTGAGAGAGAAGCTTTGAAACACTCTTTTTCTAGAATCTGCAAGTGGACATTGGGAGGGCTGTGAGGTTTGTGGTGGAAAAGGAAATATCTCCACATAAATACTAGATAGATGCATTCTCAGAAACTACTTTGTGACGATTGCATTCAAGTCACAGAGGTGAACATTCCCTTTCAGAGAGCACTTTGGAAACTCTCGTTGTGTAGAATCTGCAAGTGGAGATATGGACCGCTTTGAGGCCTATGGTAGTAAAGGAAACAGCTTCATATAAAAACTAGACAGCAGCATTCTCAGAAAACTCTTTGTGACGACTGAGTTTAACTCACAGGGCTGAACATTCCTTTGGATGGAGCAGTTTGGAAACACACTATCTGTAGGATCTGCAAGCGGATACTTGGGCCTCCCTGAGGATTTCGTGGGAAACGGGATAAACCGCACAGAACTAAACAGAAGCATTCTCAGAACCTTCTTCGTGATGTTTGCATTCAACCCACAGTGTTGAACCTTTCTTTGATAGTTCAGGTTTGAAACACTCTTTTTGTAGAAACTGCAAGTGGATAACTGCACTTCTTTGAGGCCTATCGTAGTAAAGGAAATAACTTCCTATAAAAACAAGACAGAAGCTTTCTCAGAAAATTCTCTGGGATGATTGAGTTGAACTCACAGAGCAGTACTTTCTTTGGGATGGAGTAGTTTCGAAACACACTTTCTGTACAATCTGCAAGTGGATATTTGGACCTGTCTGAGGAATTCGTTGCAAACGGGATAATTTCAGCTAAGTAAACAGAAGCAGTCTCAGAATCTTCTTGTGATGTTTGCATTCAAATCCCAGAATTGAACCTTCCTTTGAAAGTTCAGGTTGGAAACACTCTTTTTGCAGGATCTACAAGTGTATATTCGGACCACTCTGTGGACTTCGTTCGAAACGGGTATATCTTCACATAACATCTAGACAGAAGCATTCTCAGAAACTTTTCTGTGATGACTGCATTCAACTCACAGAGTTGAACACTCCTTTTGAGAGCGCAGTTTTGAAACTCTCTATCTCTGGAATCTGCAAGGGGACATGCAGACCTCTTTGAAGATTTCGTTGGAAACGGAATCATCTTCACATAAAAATTACACAGAAGCATCCTCAGGAACTCCTTGGTGATGTTTGTATTCAACTTCCAGAGTTGAACTTTCCTTCGGAAAGAGCAGCTATGAAACACTCTTTTTCTAGAATCTGCAAGTGGACATTGGGAGGGCTGTGAGGTTTGTGGTGGAAAAGGAAATATCTCCACATAAATACTAGATAGAAGCCTTCTCAGAAACTACTTTGTGATGATTGCATTCACCTCACGGAGTGGAGCATTCCTATTGACAGAGCAGTTTGGAAACACTCTTCTTGTAGAATCGGCTAGTGGAGATTTGGAGCGCTTTGAGGCCTATGGTGGTAAAGGGAAGAGCTTCACATAAAATCTAGACAGAAGCATTCTCAGAAAATACTTTGTGATGATTGAGTTTAACACACAGAGCTGAACATTCCTTTGGATGGAGAAGGTTTGAAACACACTTTCTGTAGAATCTGCGAGTGGATATTTGGACCTCTCGGAGGATTTCGTTGGAAACGGGATAACTGCACCTAACTAAACGGAAGCATTCTCACAAAAATCTTTGTGATGTTTGCATTCAAATCCCAGAGTTGAACCTTCCTTTGATAGTTCAGCTTTGAAACACTCTTTTTGTAGGATCTGCAGGTGGATATTTGGACCACTCTTTGGCCTTCGTTCGAATAGGGTACATCTTCAAATAAAATCTAGACAGAAGCCTTCTCAGAAACTTCTCTGTGACGATTGCATTCAACTCAAAGAGTTGAACCCTCCTATGGATAGAGCAGTTTTGAATCTCTCTTTTTGTGGAATCTGCAAGTGGATATGTGGTCCTCTTTGAAGATGTCTTTGGAAACGGGAATATCTTCACATAAAAACTAAACAGAAGCATTCTCAGAAACTTCTCTGTGATGTTTGTGTTCAACTCACAGAGTTTCACGTTGCTATTCATAGAGCAGATGAGAAACTTGCTTTTCGTAGGGTCTGCAAGTGGACATTTGGAGAGATTTCCGGCCTGTGGTGGAAAACGAATTATCGTCACGTAAAAACTAGAGAGAAGCCTTGTCAGAAACTTGTTTGTGATGACTGCATTCAACTCACAGAGTTGAAGGTTCCTTTCCAAACAGCAGTTTCCAAACACTCTTTCTGTGGCATCTGCAAGTGGATGTTTGGGCCTCTTTGAAGATTTCGTTGGAAACGGGATAATCTTCACAGAAAAGCTAAACAGAAGCATTCTCAGAAACTTCTTTGTGATGTTTGATTTCAACTCACAGAGTTGAACTTTCCTTTTGAGAGAGAAGCTTTGAAACACTCTTTTTCTAGAATCTGCAAGTGGATATTTGGAGGGCTTTGAGGCCTGAGGTGGAAAAGGAATTATCTTCCCGTAAGAACTAGATAGATGCATTCTCAGAAACTACTTTGTGACGATTTCATTCAAGTCACAGAGGTGAACATTCCCTTTCACAGAGCACTTTGGAAACTCTCGTTGTGTAGAATCTGCAAGTGGAGATATGGAACGCTTTGAGGCCTATGGTAGTAAAGGAAACAGCTTCATATAAATTAGACAGCAGCATTCTCAGAAAACTCTTTGTGACGACTGAGTTTAACTCACAGGGCTGAACATTCCTTTGGATGGAGCAGTTTGGAAACACACTATCTGTAGGATCTGCAAGCGGATACTTGGGCCTCCCTGAGGATTTCGTTGGAAACGGGATACACCGCACAGAACTAAACAGAAGCATTCTCAGAACCTTCTTCGTGATGTTTGCATTCAACCCACAGTGTTGAACCTTTCTTTGATAGTTCAGGTTTGAAACACTCTTTTTGTAGAAACTGCAAGTGGATAACTGCACTTCTTTGAGGCCTATCGTAGTAAAGGAAATAACTTCCTATAAAAACAAGACAGAAGCTTTCTCAGAAAATTCTCTGGGATGATTGAGTTGAACACACAGAGCAGTACTTTCCTTGGAATGGAGTAGTTTCGAAACACACTTTCTGTAGAATCTGCAAGTGGATATTTGGACCTGTCTGAGGAATTCGTTGCAAACGGGATAATTTCAGCTAAGTAAACAGAAGCAGTCTCAGAATCTTCTTGTGATGTTTGCATTCAAATCCCAGAACTGAACCTTCCTTTGAAAGTTCAGGTTGGAAACACTCTTTTTGCAGGATCTACAAGTGGATATTCGGACCACTCTGTGGACTTCGTTCGAAACGGGTATATCTTCACATAACATCTAGACAGAAGCATTCTCAGAAACTTTTCTGTGATGACTGCATTCAACTCACAGAGTTCAACACTCCTTTTGAGAGCGCAGTTTGGAAACTCTCTTTCTCTGGAATCTGCAAGGGGACATGCAGACCTCTTTGAAGGTTTCATTGGAAACGGAATCATCTTCACATAAAAATTACACAGAAGCATCCTCAGGAACTCCTTGGTGATGTTTGTATTCAACTTCCAGAGTTGAACTTTCCTTCGGAAAGAGCAGCTATGAAACACTCTTTTTCTAGAATCTGCAAGTGGACATTTGGAGGGCTGTGAGGTTTGTGGTGGAAAAGGAAATATCTCCACATAAATACTAGATAGAAGCCTTCTCAGAAACTCCTTTGTGATGATTGCATTCACCTCACGGAGTGGAGCACTCCTATTGACAGAGCAGTTTGGAAACACTCTTGTTGTAGAATCTCCTAGTGGAGATTTGGAGCGCTTTGAGGCCTATGGTAGTAAAGGGAAGAGCTTCACATAAAATCTAGACAGAAGCATTCTCAGAAAATACTTTGTGATGATTGAGTTTAACACACAGAGCTGAACATTCCTTTGGATGGAGAAGGTTTGAAACACACTTTCTGTAGAATCTGCGAGTGGATATTTGGACCTCTCTGAGGATTTCGTTGGAAACGTGATAACTGCACCTAACTAAACGGAAGCATTCTCACAAAATTCTTTGTGATGTTTGCATTCAAATCCCAGAGTTGAACCTTCCTTTGATAGTTCAGCTTTGAAACACTCTTTTTGTAGGATCTGCTGGTGGATATTTGGACCACTCTTTGGCCTTCGTTCGAAACGGGTACATCTTCAAATAAAATCTAGACAGAAGCCTTCTCAGAAACTTCTCTGTGACGATTGCATTCAACTCACAGCGTTGAACCCTCCTAAGGATAGAGCAGTTTTGAATCTCTCTTTTTGTGGAATCTGCAAGTGGATATGTGGTCCTCTTTGAAGATGTCTTTGGAAACGGGAATATCTTCACATAAAAACTAAACAGAAGCATTCTCAGAAACTTCTCTGTGATGTTTGCGTTCAACTCACAGAGTTTCACATTGCTTTTCATAGAGCAGTTCTGAAACATGCTTTTCGGAATATCTGCAAGTGGACATTTGGAGAGCTTTCAGGCCTGTGGTGGAAAACGAATTATCGTCACATAAAAACTAGAGAGAAGCATTCTCAGAAACTTTTCTGTGATGACTGCACTCAACTCACAGAGTTGAACACTCCTTTTGAGAGCGCAGTTTTGAAACTCTCTTTCTCTGGAATCTGCAAGGGGACATGCAGACCTCTTTGAAGGTTTCGTTGGAAACGGAATCATCTTCACATAAAAATTACACAGAAGCATGCTCAGGATCTCCTTGGTGATGTTTGTATTCAACTTCCAGAGTTGAACTTTCTTTCGGAAAAAACAGCTATGAAACACTCTTTTTCTAGAATCTGCAAGTGGATATTTGGAGGGCTTTGAGGTTTGTGGTGGAAAAAGAAATATCTTCACATAAATAGTAGATAGAAGCATTCTCAGAAACTACTTTGTGATGATTGCATTCACCTCACAGAGTTGAACATTCCCTTTGACAGAGCACTTTGGAAACTCTCGTTGTGTAGCGTCTGCAAGTTGAGATATGGACCGCTTTGAGGCCTATGGTAGTAAAGGAAATAGCTTCATATAAAAACTAGACAGTAGCATTCTCAGAAAACTCTTTGTGACGACTGAGTTTAACTCACAGGGCTGAACATTCCTTTGGATGGAGCAGTTTGGAAACACACTATCTGTAGGATCTGCAAGCGGATACTTGGGCCTCTCTGAGGATTGCGTTGGAAACGGGATAAACCGCACAGAACTAAACAGAAGCATTCTCAGAACCTTCTTCGTGATGTTTGCATTCAACCCACAGTGTTGAACCTTTCTTTGATAGTTCAGGTTTGAAACACTCTTTTTGTAGAAACTGCAAGTGGATAACTGCACTTCTTTGAGGCCTATCGTAGTAAAGGAAATAACTTCCTATAAAAACAAGACAGAAGCTTTCTCAGAAAATTCTCTGGGATGATTGAGTTGAACTCACAGAGCAGTACTTTCCTTGGGATGGAGTAGTTTCGAAACACACTTTCTGTAGAATCTGCAAGTGGATATTTGGACCTGTCTGAGGAATTCGTTGCAAACGGGATAATTTCAGCTAAGTAAACAGAAGCAGTCTCAGAATCTTCTTGTGATGTTTGCATTCAAATCCCAGAATGAAACCTTCCTTTGAAAGTTCAGGTTGGAAACACTCTTTTTGCAGGATCTACAAGGGGATATTCGGACCACTCTGTGGACTTCGTTCGAAACGGGTATATCTTCACATAACATCTAGACAGAAGCATTCTCAGAAACTTTTCTGTGATGACTGCATTCAACTCACAGAGTTGAACACTCCTTTTGAGAGCGCAGTTTTGAAACTCTCTTTCTCTGGAATCTGCAAGGGGACATGCAGACCTCTTTGAAGGTTTCGTTGGAAACGGAATCATCTTCACATAAAAATTACACAGAAGCATCCTCAGGAACTCCTTGGTGATGTTTGTATTCAACTTCCAGAGTTGAACTTTCCTTCGGAAAGAGCAGCTATGAAACACTCTTTTTCTAGAATCTGCAAGTGGACCTTGGGAGGGCTGTGAGGTTTGTGGTGGAAAAGGAAAAATCTCCACATAAATACTAGATAGAAGCCTTCTCAGAAACTCCTTTGTGATGATTGCATTCACCTCACGGAGTGGAGCATTCCTATTGACAGAGCAGTTTGGAAACACTCTTGTTGTAGAATCGGCTAGTGGAGATTTGGAGCGCTTTGAGGCCTATGGTAGTAAAGGGAAGAGCTTCACATAAAATCTAGACAGAAGCATTCTCAGAAAATACTTTGTGATGATTGAGTTTAACACACAGAGCTGAACATTCCTTTGGATGGAGAAGGTTTGAAACACACTTTCTGTAGAATCTGCGAGTGGATATTTGGACCTCTCTGAGGATTTCGTTGGAAACGGGATAACTGCACCTAACTAAACGGAAGCATTCTCACAAAATTCTTTGTGATGTTTGCATTCAAATCCCAGAGTTGAACCTTCCTTTGATAGTTCAGCTTTGAAACACTCTTTTTGTAGGATCTGCAAGTGGATATTTGGACCACTCTTTGGCCTTCGTTCGAAACGGGTACATCTTCAAATAAAATCTAGACAGAAGCCTTCTCAGAAACTTCTCTGTGACGATTGCATTCAACAAAAAGAGTTGAACCGTAATACGGATAGAGCAGTTTTGAATCTCTCTTTTTGTGGAATCTGCAAGTGGATATGTGGTCCTCTTTGAAGATGTCTTTGGAAACGGGAATATCTTCACATAAAAACTAAACAGAAGCATTCTCAGAAACTTCTCTGTGATGTTTGTGTTCAACTCACAGAGTTTCACGTTGCTTTTCATAGAGCAGATGAGAAACATACTTTTCGTAGGGTCTGCAAGTGGACATTTGGAGAGATTTCAGGCCTGTGGTGGAAAACGAATTATCGTCACGTAAAAACTAGAGAGAAGCATTGTCAGAAACTTGTTTGTGATGACTGCATTCAACCCACAGAGTTGAAGGTTCCTTTTCAAACAGCAGTTTCCAAACACTCTTTCTGTGGCATCTGCAAGTGGATGTTTGGGCCTCTTTGAAGATTTCGTTGGAAACGGGATAATCTTCACAGAAAAGCTAAACAGAAGCATGCTCAGAAACTTCTTTGTGATGTTTGCTTTCAACTCACAGAGTTGAACTTTCCTTTTGAGAGAGAAGCTTTGAAACACTCTTTTTCTAGAATCTGCAAGTGGATATTTGGAGGGCATTGAGGCCTGAGGTGGAACAGGAATTATCTTCCCGTAAGAACTAGATAGATGCATTCTCAGAAACTTCTTTGTGACGATTGCATTCAAGTCACAGAGGTGAACATTCCCTTTCAGAGAGCACTTTGGAAACTCTCGCTGTGTAGAATCTGCAAGTGGAGATATGGACCGCTTTGAGGCCTATGGTAGTAAAGGAAACAGCTTCATATAAAAGCTAGACAGCAGCATTCTCAGAAAACTCTTTGTGACGACTGAGTTTAACTCACAGGGCTGAACATTCCTTTGGATGGAGCAGTTTGGAAACACACTATCTGTAGGATCTGCAAGCGGATACTTGGGCCTCCCTGAGGATTTCGTTGGAAACGGGATAAACCGCACAGAACTAAACAGAAGCATTCTCAGAACCTTCTTCGTGATGTTTGCATTCAACCCACAGTGTTGAACCTTTCTTTGATAGTTCAGGTTTGAAACACTCTTTTTGTAGAAACTGCAAGTGGATAACTGCACTTCTTTGAGGCCTATCTTAATAAAGGAAATAAATTCCTATAAAAACAAGACAGAAAGCTTTCTCAGAAAATTCTCTGGGATGATTGAGTTGAACTCACAGAGCAGTACTTTCCTTGGGATGGAGTAGTTTCGAAACACACTTTCTGTAGAATCTGCAAGTGGGTATTTGGACCTGTCTGAGGAATTCGTTGCAAACGGGATAATTTCAGCTAAGTAAACAGAAGCAGTCTCAGCAATCTTCTTGTGATGGTTGCATTCAAATCCCAGAATGGAACCTTCCTTTGAAAGTTCAGGTTGGAAACACTCTTTTTGCAGGATCTACAAGTGGATATTCGGACCACTCTGTGGACTTCGCTCGAAACGGGTATATCTTCACATAACATCTAGACAGAAGCATTCTCAGAAACTTTTCTGTGATGACTGCATTCAACTCACAGAGTTGAACACTCCTTTTGAGAGCGCAGTTTTGAAACTCTCTTTCTCTGGAATCTGCAAGGGGACATGCAGACCTCTTTGAAGGTTTCGTTGGAAACGGGAATCATCTTCACATAAAAATTACACAGAAGCATCCTCAGGAACTCCTTGGTGATGTTTGCATTCAACTTCCAGAGTTGAACTTTCCTTCGGAAAGAGCAGCTATGAAACACTCTTTTTCTAGAATCTGCAAGTGGACATTGGGAGGGCTGTGAGGTTTGTGGTGGAAAAGGAAATATCTCCACATAAATACTAGATAGAAGCCTTCTCAGAAACTACTTTGTGATGATTGCATTCACCTCACAGAGTGGAGCATTCCTATTGACAGAGCAGTTTGGAAACACTCTTGTTGTAGAATCTGCTAGTGGAGATTTGGAGCGCTTTGAGGCCTATGGTAGTAAAGGGAAGAGCTTCACATAAAATCAAGACAGAAGCATTCTCAGAAAATACTTTGTGATGATTGAGTTTAACACACAGAGCTGAACATTCCTTTGGATGGAGCAGGTTTGAAACACACTTTCTATAGAATCTGCGAGTGGATATTTGGACCTCTCTGAGGATTTCGTTGGAAACGGGATAACTGCACCTAACTAAACGGAAGCATTCTCACAAAATTCTTTGTGATGTTTGCATTCAAATCCCAGAGTTGAACCTTCCTTTGATAGTTCAGCTTTGAAACACTCTTTTTGTAGGCTCTGCAGGTGGATATTTGGACCACTCTTTGGCCTTCGTTCAAAACGGGTACATCTTCAAATAAAATCTAGACAGAAGCCTTCTCAGAAACTTCTCTGTGACGATTGCATTCAACTCCAAGCGTTGAACCCTCCTATGGATAGAGCAGTTTTGAATCTCTCTTTTTGTGGAATCTGCAAGTGGATATGTGGTCCTCTTTGAAGATGTCTTTGGAAACGGGAATATCTTCACATAAAAACTAAACAGAAGCATTCTCAGAAACTTCTCTGTGATGTTTGTGTTCAACTCACAGAGTTTCACGTTGCTTTTCATAGAGCAGATGAGAAACATGCTTTTCGTAGGGTCTGCAAGTGGACATTTGGAGAGATTTCAGGCCTGTGGTGGAAAACGAATTATCGTCACGTAAAAACTAGAGAGAAGCATTGTCAGAAACTTGTTTGTGATGACTGCATTCAACTCACAGAGTTGAAGGTTCCTTTTCATACAGCAGTTTCCACACACTCTTTCTGTGGCATCTGCAAGTGGATGTTTGGGCCTCTTTGAAGATTTCGTTGGAAACGGGATAATCTTCACAGAAAAGCTAAACAGAAGCATTCTCAGAAACTTCTTTGTGATGTTTGCTTTCAACTCACAGAGTTGAACTTTCCTTTTGAGAGAGAAGCTTTGAAACACTCTTTTTCTAGAATCTGCAAGTGGATATTTGGAGGGCTTTGAGGCCTGAGGTGGAAAAGGAATTATCTTCCCGTAAGAACTAGATAGATGCATTCTCAGAAACTACTTTGTGACGATTGCATTCAAGTCACAGAGGTGAACATTCCCTTTCAGAGAGCACTTTGGAAACTCTCATTGTGTAGAATCTGCAAGTGGAGATATGGACCGCTTTGAGGCCTATGGTAGTAAAGGAAACAGCTTCATATAAAAACTAGACAGCAGCATTCTCAGAAAACTCTTTGTGACGACTGAGTTTAACTCACAGGGCTGAACATTCCTTTGGATGGAGCAGTTTGGAAACACACTATCTGTAGGATCTGCAAGCGGATACTTGGGCCTCTCTGAGGATTTCGTTGGAAACGGAATAAACCGCACAGAACTAAACAGAAGCATTCTCAGAACCTTCTTCGTGATGTTTGCATTCAACCCACAGTGTTGAACCTTTCTTTGATAGTTCAGGTTTGAAACACTCTTTTTGTAGAAACTGCAAGTGGATAACTGCACTTCTTTGAGGCCTATCGTAGTAAAGGAAATAACTTCCTATAAAAACAAGACAGAAGCTTTCTCAGAAAATTCTCTGGGATGATTGAGTTGAACTCACAGAGCAGTACTTTCCTTGGGATGGAGTAGTTTCGAAACACACTTTCTGTAGAATCTGCAAGTGGATATTTGGACCTGTCTGAGGAATTCGGTGCAAACGGGATAATTTCAGCTAAGTAAACAGAAGCAGTCTCAGAATCTTCTTGTGATGTTTGCATTCAAATCCCAGAATTGAACCATCCTTTGAAAGTGCAGGTTTGAAACACTCTTTTTGCAGGGTCTACAAGTGGATATTCGGACCACTCTGTGGACTTCGTTCGAAACGGGTATATCTTCACATAACATCTAGACAGAAGCATTCTCAGAAACTTTTCTGTGATGACTGCATTCAACTCACAGAGTGGAACACTCCTTTTGAGAGCGCAGTTTAGAAACTCTCTTTCTCTGGAATCTGCAAGGGGACATGCAGACCTCTTTGAAGGTTTCGTTGGAAACGGAATCATCTTCACATAAAAATTACACAGAAGCATCCTCAGGAACTCCTTGGTGATGTTTGTATTCAACTTCCAGAGTTGAACTTTCCTTCGGAAAGAGCAGCTATGAAACACTCTTTTTCTAGAATCTGCAAGTGGACATTGGGAGGGCTGTGAGGTTTGTGGTGGAAAAGGAAATATCTCCACATAAATACTAGATAGAAGCCTTCTCAGAAACTACTTTGTGATGATTGCATTCACCTCACGGAGTGGAGCACTCCTATTGACAGAGCAGTTTGGAAACACTCTTCTTGTAGAATCGGCTAGTGGAGATTTGGAGCGCTTTGAGTCCTATGGTAGTAAAGGGAAGAGCTTCACATAAAATCTAGACAGAAGCATTCTCAGAAAATACTTTGTGATGATTGAGTTTAACACACAGAGCTGAACATTCCTTTGGATGGAGAAGGTTTGAAACACACTTTCTGTAGAATCTGCGAGTGGATATTTGGACCTCTCTGAGGATTTCGTTGGAAACGGGATAACTGCACCTAACTAAACGGAAGCATTCTCACAAAATTCTTTGTGATGTTTGCATTCAAATCCCAGAGTTGAAACTTCCTTTGATAGTTCAGCTTTGAAACACTCTTTTTGTAGGTTCTGCAAGTGGATATTTGGACCAGTCTTTGGCCTTCCTTCGAAACGGGTACATCTTCAAATAAAATCTAGACAGAAGCCTTCTCAGAAACTTCTCTGTGATGATTGCATTCAACTCATAGCGTTGAACCTTCCTATGGATAGAGCAGTTTTGAATCTCTCTTTTTGTGGAATCTGCAAGTGGTTGTGTGGTCCTCTTTGAAGATGTCTTTGGAAACGGGAATATCTTCACATAAAAACTAAACAGAAGCATTCTCAGAAACTTCTCTGTGATGTTTGTGTTCAACTCACAGAGTTTCACGTTGCTTTTCATAGAGCAGATGAGAAACATGCTTTTCGTAGGGTCTGCAAGTGGACATTTGGAGAGATTTCAGGCCTGTGGTGGAAAACGAATTATCGTCACGTAAAAACTAGAGAGAAGCATTGTCAGAAACCTGTTTTTGATGACTGCATTCAACTCACAGAGTTGAAGGTTCCTTTTCAAACAGCAGTTTCCAAACACTCTTTCTGTGGCATCTGCAAGTGGATGTTTGGGCCTCTTTGAAGATTTCATTGGAAACGGGATAATCTTCACAGAAAAGCTAAACAGAAGCATTCTCAGAAACTTCTTTGTGATGTTTGCTTTCAACTCACAGAGTTGAACTTTCCTTTTGAGAGAGAAGCTTTGAAACACTCTTTTTCTAGAATCTGCAAGTGGATATTTGGAGGGCTTTGAGGCCTGAGGTGGAAAAGGAATTATCTTCCCGTAAGAACTAGATAGATGCATTCTCAGAAACTACTTTGTGACGATTGCATTCAAGTCACAGAAGTGAACATTCCCTTTCAGAGAGCACTTTGGAAACTCTCGTTGTGTAGAATCTGCAAGTGGAGATATGGACCGCTTTGAGGCCTATGGTAGTAAAGGAAACAGCTTCATATAAAAACTAGACAGCAGCATTCTCAGAAAACTCTTTGTGACGACTGAGTTTAACTCACAGGGCTGAACATTCCTTTGGATGGAGCAGTTTGGAAACACACTATCTGTAGGATCTGCAAGCGGATACTTGGGCCTCCCTGAGGATTTCGTTGGAAACGGGATACACCGCACAGAACTAAACAGAAGCATTCTCAGAACCTTCTTCGTGATGTTTGCATTCAACCCACAGTGTTGAACCTTTCTTTGATAGTTCAGGTTTGAAACACTCTTTTTGTAGAAACTGCAAGTGGATAACTGCACTTCTTTGAGGCCTATCGTAGTAAAGGAAATAACTTCCTATAAAAACAAGACAGAAGCTTTCTCAGAAAATTCTCTGGGATGATTGAGTTGAACTCACAGAGCAGTACTTTCCTTGGGATGGAGTATTTTCGAAACACACTTTCTGTAGAATCTGCAAGTGGGTATTTGGACCTGTCTGAGGAATTCGTTGCAAACGGGATAATTTCAGCAAAGTAAACAGAAGCAGTCTCAGAATCTTCTTGTGATGTTTGCATTCAAATCCCAGAATTGAACCTTCCTTTGAAAGTTCAGGTTTGAAACACTCTTTTTGCAGGATCTACAAGTGGATATTCGGACCACTCTGTGGACTTCGTTCGAAACGGGTATATCTTCACATAACATCTACACAGAAGCATTCTCAGAAACTTTTCTGTGATGACTGCATTCAACTCACAGAGTTGAACACTCCTTTTGAGAGCGCAGTTTTGAAACTCTCTTTCTCTGGAATCTGCAAGGGGACATGCAGACCTCTTTGAAGGTTTCGTTGGAAACGGAATCATCTTCACATAAAAATTACACAGAAGCATTCTCAGGAACTCCTTGGTGATGTTTGTATTCAACTTCCAGAGTTGAACTTTCCTTCGGAAAGAGCAGCTATGAAACACTCTTTTTCTAGAATCTGCAAGTGGACATTGGGAGAGCTGTGAGGTTTGTGGTGGAAAAGGAAATATCTCCACATAAATACTAGATAGAAGCCTTCTCAGAAACTACTTTGTGATGATCGCATTCACCTCACGGAGTGGAGCATTCCTATTGACAGAGCAGTTTGGAAACACTCTTCTTGTAGAATCGGCTAGTGGAGATTTGGAGCGCTTTGAGGCCTATGGTAGTAAAGGGAAGAGCTTCACATAAAATCTAGACAGAAGCATTCTGAGAAAATACTTTGTGATGATTGAGTTTAACACACAGAGCTGAACATTCCTTTGGATGGAGAAGGTTTGAAACACACTTTCTGTAGAATCTGCGAGTGGATATTTGGACCTCTCTGAGGATTTCGTTGGAAACGGGATAACTGCACCTAACTAAACGGAAGCATTCTCACAAAATTCTTTGTGATGTTTGCATTCAAATCCCAGAGTTGAACCTTCCTTTGATAGTTCAGCTTTGAAACACCCTTTTTGTAGGATCTGCAAGTGGATAGTTGGACCACTCTTTGGCCTTCGTTCGAAAAGGGTACATCTTCAAATAAAATCTAGACAGAAGCCTTCTCAGAAACTTCTCTGTGATGATTGCATTCAACTCAAAGCGTTGAAGCCTCCTATGGATAGAGCAGTTTTGAATCTCTCTTTTTGTGGAATCTGCAAGTGGTTGTGTGGTCCTCTTTGAAGATGTCTTTGGAAACGGGAATATCTTCACATAAAAACTAAACAGAAGCATTCTCAGAAACTTCTCTGTGATGTTTGTGTTCAACTCACAGAGTTTCACGTTGCTTTTCATAGAGCAGATGAGAAACATGCTTTTCGTAGGGTCTGCAAGTGGACATTTGGAGAGATTTCAGGCCTGTGGTGGAAAACGAATTATCGTCACGTAAAAACTAGAGGGAAGCATTGTCAGAAACTTGTTTGTGATGACTGCATTCAACTCACAGAGTTGAAGGTTCCTTTTCAAACAGCAGTTTCCAAACACTCTTTCTGTGGCATCTGCAAGTGGGTGTTTGGGCCTCTTTGAAGATTTCGTTGGAAACGGGATAATCTTCACAGAAAAGCTAAACAGAAGCATGCTCAGAAACTTCTTTGTGATGTTTGCTTTCAACTCACAGAGTTGAACTTTCCTTTTGAGAGAGAAGCTTTGAAACACTCTTTTTCTAGAATCTGCAAGTGGATATTTGGAGGGCATTGAGGCCTGAGGTGGAACAGGAATTATCTTCCCGTAAGAACTAGATAGATGCATTCTCAGAAACTACATTGTGACGATTGCATTCAAGTCACAGAGGTGAACATTCCCTTTCAGAGAGCACTTTGGAAACTCTCGTTGTGTAGAATCTGCAAGTGGAGATATGGACCGCTTTGAGGCCTATGGTAGTAAAGGAAACAGCTTCATATAAAAACTAGACAGCAGCATTCTCAGAAAACTCTTTCTGACGACTGAGTTTAACTCACAGGGCTGAACATTCCTTTGGATGGAGCAGTTTGGAAACACACTATCTGTAGGATCTGCAAGCGGATACTTGGGCCTCTCTGAGGATTTCGTTGGAAACGGGATAAACCGCACAGAACTAAACAGAAGCATTCTCAGAACCTTCTTCGTGATGTTTGCATTCAACCCACAGTGTTGAACCTTTCTTTGATAGTTCAGGTTTGAAACACTCTTTTTGTAGAAACTGCAAGTGGATAACTGCACTTCTTTGAGGCCTATCGTAGTAAAGGAAATAACTTCCTATAAAAACAAGACAGAAGCTTTCTCAGAAAATTCTCTGGGATGATTGAGTTGAACTCACAGAGCAGTACTTTCTTTGGGATGGAGTAGTTTCGAAACACACTTTCTGTAGAATCTGCAAGTGGGTATTTGGACCTGTCTGAGGAATTCGTTGCAAACGGGATAATTTCAGCTAAGTAAACAGAAGCAGTCTCAGAATCTTCTTGTGATGTTTGCATTCAAATCCCAGAATTGAACCTTCCTTTGAAAGTTCAGGTTGGAAACACTCTTTTTGCAGGATCTACAAGTGGATATTCGGACCACTCTGTGGACTTCGTTCGAAACGGGTATATCTTCACATAACATCTAGACAGAAGCATTCTCAGAAACTTTTCTGTGATGACTGCATTCAACTCACAGAGTTGAACACTCCTTTTGAGAGCGCAGTTTTGAAACTCTCTTTCTCTGGAATCTGCAAGGGGACATGCAGACCTCTTTGAAGGTTTCATTGGAAACGGAATCATCTTCACATAAAAATTACACAGAAGCATCCTCAGGAACTCCTTGGTGATGTTTGTATTCAACTTCCAGAGTTGAACTTTCCTTCGGAAAGAGCAGCTATGAAACACTCTTTTTCTAGAATCTGCAGGTGGACATTTGGAGGGCTGTGAGGTTTGTGGTGGAAAAGGAAATATCTCCACATAAATACTAGATAGAAGCCTTCTCAGAAACTACTTTGTGATGATTGCATTCACCTCACGGAGTGGAGCATTCCTATTGACAGAGCAGTTTGGAAACACTCTTGTTGTAGAATCGGCTAGTGGAGATTTGGAGCGCTTTGAGGCCTATGGTAGTAAAGGGAAGAGCTTCACATAAAATCTAGACAGAAGCATTCTCAGAAAATACTTTGTGATGATTGAGTTTAACACACAGAGCTGAACATTCCTTTGGATGGAGAAGGTTTGAAACACACTTTCTGTAGAATCTGTGAGTGGATATTTGGACCTCTCTGAGGATTTCGTTGGAAACGGGATAACTGCACCTAACTAAACGGAAGCGTTCTCACAAAATTCTTTGTGATGTTTGCATTCAAATCCCAGAGTTGAACCTTCCTTTGATAGTTCAGCTTTGAAACACTCTTTTTGTAGGATCTGCAGGTGGATATTTGGACCACTCTTTGGCCTTCGTTCGAAACGGGTACATCTTCAAATAAAATCTAGACAGAAGCCTTCTCAGAAACTTCTCTGTGACGATTGCATTCAACTCAAAGCGTTGAACCCTCCTATGGATAGAGCAGTTTTGAATCTCTCTTTTTGTGGAATCTGCAAGTGGATATGTGGTCCTCTTTGAAGATGTCTTTGGAAACGGGAATATCTTCACATAAAAACTAAACAGAAGCATTCTCAGAAACTTCTCTGTGATGTTTGTGTTCAACTCACAGAGCTTCACGTTGCTTTTCATAGAGCAGATGAGAAACATGCTTTTCATAGGGTCTGCAAGTGGACATTTGGAGAGCTTTCAGGCCTGTGGTGGAAAACGAATTATCGTCACGTAAAAACTAGAGAGAAGCATTGTCAGAAACTTGTTTGTGATGACTGCATTCAACACACAGAGTTGAAGGTTCCTTTTCAAACAGCAGTTTCCAAACACTCTTTCTGTGGCATCTGCAAGTGGAGGTTTGGGCCTCTTTGAAGATTTCGTTGGAAACGGGATAATCTTCACAGAAAAGCTAAACAGAAGCATGCTCAGAAACTTCTTTGTGATGTTTGCTTTCAACTCACAGAGTTGAACTTTCCTTTTGAGAGAGAAGCTTTGAAACACTCTTTTTCGAGAATCTGCAAGTGGATATTTGGAGGGCTTTGAGGCCTGAGGTGGAACAGGAATTATCTTCCCGTAAGAACTAGATAGATGCATTCTCAGAAACTACTTTGTGACGATTGCATTCAAGTCACAGAGGTGAACATTCCCTTTCAGAGAGCACTTTGGAAACTCTCGTTGTGTAGAATCTGCAAGTGGAGATATGGACCGCTTTGAGGCCTATGGTAGTAAAGGAAACAGCTTCATTTAAAAATTAGACAGCAGCATTCTCAGAAAACTCTTTGTGACGACTGAGTTTAACTCACAGGGCTGAACATTCCTTTGGATGGAGCAGTTTGGAAACACACTATCTGTAGGATCTGCAAGCGGATACTTGGGCCTCCCTGAGGATTTCGTTGGAAACGGGATAAACCGCACAGAACTAAACAGAAGCATTCTCAGAACCTTCTTCGTGATGTTTGCATTCAACCCACAGTGTTGAACCTTTCTTTGATAGTTCAGGTTTGAAACACTCTTTTTGTAGAAACTGCAAGTGGATAACTGCACTTCTTTGAGGCCTATCGTAGTAAAGGAAATAACTTCCTATTAAAACAAGACAGAAGCTTTCTCAGAAAATTCTCTGGGATGATTGAGTTGAACTCAGAGAGCAGTACTTTCCTTGGGATGGAGTAGTTTCGAAACACACTTTCTGTAGAATCTGCAAGTGGATATTTGGACCTGTCTGAGGAATTCGTTGCAAACGGGATAATTTCAGCTAAGTAAACAGAAGCAGTCTCAGAATCTTCTTGTGATGGTTGCATTCAAATCCCAGAATTGAACCTTCCTTTGAAAGTTCAGGTTGGAAACACTCTTTTTGCAGGATCTACAAGTGGATATTCGGACCACTCTGTGGACTTCGTTCGAAACGGGTATATCTTCACATAACATCTAGACAGAAAGCATTCTCAGAAACTTTTCTGTGATGACTGCATTCAACTCACAGAGTTGAACACTCCTTTTGAGAGCGCAGTTTTGAAACTCTCTTTCTCTGGAATCTGCAAGGGGACATGCAGACCTCTTTGAAGGTTTCGTTGGAAACGGAATCATCTTCACATAAAAATTACACAGAAGCATCCTCAGGAACTCCTTGGTGATGTTTGTATTCAACTTCCAGAGTTGAACTTTCCTTCGGAAAGAGCAGCTATGAAACACTCTTTTTCTAGAATCTGCAAGTGGACCTTGGGAGGGCTGTGAGGTTTGTGGTGGAAAAGGAAAAATCTCCACATAAATACTAGATAGAAGCCTTCTCAGAAACTACTTTGTGATGATTGCATTCACCTCACGGAGTGGAGCATTCCTATTGACAGAGCAGTTTGGAAACACTCTTGTTGTAGAATCTCCTAGTGGAGATTTGGAGCGCTTTGAGGCCTATGGTAGTAAAGGGAAGAGCTTCACATAAAATCTAGACAGAAGCATTCTCAGAAAATACTTTGTGATGATTGAGTTTAACACACAGAGCTGAACATTCCTTTGGATGGAGAAGGTTTGAAACACACTTTCTGTAGAATCTGCGAGTGGATATTTGGACCTCTCTGAGGATTTCGTTGGAAACGGGATAACTGCACCTAACTAAACGGAAGCATTCTCACAAAATTCTTTGTGATGTTTGCATTCAAATCCCAGAGTTGAACCTTCCTTTGATAGTTCAGCTTTGAAACACTCTTTTTGTAGGATCTGCAGGGGGATATTTGGACCACGCTTTGGCCTTCGTTCGAAACGGGTACATCTTCAAATAAAATCTAGACAGAAGCCTTCTCAGAAACTTCTCTGTGACGATTGCATTCAACTCAAAGCGTTGAACCCTCCCTATGGATAGAGCAGTTTTGAATCTCTCTTTTTGTGGAATCTGCAAGTGGATATGTGGTCCTCTTTGAAGATGTCTTTGGAAACGGGAATATCTTCACATAAAAACTAAACAGAAGCATTCTCAGAAACTTCTCTGTGATGTTTGTGTTCAACTCACAGAGTTTCACGTTGCTTTTCATAGAGCAGATGAGAAACATGCTTTTCGTAGGGTCTGCAAGTGGACATTTGGAGAGATTTCAGGCCAGTGGTGGAAAACGAATTATCGTCACGTAAAAACTAGAGAGAAAGCATTGTCAGAAACTTGTTTGTGATGACTGCATTCAACTCACAGAGTTGCAGGTTCCTTTTCAAACAGTAGTTTCCAAACACTCTTTCTGTGGCATCTGCAAGTGGATGTTTGGGCCTCTTTGAAGATTTCGTTGGAAACGGGATAATCTTCACAGAAAAGCTAAACAGAAGCATTCTCAGAAACTTCTTTGTGATGTTTGCTTTCAACTCACAGAGTTGAACTTTCCTTTTGAGAGAGAAGCTTTGAAACACTCTTTTTCTAGAATCTGCAAGTGGATATTTGGAGGGCTTTGAGGCCTGTGGTGGAAAAGGAATTATCTTCCCGTAAGAACTAGATAGATGCATTCTCAGAAACTACTTTGTGACGATTGCATTCAAGTCACAGAGGTGAACATTCCCTTTCAGAGAGCACTTTGGAAACTCTCGTTGTGTAGAATCTGCAAGTGGAGATATGGACTGCTTTGAGGCCTACGGTAGTAAAGGAAACAGCTTCATATAAAAACTAGACAGCAGCATTCTCAGAAAACTCTTTGTGACGACTGAGTTTAACTCACAGGGCTGAACATTCCTTTGGATGGAGCAGTTTGGAAACACACTATCTGTAGGATCTGCAAGCGGATACTTGGGCCTCCCTGAGGATTTCGTTGGAAACGGGATAAACTGCACAGAACTAAACAGAAGCATTCTCAGAACCTTCTTCGTGATGTTTGCATTCAACCCACAGTGTTGAACCTTTCTTTGATAGTTCAGGTTTGAAACACTCTTTTTGTAGAAACTGCAAGTGGATAACTGCACTTCTTTGAGGCCTATCGTAGTAAAGGAAATAACTTCCTATAAAAACAAGACAGAAGCTTTCTCAGAAAATTCTCTGGGATGATTGAGTTGAACTCACAGAGCAGTACTTTCCTTGGGATGGAGTAGTTTCGAAACACACTTTCTGTAGAATCTGCAAGTGGATATTTGGACCTGTCTGAGGAATTCGTTGCAAACGGGATAATTTCAGCTAAGTAAACAGAAGCAGTCCCAGAATCTTCTTGTGATGTTTGCATTCAAATCCCAGAATTGAACCTTCCTTTGAAAGTTCAGGTTGGAAACACTCTTTTTGCAGGATCTACAAGTGGATATTCGGACCACTCTGTGGACTTCGTTCGAAACGGGTATATCTTCACATAACATCTAGACAGAAGCATTCTCAGAAACTTTTCTGTGATGACTGCATTCAACTCACAGAGTTGAACACTCCTTTTGAGAGCGCAGTTTTGAAACTCTCTTTCTCTGGAATCTGCAAGGGGACATGCAGACCTCTTTGAAGGTTTCGTTGGAAACGGAATCATCTTCACATAAAAATTACACGGAAGCATCCTCAGGAACTCCTTGGTGATGTTTGTATTCAACTTCCAGAGTTGAACTTTCCTTCGGAAAGAGCAGCTATGAAACACTCTTTTTCTAGAATCTGCAAGTGGACATTGGGAGGGCTGTGAGGTTTGTGGTGGAAAAGGAAATATCTCCACATAAATACTAGATAGAAGCCTTCTCAGAAACTACTTTGTGATGATTGCATTCACCTCACGGAGTGGAGCATTCCTATTGACAGAGCAGTTTGGAAACACTCTTCTTGTAGAATCGGCTAGTGGAGATTTGGAGCGCTTTGAGTCCTATGGTAGTAAAGGGAAGAGCTTCACATAAAATCTACACAGAAGCATTCTCAGAAAATACTTTGTGATGATTGAGTTTAACACACAGAGCTGAACATTCCTTTGGATGGAGAAGGTTTGAAACACACTTTCTGTAGAATCTGCGAGTGGATATTTGGACCTCTCTGAGGATTTCGTTGGAAACGGGATAACTGCACCTAACTAAACGGAAGCATTCTCACAAAATTCTTTGTGATGTTTGCATTCAAATCCCAGAGTTGAACCTTCCTTTGATAGTTCAGCTTTGAAACACTCTTTTTGTAGGTTCTGCAGGTGGATATTTGGACCACTCTTTGGCCTTCGTTCGAAACGGGTACATCTTCAAATAAAATCTAGACAGAAGCCTTCTCAGAAACTTCTCTGTGACGATTGCATTCAACTCAAAGCGTTGAACCCTCCTATGGATAGAGCGGTTTTGAATCTCTCTTTTTGTGGAATCTGCAAGTGGATATGTGGTCCTCTTTGAAGATGTCTTTGGAAACGGGAATATCTTCACATAAAAACTAAACAGAAGCATTCTCAGAAACTTCTCTGTGATGTTTGTGTTCAACTCACAGAGTTTCACGTTGCTTTTCATAGAGCAGATGAGAAACATGCTTTTCGTAGGGTCTGCAAGTGGACATTTGGAGAGCTTTCAGGCCTGTGGTGGAAAACGAATTATCGTCACGTAAAAACTAGAGAGAAGCATTGTCAGAAACTTGTTTGTGATGACTGCCTTCAACTCACAGAGTTGAAGGTTCCTTTTCAAACAGCAGTTTCCAAACACTCTTTCTGTGGCATCTGCAAGTGGAGGTTTGGGCCTCTTTGAAGATTTCGTTGGAAACGGGATAATCTTCACAGAAAAGCTAAACAGAAGCTTTCTGAGA